>NC_000011.10:47635757-47938787 GCF_000001405.40 Homo sapiens
AAGATAAACTTGTTGCTAAGTTTAACATATTGGTCAGTTGGAAGAAAAGCAAATGGTCATGAAAACTCTTCTTTGAAAAAAGAAAAGGGGACAGGTGTGGTTGCTCATGCCTGTAATCCCAGCACTTTAGGAGGCCGAGGTGGGCAGATCACCTGAGGTCAGGAGTTCAAGTCTAGCCTGGCCAACATGGTGAAACCCCATCTCTACTAAAAATACAAAAATTAGCGGAGCATTGGGGCGCACGCTTTTAATCCCAGCTCTTAGGGAGGCTGGGGCAGGAGAATCACTTGAACCCAGGAGGCAGAGGTTGCAGTGAGCCAAGATCACGCCACTGCACTGCAGCCCAGGTGACAGAGCAAGAGTCCGTCTCAAGAAAAAAAAAAAGAAAAGGGAAGGCTGGGTGCGGTAGCTCACGCCTATAATCTCAGCACTTTGGGAGGCCAAGGCAGGTGGATCACCTGAGGTTAGGAATTTGAGACCAGCCTGGCCTACGTGGTGAAACTCCATCTCTACTAAAAGTACAAAAATTAGCTGGGCTTGGTGGCGGGCGCCTGTAATCCCAGCTACTTGGGAAGCTGAGACAGGAGAATTGCTTGAACCCGGGGGGTAAAGACTGCAGTGAGCTGAGATCACATCACTGCACTCCAGCCTGGGCAACAGAGCAAGACTCCATCTCAGAAAAAAAGAAAAGGGGCCGGGCATGGTGCCTCACGCCTGTAATCCCAGCACTTTGCGTGGCTGAGGCAGGCGGATCACCTGACGTCAGGAGTTTGAGAACAGCCTGGCTGACATGGCGAAACCCCCTCTCTACTAAAAATACAAAAATTAGCTGGGCGTGGTGGTAGGTGCCTGTAATCCCAGCTACGTGGGAAGCTGGGGCAGGAGAATTGCTTGAACCCGGTAGGTGGAAGCTGCAGTGAGCCGAGACCATGCCATTGCACTCCAGCCTGGGCAACAAGAGTGAAACTCTGTCTCAAAAAAAAACAACAAAAAAACCCAAAAAACGAAAAGGGAACATGCGCAGTGACTCACGCCTGTAATCCCAACACTTTGGAAGGCCGAAGAGGGAGGACTGCTTGAGCCCAGGAATTCAAGACCAGACTGGGCAACATAGTGAGACTTTGTCTCTAAAAAAATAATAATAAATTTAAAGAAATAATTACAAAATAAGAACAACAACAAAAAAGAAAATTCAAGAACTCTGTTTTTTTTTTTTTTTAGATGGAGTTTCACTCTTGTCACCCAGCTGGAGTGCAATGGTGCAATCTCGGCTCACTGCTGGAGTGCAATGGTTCAATCTCAGCTCACTACAACCTCTACCTCCCAGATTCAAGCGATTCTCCTGCCTCAGCCTCCTGAGTAGCTGGGATTACATGCGCCCACCACCACGCCTGGCTAACATCTGTATTTTTAGTAGAGACAGTGTTTCACCATGTTGGCCAGGCTGGTCTCAAACTGCTGACCTCGGCTGATCCACCCGCCTCAGCCTCCCAAAGTGCTGGGATTACAGGCATGAGCCACTGCGCCTGGCCAAGAACTTTCAGTTTTAACAGAAAATAAGTCAGTAAAAACATAGCCCAGGGTTCCCACTTTTCTCATGGAAAACGCATGACCAATACCAAATTAGGGCAAGACTCTTTTCTTCCCTGCATAAAAGGACAGAGAATTGATATTAAGACTGAAGAGCTGAAATCGCCTCACTTTCTCCTTTGTATCTGATGGTTTCTAAAACAAGCAAGAGGTTTTTTTTTTCTCTTCTAGAGAAGAGATCATGAATACTGCCAGAGCCCAGAGAAAAATTCTTGCAAGAGGAATTTTTTGTGGCGTATTTTGGAAATAGAATGTGAGCTAGGTGAAAATAAAATTATCAATTGAGAGCTCCTTCTTGTGTAACCACCAGTTTTATTGTTTTCTTATTTTTTAATGTCAGTTTTATTATTTTCTAGCCATATCAGATTTCAAAAATAGACAACATTTTCTCTTGTAAAAAGAATTGTGTTTAAAAAAATCACGGGCAAGAGAACAAATGTGAAGATAAAGCAAAGTAATGTATTTTGGCCAAATTCCAGGTCCTTGGCTAGAATTAATTCTAATAGCTTCAGGTCTCTAAATTTTCACTTGTTTCTATACTTTGTTATTTACTCCATCGATATAATTATCTAACCTGTCTTCTACATTTCCTGAATTTCATTTTAATTCTTGTTCAGTTTACAAAATTATTTCTTGTAAAGGTTAATAATTTTCTCAGCCCTGCATAGATCCTTCTTCTTGACTGTACAAGCAGCTTTGGATGCTAAGTGTAGTACCAACCCTGTAATATTTCACTGGACTACATTTGGAACATATTCAGGGTACCTGGTTACCTCAAGTTTGTCTTACTTTACAGTTACATAAAGTAACTTAGTCTCAAGCAGCACTTTCTCTTTTTCTCTAAGTCTATACACAAACCTCTTTGGCTAGATGACAACTGCCTTTCCATATGTAAATTTCATGGAAGTAACAGCAACAATTTCACTGAGTCCCGCCGGGCGCGGTGGCTCATGCTTGTAATCCCAGCACTTTGGGAGGCCGAGGCGGGCGGATCACGAGGTCAGGATATTGAGAACACGGTGAAACCCTGTCTCTACTAAAAATACAAAAAATTAGCCGGGCGCAGTGGCGGGAGCCTGTAGTCCTAGCTACTCAGGCTGAGGCAGGAGAATGACGTGAACCCGGCAGGCGGAGTTTGCAGTGAGCCCAGATCGCGCCACTACACTCCAGCCTGGGCGACAGAGTGAGACTCCATCTCAAAAAAAAAAAAAAAAAAAAAGAAAGTGTTTTTCAAGAGGAAGAAAGGACAGGGTTATAAATGTATCTTTTAAATTGCTCTTGATATTTAGAACAAACTATGCATAACAGGTAAGCAACATCTATGGGAAGATTGATTTAATTTTCCTCTTACCTGTAAAACTTTACCATGGACCACAGTTCCAAGGACTCCCGAACACAGTCTTGGAGTTAAGCCTGTGAACAACCCGCGCCTCCCATCGATACTGGCAATGTGCTGAGCTAAGAACACAAGTCAGAGATGTTGTCAAGTTCTGGTCAAGAGAAATGGATATACTACAATTTCAAAGAAACAAGCTTTCTATATATTTTCTTTCAATAACAACTCCTGCCTATCACAGTCCTCAACGTCATGCAAACCCAAATAAATCAAAGGCACTTACCATAACTAAAGAGACCAGGAAGCTGACACACTTGCCGCCCAAAAATATTTCGTCCTATTGTTGGAGGAAGAGGCTCATATCCCACCTTTAAAAACAATGGAATATATCAATATTAAAGCAATATTTCCAGAAATGTCTTGCTTGCAAGGTCTTGAATAAAGAACACAATTTGGGTTATTTTTAAACACAAGTAAAAATGCAGCATAGGTTTTCCAAGGCAATGATGAAGCATCATTCTTGTAGGTTTTTCTTCTGTTGGTAATACTGAGTTCAATAAACTCCAAGTTTCATTTTGGTTCAAATTCTATGACGTAAACCATGTAGCTGAAATAGGCTAATATCAAACTGAAAGAAGGGAACTTTTGCGTTAGGAAAGCTACAGTTTACTAAGGGGGCTCAAAAATACCTTCTAAATAAAATCTAAGGCACATTTTGTATTTGAACAAAACTAGAAGACATCCATTACGCCAGCATCAGCTGCATATTTGGCAACCCAGACAAAACACTCAAAAGGCAAATGCAGATATAGCTGGATAATTCACTTAGGAAAGAATTACAAGCTAACTTCATGTTAGAAGAACAGGCTGTCGGTCGGGCGCAGTGGCTCATGCCTTGTAATCCCAGTACTTTGGGAGACCGAGGGGGATGGATCACCTGAGGTCAGGAGTTCGAGACCAGTCTGGCCAACATGGTGAAACCCTGTCTCTACTAGAACTAAAAAATTAGCCGGGCGTAGGGGCGGGCGCCTGTAATCTCAGCTACTTGGGAGGCTGAGGCAGGAGAATCACTTGAACCCGGGAGGCAGAGGTTGCAGTGAGCCGAGATTGTGTCACTGCACTCCAGCCGAGGCCGACAACAGCGAGACTCCATCTCAAAAACAAACAAACAAACGAACAAACAAAAAAACACAGGCTGTCATTAACAGCTAATGAAGTCCATTTTATATAGTTAATGATTACCATGGTCTTTGTACAATATACCCAGGATTTTTAACACTACAGATACTTGACAGAATGAATGCTGTAGGACATAGTTTTGATTATTGTTGTGACTCTTAATCTGTCCTATTAAGTAACTCCTGGGCTGGCGTGGTGGCTCATGCATGTAATCCCAGCACTTTGGGAGGCCAAGGTGGGCGGATCACCTGAGGTCAGGAGTTCAAGACCAGCCTGGCCAACATGGTGAAACCCTGTCTCTACTAAAAACACAAAAATTAGCCAGGTGTGGTGGCGGACACCTGTAATCCCAGCTACTCAAGAGGCTAAGGCAGGACAGTCGCTTGAACCTGGGAGGCGGAGGTTGCAGTGAGCCGAGATTGTGCCATTGCATGCCAGTCTGGGTGACAAGAGCAAAACTCCATCTCAAAAACAACAACAAATAAATAAACAAATAACTCCTGTCTGAGCTCCCTGAAAGTGCTACCAAGTAACCATTTTTATTTTTATTTAGTTACTTATTTATTTTTTGGAGACAGAGTTTCGCTCTTGTCGCCCAGGCTGGAGTGCAGTGGCACGATCTAGGTCACTGCAACCTCCATCTCCCAGGTTTAAGCCATTCTCGTACCTCAGCCTCCTGAGTAGCTGGGATTACAGGCACCCACCACCACACCCAGCTAATTTTTGTATTTTTAGTAGAGAGGGGGTTTTGCCATGTTGGCCAGGCTAGTCTTTAACTCCTGACCTCAGGTGAACCGCCTGTTTCAGGCTCCCAAAGTGTTGGGATTTACAGGCGTGAGCCACCGTGCCCGGCCCAAGTAACTATTTTTACAACTGAGCATTTGGGAATTTCACCAAAACTCCTGGGCTACTTGGCAACACATAGATGTTGTGAAATCAGAATTAAGAATATTCAAAGTTTTTGGGGCAAGAGCTCTGAACATCATTAGAAAACCCCGTCTCCCAGAGAAGTATTGAGTAGTGGGTTCTTTTTTGTTTTGTTTTGTTTTTTTGAGGCTGAGTTTTGCTCTGTTGCCCAGGCTGGAGTACAATGGCGCGATCTCGGCTCACTGCAACCTTCACCTCCCGGGTTCAAGCGATTCTCCTGCCTCAGCCTCCCGACTAGCTGGGATTACGTGCACGCACCACCACACCTGGCTATATTTTGTATTTTTAGTAGAGACGGGGTTTCACCATGTTGGTCAGACTGGTCTCAAACATCGACCTCGTGATCCGCTCACCTCGGCCTCCCAAAGTGCTGGGAAGGCGTGAGCGAACGCGCCCGGCCCCAAGGGTTCTTACTATATACTGCAACATGCTGTCACCTCCGATGCTATCTAGCCCCAAATGTGCCAATTCTGTTTTGGATGTTACAGTACATTCTAATCAGTCTTTGTTCTAAGTACAAAGAATTTATTTGCAATAGCCTTTAACATATGGAATCTGAATTCACACAGGTCTACTCAGCAAGAAATAATTTGGATTCCCAACAACTCAAGAATAAGAAATGGGGCCCTCTCTAGTGTCTTGCCTATTTTTTACAGAAAAGTAGACGGCGAGACAGGGGTTCTAAAAACTGTTCCATTCCTAGGCACAGTGCATGAGGTAATTATGTCAACTCTCAGTAAAAGCATAAAAAAAAGAATGACCTGCCCATTACAGGGATATAGCAAAGGAACTGGAAACACTAAGTCTATCACTTACTTGGCCTACCTGCATGTGAATATAAAATACCATGTAATAATTATTTGACAGTAGATTAGAAACTAACTCCCATGTTTAAACTCGCTAAAACTCAGCTTCACTAATTTCCAGCTCTGACAAATGTGATTTTCATTGTCAGGAGCCACATGGGCCGCTGCTGGAAAGCGCTCAATGCATCCTTCCGAAATCTGACAGAGCAACCCCTTCATTAACACTTCTGAATGAGCTCCTTGTGTTTCTCTCAGTATCTGGTGCGAAAACCTCGGAACAGAAAAGCAGTAGTAACAGTAGCATAAAAAGAAAAAAAAAAGGAATAAAAAATAAAATGTTGGTTCCCACCTAACTTCACATTTGTCTTCAACTGAGTATTTCGTGTTTTGCGTCTGAGATTTTGGGGGGAGTAGTGGTGAATGTGAATTTCGGAGGGGCGAGAGGGAGGGTTCGGAAGCCTTTGGTGGCGACCGGCCAGGATCCACCTCAGTGACGAAGAACCAAAGTTCAGAGGATCCGCCGGGCAGGGCAGGGCCGGGTGGCGGTTGGCTAAGGGAGGAGAGGGCCTCAACGCTGGGCGGCGAGGCGAGGGCTCGGCGAGGCCCCCAAGCGGGGCCGCGGGACTGAGGAAGCTGTCCCTGCGGGGAGGTAAAGGGCAGCGGAGGAGCAGCAGCATCTCGGGAGAATGAAAGGCCCGCAAGGCTGAGCCGATCCTCAGGCGCCCTGAGCAGCAGCGACCGAACGGGGCGCCGGGCGGGGTAGGGAGCGGCGACGCCTCATACCTGGATGAGCACTTTCACGTACATGAGCGGCTGGGACAGGATGGTGAGACCGGAGCCCAGGAGCACCTGACTGGCCGCGTCCGCCATGATGGCACCCGCGGGCGGACGGACAGACAGACGGAGCCACCAAGCGACCCGGTGAGCCGGTCCTAGGTCACGTGCCAGGGCCGCCGGTTTCACTGGCCCGCCCGCGGCGCGCGCGCACGCACGCAGCAGCACGCGCCTCTCCGCCCAGTCCCCGCCCCCCCGTCCCGCCCCGAGAAACGGCAGGCGCTCGCGAGGGGGCGCTGAGGTCGGGGCGGGGCTTAAGGGACAGAGGCGCATGCGTTCTGCCGGGGGCTCGCCCTTCACCAGGAATGACGGTTTCTCTTGCACATGCGCTTCCAGGCCGCAAGTGTCCGGAAACAGAAGAATGGGAGTGTCAGTGGGGGAGTGTGACCGTGACGGCAGAGGCAAGGTCAGAGGACTGAAAAGAAATTGAAAAGGATTCTTCATTATGCTTCATCTCTGCACTTGCCTTTTGGGCATCATCAACATAGGATTCAAAAGATACTCAGCATCAGAGCCGTAACAGTCTCGTGACTGACAAACTCTAAATAAGTATAGCAAATAATGAATCCGCTAGCGAGTGGCTTTTCATTCATTTATTCGTTTGATTAATGTTATCTTTTCAAAAAAACCTTCTCTGACCATTCTAAAATTACCTCCCCCTTTTCTTTTTCTTTCTTTTTTTTTTTTTTTTTGAGACGGAGTCTCGCTCTGTCACCCAGGCTGGAGTGCAGTGGCCCGATCTCAGCTCACTGCAACCTTCGCCTCCCAGGTTCAAGCAATGCTCCTGCCTCAGCCTCCCTAGTAGCTGGGATTACACGCACACGCCACCACGCCCGGCTAATTTTTGTCTATTTAGTAGAGACGGGGTTTCACGATGTTGGCCGGGCTGGTCTCAAACTCCTGACCTCGTGATTCACCCGCCTTGGCCTCCCAAAGTGCTGGGATTACAGGAGTGAGGAGCCATCGCGCCTGGCCACCTCCCTCTTATTTTCTCCCACATTGTGCCCCGTCGTAGCATTATCACTGAAATTATGTCTCCTCCACTGGAATGAAAGCTCCATGAGTTCAGGAACCGTGACAGCCTCTGTTCACGGTTGTGTTTTCAGTGCCCAGCACATACGAGGTGCTCAATAAATATTTATTGCACAAGTGAACAAATACTTCAGTGCCTACCAGTCTACAGGCTATCAGAGGCAAAAGTGAAAAAGGCATTGTCCCTGCTCCTTCAGCCCCAGCTCACGTGTTCTATCAAACAACATTTGGTGAATCTGAGCTTGGAGCAGAGTGAAGTACTGTAGGGGAAAGACTTGGATTTGGATCCTGGCTTTTCCACTGCATCCATTTGTCATTTTAGCTACTTTAATTTCCAGTTTTTGTATCTAAATCTAACACTACTGTGTATCTCTCAGGGTTATTATGAGCATTAAGTGAAATTATGCATAGGAAAGGGTTTTTTTTAAAAAACTTTATATTGAAATACAGATATTGGCTGGGCACGGTGGCTCACACCTGTAATCCCAACACTTTAGAAGGCTGAGGTGGGTGGATCACCTGAGGTCGGGAGTTCAAGACCAGCCTGACCGACATGGTGAAACCCCATCTGTACTAAAAGTACAAAAATTAGTTGGGTGTGATGGCGGGTGCCTGTAATCCCAGCTACTCGGGAGGCTGAGGCAGGAGAATCGCTTGAACTCG
Source organism: Homo sapiens (assembly GCF_000001405.40). Lineage (NCBI taxonomy): Eukaryota > Metazoa > Chordata > Mammalia > Primates > Hominidae > Homo > Homo sapiens. The sequence continues at coordinate 47,644,125 of NC_000011.10, forward strand.
GGAGTTGGAGGTTGCAGTGAGCCAAGATTGCGCCATTGCACTCCAGCCTGGGTGACAGGGCGAGACTCAGTCTCAAAAGAATAAATAAATAAAAAATAAAGTTGTAAGAAACAAGTTGCTTCTAACTGAATCTAGAAACATAAAGCTGAGCCAGAGAGACTATTTAGCAGGGGATTCTTTTCTTTTTTTTTTTGAGACAGGGTCTCTCTTTGTCACCCAGGCTGGAGTGCAGTGGTGCAATCTCGGCTCACTGCAACCTCCACCTCCTGGGCTCAAGCGATCCTCCTACCTTAGTCTCCCAATTAGCTGGGACCACAGGTGTGCACCACCATGCCCAGCTATTTTTTTTGTATTTTTAGTAGAGATGGGGTCTCGCCATGTTGCCCCAGGCTGGTCTCAAACTCTTGAACTCAAGTGATCCACCTGCCTCCCAAAGTGCTGGGATTACAGGTGTGAGTCACCACACCTGGTTGGATTATTTATTCTTGGATTTGTGCATTGATGGTGCCAAATAATATTGCCTTGTCCCACTGATGCTAGTGAGCATGGGGAGGCACAGAGCCTCTTGCCAGGGGTGGGTGGTTGGGGGATTCAGTCTGCTCCACAATATTTTCCAATGGTGTGAGGCAGAAGCTGCTGATGAGGTTTTGGGAAGAATCTGCAGAGAATAGGTAACCGAAGTCAGCAGTATAGATAAGGGAAGAGGTGCTATGTACAGCTGCCTAGGCTGTGCACTGCATAACTCAGAGTGGGGCCAGTCACAAAGACTATGATCTGAATGGCATTCCCTGATACAGTTCAGTATGATGACCCTAAGATGGGTTATATTTGCTGACCCATATTGCAGTGGTGAGAGGAATAACGGAAGTCAAAAGGGGCAGAATTAACTGGGAAGGAAACAGAACTAGAACAGCATGTCACTGAAGTCAACAGAAAAGTTTGGAAAAAGAAAGGATAGTCAATATGTCAAAAGCTTCCAAGAGGTCAATAATGAAGCCCAGAAGCCGGGCGCGGTGGCTCACGCCTGTAATCCCAGCACTTTGGGAGGCTGAGGTGGGCGGATCACCTGAGGTCAGGAGTTCAAGACCAGCCTGACCAACATGGAGATAACCCATCTCTACTAAAAAACAAAATTAGCCGGGCGTGGTGACACATGCCTATAATCCCAGGTACTCGGGAGGCTGAGGCAGGAGAATCGCTTGAACCCGGGAGGCGGAGGTTGCAGTGAGCCGAGATCATGCCATTGCACTCCAGCCTGGGCAACAAGAGTGAAACTCCATCTCAGAAAAAAATGAAGCCCAGGGAAGGCTGAATGGATTTACCAGTTAAAAGCCTCTTGGGAGCAGGGCACATGCCTGTAATCCCAGCACTTGGGTGGATTGCTTTGAGCTCGGGAGTTTGAGACCAGCCTGGGCAACATAGTGAAACCCCGTCTCTGCAAAAAAGAAAAAAAAATTAATTGAGCATGGTGGCTTGCACCTGTAGTCTCAGCTTCTTAGGAGGCTGAGGTGGGAGGATTGCTCGAGCCTGGGAAGCAGAGGTTACAGTGAACCGAGATTGTACCACTGCACTCCAGCCTGGGGGACAGAGTAAGAGCCTGTCTTGAAGAAAAAAAAAAAAGTCTCCTGGACTGGGAGGCGGTCTGACTTGGGAGAGAGATCACGTAATTGTCCAGTGGGTTCTTCCTGCCTGCTGCACAGACAAAATCAGTTCACTGAGACTGTGGCATTACAGTAAAGAAAGAGTTTAATTAACACAGTGTGGGCCATGTGGAAGAACTTAAGTTATCGCTCAAATCACTCTCCCCGACGGCTCAGAGGTGAGGGTTTTTCAAGGATGCTTTGGTGGCAGGGGGCTCAAATGGGGAATGTTGATTGGTTGGGGATGAAATCATAGGGGTATAGAAAGCGGTCCTTGACAGCCTCTGGATGGAGGCCACAGGACCAGATGTCATGAGTGGTGGGTCTGAGTGGAGTCAGTAGCCACCAAAACATCTCAAAAAGGCAATCTTAGATTCTATGTTAGTGATGTTATCTCTGCCAGGTGTGATGGTTTACGTCTGTAATCCCAGCATTTCAGGCAGAGGTGGGAGGATAGTTTGAGACCTGCCTGGGCAACACAGCAAGACCCCATTTTCCACAAAAAGGAGAAAAATAAAAAGACCAAAAAACCTCAAGTAATTGAAAAACGTCGTAAAAGGCCAATCTTAAGTTGTACAATAGTGATGTTATCTATAGGAGTAATTGGGAAAGTTACTCCTATATCTCGTGATCGCCAGAATAATGACTAGCTATCGTTTAACTGGGCCTGTATCTTAGCAAAATTCAAGCCCCTGTCTTAATCCTAACCTGGTCCAAGGCTGTCCAGGCTGGTCTTGAACTTCTGTGCTCAAGTGACCCTCCCACCTCGGCCTCCCAAAGTGCTGGGATTACAGGCATGAACCAGCTTACCCAGCCGGCATATATTTATTATATTTATTTTGCCTTATAGGAAGACCTGAGTTCAAGGAGCCTTCTGAGTTGGATGAGGCTGTGACACAAGAGTCTTACCAAATACCTAGATTCTTTCCATCCCTGTGCTCTTCCTCCTTAGGCCGGTATCAAAATAGTTTTGAGCCTCATATGCAACACTGATAGTCAGAGGAAGAAGAGAGAAGGGTTTTTGTTTCTGTTTTTGTTTTTTTGAGACAGAGTTTCACTCTTGTTGACCACGCTGCAGTGCAATGGTGTGATCTTGGCTCACTGCAACCTCCGCCTCCCGGGTTCAAGGAGGTTGCCTCAGCCTCCCGAGTCGCTGGGATTACAGGCGCCCAACACCACGCCCAGCTAATTTTTGTTATTTTTAGTAGAGACGGGGTTTTGCCATGTTGGTCAGGCTGGTCTCGAACTCCCAACCTCAGGTGATCTGCCTGCCTTGGCCTTCCAAAGTGCTGGGATTACAGGTGTGAGTCACCGCGTCCAGCCTTCGAGAAGGTGTCTTTTTAAAAATAGTTCTCTCTTTTTTGGCACACCAAAGCTCATCACAAAATGGCTCTTTTTTTTTTTTTTTTTTTTTTGAGACGGAGTCTCACGTTGTCACCCAAGCTGGAGTGGAATGGCACGATCTCGGCTCACTGCAACCTCTGTTCCCAGATTCAAGCGATTCTCCTGCCTCCTCCTCTTAAGTAGCTGGGACTATAGGAATGTGCCACCATGCCTGGCTAATTTTTTTTTTTGTAGTAGAGACGGGGTTTCACTGTATTAGCCAAGATGGTCTCGATCTCCCGACCTCGATGATCCGCCCGCCTCAACTTCCCAAAGTGCTGGGATTACAGGCATGAGCCACCATGCCTGGCTCTCAAATTGGCTCTTTTTGGAGGAAGAAACCTTTTCTCAGAAACCTCCCCAGCAGAATTCTCATGAATTACTGGACAGGAGTCACCCACCACCACCTAAACCAATGATTGGCTTAGACTAGTGGTTCTCAACAGGGTTAATTTTGGCCCTCAGGGGATACTTATCAAAGTCTGTGTTAGGGCTCCAAAACCAATACCCCAAAATGTATGGTATTTTGACATACTGAACTGAAAAAGCATCAAGGTCTCCCTGGCTTTCACCCTCCTATAATCTCTCCCAAAACCTTTACCCTGGCCGGGCGTAGTGGCTCACGCCTGTAATCCCAGCACTTTAGGAGGCCTAGGCAGGAGGACTGTTTGAGTCCAGTAGTTCAAAACCAGCCTGGGCAACATAGTGACACCTGGCTCTACAAAAAAATAGAAAAAATAGGCCGGGCGCGGTGGCTGACGCCTGTAATCCCAACACTTTGGGAGGCCGAGGCGGGTGGATCACAAGGTCAGAAGATCGAGAACATCCTGGCTAACACGGTGAAACCCCATCTCTACTAAAAATACAAAAAAATTAGCCGGGTGTGGTGGTAGGCACCTGTAGTCCCAGCAACTTGGGAGGCTGAGGCAGGAGAATGCTGGGAAACTGGGAAGCGGAGCTTGCAGTGAGCTGAGATTGCGACACTGCACTCCGGCCTGGGCAAAACAGCAAGACTCCGTCTCAAAAAAAAAAAAAAAAAAAAGAAGGAGAAGAAAAAATTAACTGGGCTTGTCGGTGTGTGCTTGTAGTCCCAGTGACTTAGGAGGCTGAGGTGGAAAGATTGCCAGGGAGGTTGAAGCTGCAGTGAGCCATGATCGTGCCGCTGCTGTGAGCCATGATCGTGCCGCTGCAGTGAGCCATGATCGTGCCACTGCACTCCAGCCTGGGCAACAGAGCAAGACCCTGTCTCAAAACAACAGCAAATTCCTCTTCTTCCCCCTCCTACAACCTGTTTTTCTAGGATGGTATATTAACTTCTGAACCACCTAGAGGGGTGGACAATCACTCTGTGATTCACACCATGCTAATGTCAATAAATTTCTATGCCTTTTTTTTCCAGTTAATCTGCCTTTTTTGAGTTGATTTTTCAGCAAAACTTCAGAGGGCAAAGGGGCCTTCCCTTGACCCCTGTATCTGGAGACATCAGTACTATACTTGTGGAGAAATCCTGTCCTGCCTAAGGATCTGGGTTGCTAGGGAGCCGACCACAATATCTACGAAAGGAAGGGAAGTCCTGACAGCTGGGGTTCTCGGGTTCTTTCCACCAACTTAAGTTCAATTTGTCTTAGAATGACTGAAAAGGGTCACCCAGCTAAAGGGATAGGCAAACTCTCTTTGCTGGCCTTACATTTTCCTCCTGTCCTTCTCGAGCTTCCTAAGAAGTATCTATATTGTCTTGCCGGGCGCGGTGGCTCATGCATGTAATCCTAGCACTTTGGGAGGCCAAGGTGGGAGGATCACCTGAGCTCAGGAGTTTGAGACCAGCCTGGCCAACACAATGAAACCTTGACTCTACTAAAATACAAAAAAATTAGCTGGGCATGGTGGCACACACCTGCAGTCTGAGCTACTCAGGAGGCTGAGGCAGGAGAATCGTTTGAACCCGGGAGGCAGAGGTTGCGTTGAGCCAAGATCAAGTCACTGCACTCCAGCCTGGGTGACAGAGTGAGACTCTGTCTCCAAAAATCAATCAATAAATAAAATAAAAAATAAAACTGTTATCTTGCATGTAAAACAGTTCCTTAGAGAGAACATCCTTTGAAAAGTATAGTTCCCCTGCATAGTGTCATGAGAAGCCCATCTCTTGCACAAAATCTGTGTGCTTTAGAGATTTATTTCAAATATCTCAGCTTGGGAGCCATATTTGGAAAGTATTTTCCCTTTTCCTTTTCAAGCATAGCAAATTTTTCTGGTTTGGTTAGGGTTCCACTAGCCTTTCAACATTACTTTCCTATCTTTGTTCGCTAGAGAAGTCTGAAAAATGACAAAGAACATGTTGCCTGGCAGCACAGTCGTGGATGCTGTCTTTGGATTCCAATCCTGAGAACTGGAGGAAAGGCAAAAATTATTCTCCTTCTTGGCATCGGTCCTTGTTTTCTTTTTTTCTTTTTTGTTTTTTTGAGACAGAGTTTTGCTCTTGTTGCCCAGGCTGGAGTGCAATGGCATGATCTGGGCCCACCACAACCTCCCAGGTTCAAGCAATTCTCCTGCCTCAGCCTCCCGAGTAGCTGGGATTGTAGGTGTGTGCCACCACACCCGGCTAATTTTGTACTTTTAGAAGAGACGAGGTTTCTCCAGGTTGGTCAGGCTGGTCTCGAACTCCTGACCTCAGGTGATCCGCCTGCCTCGGCCTCCCAAAGTGCTGGGATTACAGTCGTGAGCCACAGTGCCCAGCCTCAGTCATTGTTTTCAACACAGACTTAGGATCTCCCACACGACACTGGGGCACCTTAAGTCTCATTTTGCCAAAGGTGTAAATGATGCCACCCTTCTTTATGCCCTGGCCTTATGAAGTATGCGGTTTATTTCTTTAGTACACCCTGACCAGTTTCCAGAATGGACCTCAGTGATCTCATTTTCAAAATATCATATTGATTTTTTTTGTAAAAACATATATTTTTTTGAGATGGAGTCTTGCTCTGTTGCCCAGGCTGGAGTGCACTGGCGCAATCTCGGCTCATCACAGCCTCCACCTCCTGGGTTCAAGCGATTCTCCTGCCTCAGCCACCTGAGTAGCTGGGACTACAGGTGTGTGCCACCATGCCCAGCTAATTTTTGTATTTTTAGTAGAAACATGGTTTCACTATGTTGGCCAGGCTGGTCTCGAACTCCTGACCTCCTGACCTCGTGATCCGCCCACCTTGGCCTCCCAAAATGTTGGGATTACAGGCGTGAGCCACTGTGCCTGGTCTATTTTTTTGTAATATTTAAGTGCTGTTAATTTCCTTTCGCTGCTGTGAATATTACCACAAACTTAGTGGGTTAAAACAACACAAATTTATTATCATACCATTATGGAGGTCAGAAATCTGAAATGAGTCTTTATTTTTTCTTTTTTTGAGATGGAGTCTCACTCTGTCACCCAGGCTGGAGTGCAGTGGCATGATCTCAGCTCACTGCAACCTCCGCCTCCCGGGTTCGAGCAATTCTCCTGCCTCAGCCACCTGAGTAGCTGGGATTACAGGCGTGCAGCACCATGCCTGGCTAATTGTTGTATTTTTACTAGAGAGGGTTTCACCATGTTGACCAGGCTGGTCTCGAACTCCTGGGCTCAGGCAATCCTCCCACCTCGGCCTCCCAAAGTGCTGGGATTACAGGCCTGAGCCACTGCACCCTGCCTGAAATGAGTCTTTTTTTTTTTTTTTTTTTGAGATGGAGTTTCGCTCTGTCACCCAGTCTGGAGTGCAGTGGCGCAATCTCGGCTTACTGCAACCTCCGCCTCCTGGGTTCAAGTGATTCTCCTGCCTCAGCCTCCCGAATAGCTGTGATTACAGGGGCCTGCCACCACACCTGGCTGATTTTTGTATTTTTAGTACAGACGGGGTTTCGCCATTTTGGCCAGGCTGGTCTCGAACTCCAGACCTCAGGTGAGCCACCCGACTTGGCCTCCCAAAGTCTGGGATTACCAGCATAAGCTTCCATGCCTGGCCTGAAATGAGTCTTAAAGGGTTAAAATCAAGGTGTTGCCAAGGCGCTATTCCTTCCGCAGTTTCCAGAGGAGAAACTGTGTCTTTCCCTTTTCAAGCTTCCAGAGGCCATCTGCATTCCTTGCCTTCTGGCCACTTCCTCCAACTTCAAAGGGCATCAGTTCAACCTCTTCTGTCTTCATGATAGAGGCAGGAGGCAGACAAATGCCTGGGCAGATAGGGAAGGGTCCCTGGTGAAAACCCCACCTTCAAGCCTAAAACAGCCTGAAGGCTAAAAGACCGGACTGCTTGTTCCAGATGAAACCTGCAACCCACAGGGAGATCTTCTGCCCTTGTTTGTTCGCCCTTTCCCTATTGATTGTCTCTGAATAATGCCTTTCAACCAATTGAATGTTGCCTTTCTGATACTACCCATGGCTTGTGTGGGCATGCCCGAATGCGCACTGGGGGGATCAGGGTGGAGCTACTAGGATTTCATGCTGTATGCTGGAGAGGAGCCTTGCCTCTTCAGCTCATGTGTGGGAGCCCTTGTATTCAGTTGTGAAGTGGAAACTGTTTTGTAGGACCCCTCTCCTTGCTGAAAGCTTTCCCTTCGTTTAATAAATTCTATTCTATTCTTCAATGTGGCCACATGCCTAATTTTTCCTGGTCATGAGACAAGAACCCAGATTTAGCTGAACTAAGGAGCATAAATCCTGGATCATTCACATGTCCTTTTTCTGAGTCTGATCCTCCTGCCTCCCTTTTATAAAGACCTTTATGCCCAACTGGTTATAAATCAGGGTTTCCACAGTCCTCTCCTAAGGTTTGATAATTTGCTAGTGTAAACTAAAAATAAAACCCCTGATATAGTTTGGACATTTATCCCTGTGCAAATGTCATGTTGAATTATGACCATGGATGCTGGAGGTGCAGCCTGGCGGGAGGTGTTTGGATCATGGGGGCGGATCCCTCATGGCTTGGTGCTGTCTTCGTGATAATTGAGTCCTCATGAGAGCTAGTCATTTAAAATTATGTGGCACCTCCCCCTCCCTCTCTCTCTCTCAATCCTGCTTTTGCTATGTGATGTTCCTCCTTCGCCTTCCTACATGATTGTAAGCTCCCTGAGGCCTCCCTAGAAGTTGAGCAGATGCCAGCATCATACTTCCTGTAAAGCCTACAGAGCTGAGCCAATTAAACCTCTTTTTTTTTTTTTTTTTTGAGATAGAGTTTCACTCTTGTTGCCCAGGCTGGAGTGCAATGGCACCATCTCAGCTCACCACAACCTCCACCTCCCCAGTTCAAGCGATTCTCCTCCCTTAGTAGAGATGGGGTTTCACCATGTTGGACAGGCTTGTCTCAAACTCCTGACCTCATGATCCGCCTGCCTCGGCCTCCCAAAGTGCTGGGATTACAGGCATGAGCCACCATGCCCCGCCTATCTAGCACCTTTTAAAAGTCTGAATGGGAAACATTTGCCACCTATTGCCTCTAAGGGTGGCCACCTATGAGACTTCATCTACATAATAAAACTACATACAATTTATCTACATAATAAAAACTTTTATTCCAGATCTGTCTATATAATAACTCTTTCAACCAATTGCCAATCAGAAAATCTCTGAATCCACCTATGACCTGGAAGCACTTCCCTCTCCCCAGTTTGAGTTGTCCTGCTTTTCTGGACCAATGTATACCCCACATTTTGTTGTTGTTGTTGTTGTTGAGACAGAGTCTTGTTCTGTTGCCCACGCAGAGTGCAGTGGTGTGATCTTGGCTCACTGCAGCTTTCACCTCCCGGGTTCAAGTGATTCTCCTTCCTCAACCTCCCAAGTAGCTGGGACTACAGGCACGTGTCACCATGCCCAGCTGATTGTTTGCATTTTAGTAGAGACAGGGTTTGGCCATGTTGGGCTGGCTGGTCTCACACTCCTGGCCTTAAGCAATCCTCCCGTCTTGGCTTCCCAAAATGCTGGAATTACAGGCATGAGCCACTGAGCCGGCACCCCATATGTATTGATTGATGTCTGCCTATAACTTCTGTCCCCCTAATATCAAGCTGTAATGCAACCACCTTGGGCACATGTGGCTGTGAACCACATAAGGACCTCCTGAGGCTGTGTCATGGGTCATGGTCCTCATATATGGCTCAGAATAAATCTCTTCAAATATTACATAAAGTTTGGCTCTTTTTGTCAACACTAGAACGGTTTGCAGAATTTAGGAAGACACTTTATTTTTTTGAGACAGAGTCTTACTCTGTCACCCAGGCTGGAGTGCAATGGCTCGATCTTGGCTCACTGCAACTTCTGCATCCTGGATTAAAGTGATTCTCCTGCCTCAACCTCCGAAGTAGCTGGGATTACAGGTGCGCACCACCATGCCTGGCTAATTTTTGTATTTTTAGTAGAGATGGGGTTTCTCCATGTTGGTCAGGCTGGTTTTGAACTCCCGACCTCAGGTGATCTGCCTGCCTTGGCGTCCCAAAGTGCTGGTATTACAGGCGTGAGCCACTGTGCCCGGCTCAAACCTCTTTTCTTTATAAACTACCCAGTCTCAAGTTATTTATTTATTTATTTATTTATTTTGAGATGGAGTCTCGCTCTGTTGCCCAGGCTGGAGTGCAGTGGTGTGATCTCGGCTCACTGCACTTTCCACCTCCTGCCACCATGCCCAGCTAATTTTTGTATTTTTAGTAGAGACGGGGGTTTCACCATGTTGGCCAGGCTGATCTCGAACTCCTAACCTCTTGATCCGCCTGCCTTGGCCTCCCAAAGTGCTGGGATTACAGGTGTGAGCCACTGTGCTCGGCCTGCACTTTCTTTATATTTATTTATTCACAACTGATCAGAAGGCATGTTCTTTTTTTTTTTTTCTTTTTTTTCTTTTTTGAGATGAAGTCTTGCTCTTGTCGCCCAGGCTGGAGTGCAATGGTGTGATCTCGGCTCGCTGCAACCTCCACCTCCCTGGTTCAAGCGATTCTCCTGCCTCAGCCTCCTGAGTAGCTGGGATTACAGGCACCTGTCACTACACCCAGCTAATTTTTGTATTTTTAGTAAAGACGGGTTTCACCATGTTGGCCAGGCTGGTCTCGAACTCCTGATCTCAGGCGATACACCCACCTCGGTCTCCCAAAGTGCTGGGATTACAGGTGTGAGCCACGGTGCCTGGCCTGCATGTTCTTTCTTTAAATATGGAAGAAGCCTGGCATGTTTTGAGGCCACAGCGAAGTTGCTGGTAGGGAAGGAGAAAGACAAGAGGGGGTAAAGCAATGCAGAAAGTTTGGGAAAATAGAGAGACTGAATTGAAGCATAAGGTGGAGAGATTAGCCTTAAACCCAAAGTTGGGCACTTTTTTTTCTCTAAGAACAAAGGAAAGAGGGCGGGCATGGTGGCTCACACCTGTAATCCCAGCACTTTGGGAGGCTGAGGTAGGCAGATCACTTGAGGTCAGGAGTTCAAGATCAGACTGGCCAACATGGTGAAACCCTGTCTCTACTAAAAATATAAAAATTAGCCAGGCATGGTGGCACGTGGCTGTAATCCCGCTACTTGGGAGGCTGAGGCATAAGGATCACTTGAACCTCGGAGGCAGAAGATGCAATGAGCGGAGATGGTGCCATTGCACTCCAGCCTTGGTGACAGAACAAGACTGTCTCAAAAAAATAGAACAAAGGAACGGAACAGAAGTAAGGGTGGACAAGAGTGATGCCAGCTCACCACTCCCGAGTGTTTTCTGTGTGTAGAGCACTCTACTAAGTGCATTATATACATTTTCTTGTCCGGTCCTCCCAACAATTCTGAAAAGTGTGTCTTGTTTGTGTTCCCATTTTACAGATGAGGAAATTGAATCTTTGAGAGGTCATAAAGCCTAAGGTCATAAAGCTATGGAGTCAGCCTTTGAGCCCAGGCATCCTGATGCCAGAGTCTAGATTCTTTTTGGCAGAATGTTCCTTATTTTTGTTTTATCTGATGTTTTTTCATGATTAGATTCAAGATATGCATTTCCAACCAGAATACTACTTAAGTGATGTGTTCGTCTCAGGCTTTCCATCAGAGGGCACAGAATGTCCATCTGTCCCTAAACAATCACACTGTTAAGGTGGTGTCCAATTGCCCTATTATACAGTCACTACTTTTTCCCTTCCAACTAATAAGCAATCTGAGTGGAGACACTTTAAAACCATGCAATTATCTTGCTCCTCAAGTTTCCTCCTAAATTTTGCATCCATAGGTACTTCTTGCCTGATCCATTTTACTACAATAATTGCAAAATAATGAATTCCCAATTGCAGCACTACTTCTACATTCACCATCGACCTCAGCTTCATTCTTCTTAAACAAGAGCGCTCTTCCTCTCTTTCTCTCTCATTGATATGAACTCATGATTCCTATTTTTTCAATGGGTTATAGTTTATTAATGTCCTTAATCATTTTGGTGCCCTAATATCCCAGATTTGGCCAGTGGGAGCTCCTTAAAGTTGGTTCCTTTATCCTGTGACATGCCCCCAGCACTTTTTTACTTTTTGACATAACACAACATTTCAGGCTCCTCATCTCATATCCACATTGCCCCAGACATTTCTCTAATGAACCCTGATTCCTTTTAGTGAGGAATGTATTAGAGACCAAGATCTCAGTGCAAAATGTTCTTATTGCTAATGGGATGTATTTGATTTTAGCCCTTTTTAGCAGATACAGCTGAATACACATACACACATTATCTACATATATGAATATGCATACACACATGCACATACATACTTGTGTATACATACATGTGTATGTTCAGACATATACATGTTTTAGAAATCATGAGTTCTGGCCAGGTGCAGTGGCTCATGCCCATAATCCCAGCACTTTGGGAGGCTGAAGCAGGTGGAGTTCTGAGGTCAGGAGTTCAAGACCAGCCTGGCCAACATGATGAAACCCCGTCTCTACTAAAAATACAAAAAAAAAAAAAAAATTAGCTGGGTGTGGTGGTGGGCACCTGTAATCCCAGCTACTTGGGAGGCTGAAGCAGGAGAATCACTGGAACCCAGGAGGTGGAGGTTGCAGTGAGCCGAGATTGTGCCACTCCACTCCAGCCTGGGCAACAAGAGCAAAACTCCGTCTCAAAAAAAAAAAAAAAAAGGAAAGAAATAATGAGTTCTTGGCTTTCAACAACATCAACACATTTATTCATTTGTTCAAGCATATAATATGTCTAAAATGTTTCAGAATTGATTTGCCAATGCCATTACATAAACAAACCTACCAAAGAGACTTCAGAATTTGTTTGAAGTTATCTTCCTACCCCTGCCTCACGGGAGCCTAGCTTCTGAACCAGTCTTGACTAGTATGGCTGTTTGCTCGGAGGAAGGTGGCAGCAGAGAGGGAGCAAGAGACTTGAAATGGAGGTGTGAAATAGCCACGGAGGGGGAAAGGTGCGGGAACTTCAGTTTCAGAAGCAGAAGATAAATTTCCAAGGCTGAAGGAGATACTTGTGTGCTGGCCCAGGACCACTTGATGGCATATTTTCCCGAAGCCATCTTGGCAGCCTGGGTACAGTAGAGAAGACAGATGGCTGAGATGACTGGCTGATCCAAAGTTGGGGAACTACCAGGTGGATGTGGCAGAAGGACAGAGTGTGAGGACACTGGGGTGCTGGCAAGAGAATGGTTGATGTCACGAACCCTGGAGTCTGGGCTGAATTGGGGAAGAAATGAAGCCAAGAGAAAGGGGAATGACTGGAGCTGTGAAGGGGTTTATTCATGTGATTTCTGGTCACTAAATCCAATAATCTAGGAATAGCAGTTCAGGGGGCTATGAGGAGAGATGGCATCTATCTTTATTTTATTTTATTTTATTTTATTTTTCTTGAGACCGTGTTTCGCTCTTGTTGCTCAGGCTGGAGTGCAATGGCGTGATTTCGGCTCACCAAAACCTCCGCCTCCTGGGTTCAAGCGATTCTCCTGCCTCAGCCTCCCGAGTAGCTGGGATTACAGGCATGTGCCACCATGCTAATTTTTTGTATTTTTAGTAGAGACGGGGTTTCTCCATGTTGGTCAGGCTGGTCTCAAACTCGCAACCTCAGGTGATCCGCCCGCCTCGGCCTCCCAAAGTGCTAGGATTACAGGCATGAGCCACCGCACCCGGCCAGCATGTATCAAAATTGGTTAGCGACAAGATGAGAAGAACTGTACTCAGAGCAACCAAAGAGGTCTTGTTTCCCCAAAGACCAGAGATTGAGGGAGAGAAGACCTAGCTAGCTCAGGCTGAAGAGGGAAACTGTTTAAAGCACATTATTGCAATGTATGATCAACAGCTAAGAGTAGTGGTCAAATGAAGGGACCTTAGAGATCATTTCACCTTTCACTTTTAAGGTCGGGTAGTAAAAGTGCAGAGCTATTAAGCAACTGCCCCATGCCTACTTGCCCCCAGCCTCTGTGGGATTCAAACTCAGGTGTTCTAAATGCCACATTGGTGGCTCTTTAACTCACTACAATGTTCTGAACCTAGCAAAACATCTGACTGCTTTGTTTTGCCTACTAGTCTTTGTTCTCCATCTAGGTTTTAAACACAGGGGCAGTTCTCCATAGTTCCTAAGTAAATCACTGCTCAATGCACCTTTTTTTTTTTTTTTTTTTTTTTTTTTGAGAAGGACTCTCGCTCTGTTGCCCAGGCTGGAGTGCAGTGGCACAATCTCGGCTCACTGCAACCTCCACCTCTCGGGTTCAAGCAATTCTCTGCCTCAGCCTCCTGAGTAGCTGGGATTACAGGCCCCTGCCACCACACCTGGCTAATTTTTGCATTTTTTGTACAGACAGGGTTTCACCATCTTGGCCAGGCTGGTCTTGAACTCCTGACCTCGTGATCCACCTGCCTCAGCCCAAAGTACTGGGATTACAGGCATGACCCAGTCTTTTTTTTTTTTTAAAGACAGAGTCTCACTCTCACCCAGGCTGGAGTACAGTGGCATGATCTCAGTTCACTGCAACCTCCACCTCCTGGGCTAAAGTGATCCTCCCACCCCAGCCTCCAGGGTAGTTGGGACTACAGGCATGTGCCACCACACCCGGCTATTTTTGTATTTTTTTGCTAGAGACAGGGTTTCACCACGTTGCCAAGACTGGTCTCGTACTGCTGGGCTCAATGGATCCACTTGCCTCAGCCTCCCAAAGTGCTGGGATTACAGGCATGAACCACCATGCCTGGCCTATCTCACTTTCAAGAGATGTTGTCCTCTCTCCAAAAACAAAGATATGCTGCCACCAGATGGTGATAGGACCTTCATTAGGCCCTGTGGTCCAAAGAGTAAGGCTTCGAAAGAAACCATGTTCATAGGCCAGGTGGCTCACTGCACCCTCTGCCTCCTGGGTTCAAGCTATTCTCCTGCCTCAGCCTCCAGAGTAGCTGGGATTACAGGCACACACCACCACACACTGCTGATTTTTGTATTTTTAGTAGAGACAGGGTTTCACCATGTTGGCCAGGCTGGTTTCGAACTCCTGGCCTCAACTGATCCACCCGCCTTGGCCTCCCAAAGGCTGCCGGCTGAATTTCTGAACAACTTTCAAACAAGGTTTGCTTTTGGGACTTGTCCTTTAAGGATATCCTTTTAGGGATAAAAAGTGGGGTTTTGGCTGGGTGCTTTCTAGATACTTAAAATGCTAATAGTTTTAGGATGTATGTAAGGTGCGGCATAGGAGAAGGCCATTTGCAAACTCCCTATATAAAGAGTATGGGGGCCAGGCATGGTGGCTCATGCCTGTAATCCCAGCACTTTGGGAGGCCAAGGTGGGAGGATCACGAGGTCAGGAGTTCGAGATCAGCCTGGCCAACATGGTGAAACTCAGTCTGTACTAAAAATACAAAAATTAGCCAGGTGTGGTGGTGGCGCCTGTAATCCCAGCTACTCAGGAGGCTGAGGCAGGAGAATTGCTTGAACCAGGGAGGCGAAGGTTGCAGTGAGCCAAGATTGCCCCACTGCACTCCAACCTGGGTGACAGAGCAAGACTCCATCTCAAAAAAAAAAAAAAAGTATGGGCTGATATTGCCCTTAAAAAGACTCACAGATTGAGGGTAGCTGCACCTAGGACCTCTCTGTACTCTCTGCTCAATTTGTCTGTAAATCTAAAACTGTTCTAAAATATTTTTAAAATACTCCTACACTAGGATTGCAATAAAATTTGTGTTGTCATGTGGTTCTAATCACTAGTAATCCAGGTAGTGATGGTGGCTGAAAGTTTAAAAGTGATAATGAAAAATGTGCTAGAAAACTTTCAATCCCATGTGATAGAAAAAAAGTAGTCAAAATAGGGCTCCTAGCATGAGCTGGAGTGACCACCCCTGTAAATGACTCCAGCGTGTTGACATGACAGGCTGCAGCTGGCCGACTTTGCTTGGTGCTCAGGAGAGGCTATTGGAAAGAAAAGGCGGATAAAAAATATCTGTTCACATAAAATTATGCAGTTAACCAATCAAAGGAAACAACTGGTTAGAGAGAAAGAATTTTAATCATCAGCCTAAAAAAATTACAAAACCTCATTGAACATAAGGTACGCAACATTAAATTCTGGGTAATACATGCATTGTTATTTCTATGTGGGAATACCTCATTGTGAGCAAACCTGACATACAGCAGTAGGACTGACCGTCACTAGAAAGCTTTGACACAACACTTTTTTTTATTATAGCACACTGCCAAAATGTGTTTAACATAGATTTTGATTTTTAAAAATTGATTTGCACATAATTTTAGAGAGAATATCTATTGGTTAAAATGAGGTATATCTGTGCTGCCATGAAGTGTGCCATGAGAACACACTTCAGTTTCTGATAAAGCATTTTTACACATCATAATAAAATTTCATTTTATGAAAAAATAGTTGAATTCATGAGGTATGCATCTTGACCACATGCCCACAGTGTAAGTACAAAGTGTAAGGTCAGTGCATGAGTGCACAACACAGTATACCACAAGTAAATGCAGTTCCCAGTCATACATCTCCCCCATTATAAAATGTGTCTAATCTCAAAACCCCCGATGAAGTGCTTGTGTGGCACAGCCCAGGCTCACCTACGGGTATGTGTATATGTGCAAGGATGGGTATGCCGCCATGGCAGCACAGCCTCTCTTTGTGGCAGGATATCTGCTCCTAGGCCAGTTTGGCTTCATACCTGGAGCTGGCTCTTGGCTGGAGTTTATGGTTCTCTTTGGAGAGCATGATACTGTAAAGCCTGGCTTCTTATTCTGTGCAAATAAGATTTTAAAAAGTTGAATTCAGTTTATTTTGCCATTTCCAAATATGTAGTTAGGGTTGGGGTTGGCTTTACAAGGAGCTGGTGAGAAATATTTGCATTTCTTCCCCAAATATAAAAGTAGTTGACAATGTTACAGAACAGAGGTGAATTGAGCATTTGTCCTGGTCCCTTAGCCAAATCAAGGTCAACATGAGACACATTTTTTTTTTTTTTTGAGATGGAGTCTTGCTCTGTTGCTCTGGCTGGAGTGCAATGGCACAATCTCAGCTCACTGCAACCTCTGCCTTCTGGGCTCAAGCAATTCTCCTGCCTCAGCCTCCCGAGGAGCTGGGACTACAGGCGTGCACCACCACACCCAGCTAATTTTTTTGTATTTTTAGTAGAGATGGGGTTTCGCCATTTTGCCCAGGCTGGTCTCAAACTCCTGACCTCAAGTGATCCTCCTGCCTTGGCCTCCCAAAGTGCTGGGATTACAGGCGTGAGCCACCACGCCGGCCAACATGGGCAACATTTTAATTGCCCCCAAAAGCAGAAGGACTGCATTTTATAAGCTGTCTAGAAACATTACACAAAAAAATAGAAAAACAATCTGTCAAGGTGGCAGATTGCCTCATTTTTTTCAATTATGTTTATCTGACATGTTATAGAAATTAAATACCCACATCTCTGTTACACAAGTATCACACTATAAATTTTAAGAAAATATGAGGTGGGATAATCGCTTGAGCCTGGCAGGCAGAGGTTGCAGTGAGCCAAGATCATGCCACTGCACTCCAGCCTGGGCGACAGAGCAAGACCCTGTCTCAAAAAAAAAAATTTTTTTTTAAGAAAATGAACTAAAGATAAAGGTTTGGATAACATTCATCCACTACACTGGATTTAACTGAATTCATGGTTATATGTTACAACCTAATTAGTATGTTTCAGTTCTGGGATATGGTTTTTGCTACTCATAGCCTTCCAGCAATGAATGCTAAGTGAAGAAAGAGGACAAGCTCATTCTTGATTAGTCTGTCAGGACTGAAACTCTCTTTAATTTGACTTTATTTAAGCCTATCTTTTCGCCGCTCTTCATTTTCTGTCATAATATGGTGATTGGACTATCAGTCTTGTCACTCCTAGAGGATCTTGTCTTCATGTCTTTTAAGGGCCTTGCACATAGTAGACACTAGAAGACACTGATAGGTAAATGAGAGCATCAGTGCAAGAATTCCCAAGCAACAGACTTGGGAAGACAGCAGGGACTCCATCCATTGGGAGAACCATCTACTCTATATCTAGTACACCTAACATAATCCACTGATTCTCAACCTGTGTTTTACCCAGACTCATGTGAACAACACCCTCCTGTACACATTCCCTGGGCTATTAGAAACAACAGCTTACTAGCTGTTTTGCCACCTTTTTTTTTTTTGGAGACAGAGTCTCACTCTGTCGCCCAGGCTGCAGTGGTGCGATCTCTGCTCACTGCAACCTCCACCTCCGGGTTCAAGTGATCCTCCTGCCTCAGCCTTCCAAGTAGCTGGGACTACAGGCGTGTGCCACCACACCTGGCTAATTTTTTGGTTTTTAGTAGAGACAGGGTTTCACCATGTTGGCCAGGCTGGTCTCGAACTCCTGACCTCAGGTTATCCGCCCACCTCGGCCTCCCAAAGTGCTGGGATTACAGGCATAAGCCACCGCGCCTGGCCTCACCACCTCTTTTTTCCTCCCTTTCAGGAAAAAACATGTGAGTGCAAATGAGCATGATGAATGTTATTATAGGGATAAATATGAATTCATTCAAACTTACTCTTTTTTTAAAGTTTTTATATTTTATTTATTTATTTATTTTGAGAAAGAGTCTCACTCTGTCACCCAGGCTGGAGTGCCGTGGTGCAATCTTGGTTCACTGCAAACTCTGCCTCCTGGGTTCAAGTGATTCTCCTGCCTCAGCCTCCCGAGTAGCTGGGGTTATAAGCATGCACCACTACACCCAGCTAATTTTTATATTTTTAGTTGAGACAGGGTTTGGCCATGTTGGCCAGGCTGGTCTTGAACTGGAACTCCTAACCTCAGGTGATCCACTCGCCTCAGCCTCCTAAAGTGCTTGGATTACAGGTGTGAGCCACTGCACCTGACCAAACTTACTCGTTCACTTTTTTTTTTTTTTTTAGACGGAGTCGCACTCTGTCACCCAGGCTGGAGTGCAATGGCACGATCTCAGCTCACTGCAACCTCTGCCTCCCGGGTTCAAGCGATTCTCCTGCCTCAGCCTCTCCAGTAGCTGGGATTACAGGCACACACCACCATGCCCAACTAATTTTTGTATTTTTTAATAGAGATGGGGTTTCACCATGTTGGCCAGGCTGGTCTTGAACTCCTGACCTCAAATCATCTGCCTGCCTTGGCCTCCCAAAGTGCTGGGATTACAGGCATGAGCCACTGTGCCCGGCCTAAAACTTACTCTTTTAAAAAAGCAAACAATTCACAAAACTTGGTACTGAATGGTCAGTGGTAACTGTAGCCTGAGGGTGCAAAATGCCTTAGATGTTCACCTGCGCAGAACGAATCCGAGAAGGTAAAACTGGACTGTGCATCACCGCCCTCCAAATCACATAATACATTTGAGAACTAATTAAAATTAATCACTGGCATATAAGTATATACAGTATATTAGGTGAAGTACCTGCATTCTCCCTTTATTCTTAGGCAGAATCAGGGTGGCCATTGATGGGTCCAGGGGGGTGTCTTTGTCTCTTCTATTTAAATTTGTCTAAAATAAATGAACATATCCTCACTAAATTTTCCACTTGAGCAAGTGTGATTACAGTGAATATACATTATTCATTTGTTTCTTATTCATACATGTTGATTCATTGTGATATTCCCACATAAAAGGACAGGCAAAACATAATTCAAAGAAGGAAAAACAATTCAAAGGAGGAAAAGTGACTAATTTACTGAGTACCTACGATATGCCAGGTGCTTTACCCTTTCACACTAATTCACACAACTTTAGGATGTAGATATTATTACCTCAGTATTTCAGATGCAGAAACTTAGTAACCCCAGGGTGGTCAGATGACTCACAGAATATTAAATAGTGGGGCTGAAATTTGAACTCAAGGCAGACTTCAAAATGTATGTATGCTCTTGCCACCAGCTGTGCTCTGTGGGGATTCCCCAGTATTACACAGTGAGGCCTCATTATAGTATTCTTTTTTTTTTTTTTTTAAGACGGAGTTTCACTCTTGTTGCCCAGGCTGGAGTGCAATGGCGCAATCTTGGCTCACTGCAACCTCTGCCTCCCGGGTTCAAGCGATTCTCCTGCCTCAGCCTCCCAAGTAGCTGGGATTACAGGCATGCGCCACCATGCCCTGCTAATTTTGTCTTTTTAGTAGAGACAGGGTTTTTCCATGTTGGTCAGGCTGGTCTTGAACTCCCGACCTCAGGTGATCCGCCCGCCTCGGCCTCCCAAAGTGCTGGAATTACAGGCATGAGCCACCGTGCCCAGCCTATAGTACTCTTTTTTTCTGAGACAGTATCACTCTTGTCGCCCAGGCTGGTTGCAATGGCGCAATCTTGGCTCACGGCAACCTCCACCTCTTGAGTTCAAGCGATTCTCCTGCCTCAGACTCCCCAGTAGCTGGAATTACAGGCGCCTGCCACCACGCCTGGCTAATTTTTATATTTTTAGTGGAGACAGGGTTTCACCATGTTGGCTGGGCTGGTCTTGAACCCCTGACCTCAGGTGATCCACCCACTTCAGCCTCCCAAAGTGCTGGGATTACAGGCGTGAGTCACCGTGCCTGGGCAGCACTGTTAACCATAGGGTAGTGTTTCACATGAGGAGGGCCCATTTTGCACCCTATCCCCTAAGAATCAGCTACTAACTATTGTACCAAAACTGTTTTTTTATTTTTTTGGGACAAAGTCTCACTATGTCATCTAGGGTGGAGTGCAGTGGCAGGATCACAGCTCACTGTAACCTTAAACTCCTGGACTCAAGTGATTCTCCCACCTCAGCCTCCCAAGTAGCTAGGACTACAGGGGCAGGCTACCACATCCAGCTAAGTTTTTTTTTTTTTTTAAGACGGGGTTTCGCTCTATTGCCCAGGCTGGAGTGCAGTGGCGTGATCTCGGCTCACTGCAACCTCTGCCTCCCAGGTTCAAGTGATTGTCCTGCCTCAGCCTCCCGAGTAGCTGGGACTACAGCGATGCACCACCACGCCCAGCTAATTTTTTGTATTTTTAGTAGACACGGGGTTTCACTGTGTTAGCTAGGATGGTCTCAATCTCCTGACCTCGTGATCCGCCTGCCTCAGCCTCCCAAAGTGTTGGGATTGCAGGCATGAGCCACTGTGCCCAGCCCACATCCAGCTAAGTTTTAAAGTTTTTTGTAGAGATAGGATCTTGCTATGTTGCTCAGGCTGGTCTTGACCTCCTGGCCTGAAGTGATCCTCCCACCTTTGCCTCCCAAAGTGCTGGGATTACAGGTGTGAGCTACCGTACCTGACCTCAAAACCCACCTCCCACCTTTTTTTTTTTTTTTTTTAATTTTTAGCAAGGTCTTGCTCTGTCGCCCAGGCTGGGGTGCAGTGGTAGGATCACAGCTCACTGTAGCCTTGACCTCTCGGGCTCAAGCAATCCTCCTACCTCAGCCTCCCAAGTAGCTAAGACTATAAGCATGCGCCACCATGCACAGCTCATTTTTTTTCTTCTTTTTTTTTTTTCTAAGACAGAGTCTTGCTCTGTCACCCAAGCTGGGCGCAATCTCAGCTCACTGCAACCTCTGCCTCCTAGGTTCAAGCAATTACTGTGACTCAGCTTCCTGAGTAGCTGCCACTACAGGCATACACCACCATGCCCAGCTAATTTTGCATTTTTAGTAGAGGTGGGGTTTCACCATGTTGGCCAGGCTGGTCTTGAACTCCTGGTCTCATGTGATCCACCCATCTTGTCCTCCCAAAGTGCTGAGATTACCGGTATGAGCCACCGTGCCCAGCCATGCCTAGCTAATTTTTAAAAAAAATTTTTGTAGAGATGGGGTCTTGCTATGTTGCCAGAGCTAGTCTCAAACTTCTGGACTCAAGCAGTCCTCCTCTCTCAGCCTTCCAAAGTGCTGGGATTACAGATGTGAGCCACCGTGCCTGGCCACCCAGGCTGGAGTACAGTGGTATGATCATGGCTCACTGCAGCCTCCAACTCTGGTCTCATGTGATCTGCCCACCTCAGTGTCTCAGATAGGTGGGACTATGTGCACCACTATGCCCAGCTAATTTTTGTTTATTTTTTGTAGAGATGAGGTTTCACTATGTTGTGCAGGCTGGTCTTGAACTCCTGGGCTCCAGTGATCCTCCTGCCTCGGCTTTCCAAAGTGTTGGGTTTGGCCAGGCGTAGTGGCTCACACCTGTAATCCCAGCACTTTGGGAGGCTGAGGCAGGCGGATCACCTGAGATCAGAAGTTCAAAACCAGCCTGGCCAACATGGTGAAACCCCGTCTGTACTAAAAATAAAAAATTAGCCAGGCAAGGTGGCATGTGCCTGTAATCCCAGCTACTCGGGAGGCTGAGGCGGGAGAATCACTTGAACCCGGGAAGTGGAGGTTGTAGTGAGCTGAGATCGCGCCACTGAACTCAAGCCTGCGTGACAGAATGAGACTCTGTCTCAAAAAAAGAAACAAAAAAGAAAACACACAAAGTGTTGGGCTTTCAGGTGTGAGCCACCATGGCCGGACAGCCTATTTTTTTACACAAAAAAATCAATGATTTTGACTGGGCATGGTAGCTCATGCCTGTAATCCCAGCACTTTGGGAGGCCAAAGTGGGTGGATTACTTGAGTTTAGCAGTTTGAGACCAGCCTGGGCAACATGTCGAAACCCTGTCTCTACTAAAAATACAAAAATTAGCCGAGCATGGTGGTGGGCACCTGTAATCCCAGCTACTCCAGAGGCTGAGACCCGAGAATCACTTGAACCCAAGAGGTGGAAGTTGCAGTGAGCTGAGATTGCCTCTGCACTCCAGCCTGGGTAACAGAGTAAGACTCCATCTCAAAAAAAAAAAAAAGAAAAAAAATCAAAGATTTTATAGCCATAAAACTATAAAGTACTAAACATTGGCTGAGTGTCTCTCCTCTGTGTTGCCACTGCATCCTACTCTGTGATACAATTTCCTACTTACTTGCTGAAATCTCCACCAGATTCTGAAGTCCCCGAGGCAGGGATAGTATTTTGTTCAAGGTTGCATTCACAGCATCCAGTAAAGGGACTGGCATGTAGTAGGTGCCCAATAAAATTCATTGATTTATTTTAAAATAACATTTGCTGATTGAGTAGATGGGTGAGTAGAGGGATGAATGGATGGTAAGTAAGGCAGCCTGTTCTTATGTTCTTGGTGTAAAATCACAAATCACCAATATTTGATTCCAGACTTCAGTCATGTCTAATCCAAAGCAGTGTCAATGTCTCCCCCAGTTTTAATGTTTTCTTGCTCCCAGTGGCACTGTCAGGTTAGGGTAACGTAAATGGCTATTACATTTGTCACATTGTGGGAGAGAGGTGCTAATTCGAGAGGTTAGAGAATCTGTGTGACAAAGAGTCAAAAACAAAAATACTACCTCATTTAACCTTGGGTTTTCATTTTTCATTGGTAAAAAACTGGAATTCTCTGAGTTTTTGAAAAAGGTTGGCTGCTTTTGCAGAGTAGAAGCAAATCCTGCCTTTTCCTAGGATTGAGTGAAAAGAGAATCTTTTTCAATTGATCTATTCAAAATTGATCCAATTTACCCAACAGCAAAACTTGTACTTCTGAAAGCACGTTTGTCTTTAGAAAGCAGAGGGTATGGTGGGAGTGTGGCAGCTTGGACAAAGATTGATGAGCTATCCAGCTGTCTTAGCCTGGACCAGGCCTGGCCCCCAGCCATCCATCTACTCCTGACTAGCTCTAGCCACTACCATTCCAGTATCATGTATTTTCTCTGGAAATTCAGACTTGGCTAAAACCCAGATTTCTTATGCCAGAGTGTAGGAGAGGTTCAGTGGGCCAAGGCCAAAACCTGCTCGGAGATGTCCGGAGGGCCCCTGGAAGGGTTCTGATCGCAAAACAGAAAGTCTCCCTCTGCCCCAATCTCCATCCCCTTTTTGGTTTAGAGTAAACTTTAACCCCCTTTCCTTATCCCTCTATGGAATGGTCTGAAACTAGACAGTAGAAATAGCCAGCAAGTCTTTCTTACTGAGGTATCTTCTGTTAACTTTAACTTCTGCATCAAATTTTTTTTCTGATACTGCTCATTTCGCTGTTTCCTAGTCTGAAGTGACTTCTTTTTTTTCTTCTTAAACATCTTCTTTTTCTGAGTCAGCTATTCCAGAAAGTAGAGAAACTGGTCATTGAAGATTCCAGAACTAGGCCCACCCACATGTGGCACTCTTCATGCAACACTCAAGACACAAAGGCTAACTCGGTATGCAGATTTGTGGTGTTGGTTTGGAGAATAAACAAACAGTTCAGTTCCCTCCTTACTGGAGGATGCTTCCTACTTAATACCCCCAAATCACACTGTTACAGATAAACTGCCAAAGGGGTACTTATGGTTGGGCATGGTGGCTCATGCCTGTAATCCCAACACTTGGGGAGGCTGAAGCGGGTGGATCACTTCAGGTCAGGAGTTTGAGACCAGCCTGGCCAACATGGTAAAACCCCACCTCTACTAAAAATACTAAAATTAGCCGGGTGAGGTGGCAGGTGCCTGTAATCCCAGTTACTCAGGAGGCTGAGGCAGGAGAATTGCTTGAACCTGGGAGGTGGAGGTTGCAGTAAGCTGAGATCACGCCCCTGAACTCCAGCCTAGGCGACAGAGTGAGACTCCATCTCAAAAAAAAAAAAAAAAAAGGCCCAGTGCAGCAGCTCACGCCTATATTCCCAGCACTTTGGGAGGCCAAGGCGGGCAGATCACGAGGTCAGGAGTTTGAGACCAGGATGGCCAACCCCATCTCTACTAAAAATACAAAAATTAGCCGGGCGTGGTGGCATGTGCCTGTAATCCCAGCTACTCAGGAGGCTGAGGCAGGAGAATTGCTTGAACCCAGAAGGCGGAAGTTTGCGCCACTGCACTCCAGCCTAGGAGACAGAGCAAGACTCCATCTCAAAAGACAAACAAACAAACAAAAAAACACAAAGGGGCACTTATACTAATAACCAAATATCTGTGATTTACAATATGAAATCAGATTACTTATGGCAATAATATCAGGCCCAGATATTAATGATCATTAAATGTGTGGTTAAAAGATTCAGTTTGGGTGTTACCTTAAGATGGCCTTAAAAATTAAGCAAGAAAGTTATAAAGGACAAAACAAGAGACTTTAGGGCAAGGTGACTAGTTAGGACATTACTGTATATTTTCTGCAGGTCTTAGGACTGTTGGAAAATTCCAACAAATTGTCTGGTAGTGTCATGACTTTTTTTTAAGGCTGCTATTTCCTGGGTATAAGAGTTCAGCTTACCTCATCTGCTATGTTTGCTAGGTGAACAGGAAGACCATCTGAGAGAGAACTGTCAGAGCCACTGGTGCTGTTTCCAAAAGAAAAAAAGAAGAGGAAATAACTGTCATTGATATGTCTAGGAAGCATAACATTTACCAGACCAGCTGTATGGGATTAGGATTAGGATATCTTCTAGTCTACTATTTCTCTCATTGTCTATGCTTCAATTACTAAAAATTATTATTTTCTTCCTTTTTTATATTTTTGGGACAGGGTCTCACTCTGTCACCCAGGCTGGAGTGCAGTACTGTGATCATAGATCACTGCAGCCTTGACCTCCCCGGCTCAAGAGATCCTCCCACCTCAGCCTTCTGAGCAACTGAGACTACAGGCTCATGCCGCCATGCCTGGCTAATTTTTAAAATTCTTGTAGTCACAGGATCCCACTATGTTGCCTGGGCTAGTCTTGAACTTTTGTGTTCAAGCGATCCTCTTGCCTCAGCCTCTTAAAGTACTTAGATTACAGGTATGAGAAATTGCGCCCAAGCAATCACTAAGAATTCTTGACAGCTGGGTGCGGTGGCACACGCCTGTAATCTCAGCATTTTGGGAGGCCAAGGTGGGTGGATCACCTTGGTCAGGAGGTGGTCAGGAGTTTGAGACCACCCGGACTAACATGGTGAAACCCCGTCTCTATTAATACAAAAAAATTATCTGGGTGTGGTGGCGCACGCCTGTAGTCCCAGCTACTCAGGAGGCTAAGGCAGGAGAATTGCTTGAACCTGGGAGGCAGAGGTTGCAGTGAACCGAGATTGCGCCATTGCACTCCAGCCTAAGCAACAAGAGTGAAGCTGTCTCAATAAAAAAAAAAAAGAAAAATTTTTTTTTGAGACAGAGTCTCCCTATGTCAACGTCTCGAGTAGCTGGAACTACAGGTGCCCGCCACCATGCCCAGCTAATTTTTTGTATTTTTAGTAGAGATGGGGTTTCACCGTGTTAGCCAAGATGGTCTCGATCTCCTGACTTCATGATCCTCCCGCCTCGGCCTCCCAAAGTGCTGGGATAACAGGCGTGAGCCACTGTACCCGGTACCCAAAAAAGAATTCTTGACAAGCACATTCATTCATTCACTCCGAACACCTACTGCATGCCAAGCAGTGTGCTAGGCACAGGGAACACAGATGAACGAGGCAGAGCCTCTGGCACCAAAGAGTTTGCAGTCCATATGGCAAAGCAAATACTGGCCAGATGGGCAGAATTGCCCTTGGTGGAGGTTGTGAGAGGCTACAGGATTCTCAATGTGCAGGCCTAGAGAACAGCAGAGGACTGTCATTTGTTTGAAAACAAGGGATCTTTCTCATTTATTCCTCTTTGGCTGGTACCAATTCAGAAATCCAGGATCCTAACAGGTACTCTGAAGAAATGTATTCAATATATAAACATATGCATTTAATAAAGAATCTGAGCCTGGGCGATACAGTACGTCGCTGTATCTACAAAAAATGTTTTTTTTAAAATTAGCTAGTAATGGTGGTGCCTCCTGTGGTCCCAGACACTTGGGAGGCTGAGATAGGAGGACCACTAGTGCCCAGGGGGTTGAGGCTGCAGTGAGCCGAGATTGTGCCACTGCACTCCAGTCTGAGCAACAGGGCAAGAAACTATCTAAAAAAATAAATAAATAACAAAAAGAACCTTCAGGTCAGAGACCAAGATTACTTTTATCACCCCAATTTTCCTTCAAAAGTTTTGAATGAGGCCAGGCATGGTGGCTCATGACTATAATCCCCACACTTTGGGAGGCCAAGGCAGGAGGGATCACTTGAGGCCAGGAATTAAAGACCAGACTGGGCAACACAGTGATACCCTGTCTCTATTAAAAAAAAAAAAAGGGTGGCTGGGCACAGTGGTTCACACCTGTAATCCCAGCACTTTGGGAGGCTGAGGCTTAAAGATCTCTTGAGCCCAGGAGTTTGAGACCAGCCTGGGCAACATGGCAAAACCCTGTCTCTACAAAAAAATACAAAAATTAGCCAGGTGTGGTGGTGTACGCCTATAGTCCCAGCTACTGGGGAGGTTGAGCTGGGAGGATCATTTGAGCTCAGGAGGTTGAGGCTATAGTGAGCTGTGATTGCGCCACTGACTCTAGCCTGGGCGACAGAGCGACACTCTTTCTAAAAAAAAAAAAAGGTTTGGATGCTCATCTAGACTAATCTAAAGTCTTCCCTCACAAACTGTGTCCTCCCCCTTTCTGCAAGGGCTAGGATGAATGAAAACTTAAATAATCAAACCTTTCTTTCTTCATGTCTTTTGCTTAAGTGTCACATTATATTTTCCCCTTTCCTGGGGTTTAGTTGGCTAGAACCAAGAGCTGTTCTCTATGACAGGGGTCTATACACACAGTTTACTGGCACAAGGCCAGGCGCGGTGGCTCATGCCTGTAATCCCAGCACTTTGGGAGGCCGAGATGGGCAGATCACTTGAGGTCAGGAATTCGAGACAAGCCTGGCCAACATTGTGAAACTCCATCTCTACTAAAAATACAAAAAAAAAATTAGCTGGGTGTGGTAGCGGGTGCCTGTAATTCCAGCTACTCGGGAGGCTGAGGCATGAGAATTGCTTGAACCCGGGAGGTGGAGATTGCAGTGATGCAGTGAGCCGAGATCGCACCACTACACTCCAGCTTGGGTGACAGAGTGAGACTCCATCTCAAAAACAAACAAACAAACAAACAAACAAAAAACACTTATTGGCACAGAGCTCGAATCACATGGGAGAAGTCAGGATTTCAAACCATTCAGCTGCCCAGGCCTTCATTCTGTTTCTGCTCCCCTCCCACCTCTCAGTGCACAATGAGTAGTAGTCCCACAGAAAGACAGCAGGAAGAAAACCCCATCTTCTCTGACCTAATTCCCAATTCCCTGTTCTCACAAGGTGTTTTTCTAGTCAAGGAGTAGCCTTTTAGGATGCTGGAAGTCCTGTTGGTAGAAAATGTTAGCAAATGGGACAAAAGCACTAAAAGCAGTATGTCCCAGAAAGTGTCAAAACCTTTGTGTGTACACACACAGAGCAAACTCAAACTGGGCTTGTACACTCACAGTCTGCTTTCCTTTGCAATCGTGACAATGAATAGGTGGAACCCCACTGGAGACTGTGACAGCCAGTTTCTTGAGGCAGAGGCTGGCAAATTGGGTTCAATAATTCTTAACCATATGCATCAGAGTGTCCCTGCTGAGCCACTAGACTGTAGAGTCTGCCTGTTTCTGAATTGGTTCCCCTTGGGCCCTATTTATTTCTTTTTAAATTTTTTAAAAAATAGAAATGGGATCTCACTATGTTGACCAAGCTGGTCTCCAACTCCTGGCCTCAAACAATCCTCCCATCTCAGTCTCCCAAAGTGCTGGGATTACAGACATGAGCCATCATACCCGTTATTACAGACATGAGCCATCATGCCTAGCCACATCTTGGGCACTATTTCTATGAGTTGATATGCAGAGCACACTTTTTTTTTTTGAGACAGGGTCTCGCTGTGTCGCTCAGGTTGGAGTGCAGTAGTGCAATCTTGACTCACTGCAGCCTTGACCTCCTGGATTCAAATGATCCTCTCACCTTAGCCTCCCAAGTAGCTGGGACAACAGGCATGAGTCACCATGACTGGCTACTTTTTGCATTTCTTGTAGAGATAGGGTTTCTCCATGTTGCCCAGGCTTGTCTTGAACTCCTGGGCTAAAGTGATCCGCCCATCTTGGCCTCCCAAAGTGCTAAGACTACAGGCGTGAGCCACTGCATCCAGCCGGCATTTTGTTTTTGAGGGTGTATTTGGAGAGGGGTTGGTGCAGAGGTCTTGGTGAGTTAGGCATAGGATTCTGAGAGAGTGGAAGGGATGACATGGTGAATGGGGCACACTACCTGGTCTGATGGCCTAGTTTAAGGTCCCCAAAGAAATATTTGTGAGACTCAGAATTGCTTTTGGGCCCAGATGTCAATGTGCCATAGAGTGGGTGGAAGAGCCATCCCTTTTCCACTGTCCACCACAGACTACAGTGCAGCCTCTGTCAGAAGACTTCCACGCCAGCTCAGAAGCCTGAAAGCAGCTGGGTCATCCACGAGGCACTTTAGCCAGTAAGTTAGAGTAGAAGGTATTCTTGCATACCTGGGAGACATAACCTTTTGGGGGCTTCCTAAATAGCTGGGGAGACTATGAAGGTACAGATGAGATCCTGAATGCTAAATTAATTCAAAAAATATTTGTTGAGCTCTTCCTCTGTGCTAGGTACAGAACAGTACCATTCTAAGTGCATGAGATACAGAGCAAACGAAAAGATCTCTGACTTTGCAGAACCTATCTCCTAGTAGAGGGAAACAGACAATAAACAACAGATATTGGCTGGGCATGGTGGCTCATGCTTGTCATCCCAGCACCTTGGGAGGCCAAGGTGGGTGGATCACTTGAGGTCAGGAGTTCAAGACCAGCCTGGGCAACATGGTGAAACCCCATCTCTACTAAAAATACAAAAATTAGATGGCCGGGCGCAGTGGCTCATGCCTGTAATCCCAGGACTTTGGGAGGCCGAGGTGGGCGGATCACCTGAGGTCGGGAGTTCGAGACCAGCCTGACCAATATGAGTAAACCCCATCTCTACTAAAAGTACAAAATTAGCCAGGCGTGGTGGCACATGCCTGTAATCCCAGCTATTTGGGAGACTGAGGCAGGAGAATCGCTTGAGCCCGGGAGGTGGAGACTGCAGTGAGCCGAGATCGTGCCGTTGCACTCCAGCCTGGGCAACAAGAGCGAAATTCTGTCTCAAAAAGAAAAAAAAAAATTAGCAGGCATGGTGGTGGGCGCCTGTAATAATCCCAGCTACTCGGGAGACTGAGGCAGGAGAATTGCTTGAACCCGGGAAGCGGAGGTTGCAGTGAGCTGAGATCACGCCATTGGACTCCAGCCTGGGTGACAGAGAGAGACTCCATCTCAAAAAAAAAAAAAAAAAAAAAATTGGCCAGGCGCAGTGGTTCATGCCTGTAATCCCAGCACTTGAGGAGGCCGAGATGGGTGGATCACCTGAGGTCAGGAGTTCGTGACCAGCCTGGCCAACATGGTGAAACCGCATCTCTACTAAAAATTAGCCAGCCGTGGTGGTGGGCACCTGTAATCCCAGCTAATCGAGAGGCTGAGGCAGGAGAATAGCTTAAACCTGGGAGACAGAGGTTGCAGTGAGTGGAGATCACGCCATTGCACTCCAGCCTGGGCAAGAAGAGTGAAAGTCTGTCTCAAAAATAAATAAATAAATAAAACAGATATAGTAAAGACTTAAATGATACAGAATGACAGAGGCAATAAATGCTATGGAAAAAAGTAGAGCACCTAAGGGGGATAAGGAGTGGCAGGAGGGTGAAGGAGGGGAGTAAGTTGTAGCATTAGAGTAATGTGTGTAGGTCATGTTGAAAAAGGCAGCATTTGGCTGGGCGCGGTGGCTCACGCCTGTAATCCCAGCACTTTGGGAGGCCGAGGTGGGCAGATTGCCTGAGGTCAGGAGTTCGAGACCAGCCTATCCTAGGCAACACAGTGAAACCCTGTCTCTACTAAAATACAAAAAATTAGCCAGGCGTGGTGGCGTGCACCTGTAGTCCCAGCTACTTGAGGGGCTGAGGCAGGAGAATTGCTTGAACCTGGGAAGCGGAGGTTGCAGTGAGCTGAGATCGTGCCACTGCACTCCAGCCTGGGTGACAGAGCGAGACTCCGTCTCAAAAAAAAAAAAAAAAAAAGGGTTAGGGTGGAGGCCATAGAGGTATCAGGAGGCTTATAGCCTTATAGGCCATTGTAGGGTCTTTGGCTTTTTTTAAAACTGAGTCGGGGAGATACTGAAGTGCTTTCAACAGATACATGATATTATCTGATTTAGGTTATTTATTTATTTATTCATTCATTTTTTGAGATGGAGTTTCGCTCTTGTTGCCCAGGCTGGAGTGCAATGGTGCGATCTCGGCTCACTGCAACCTCCGTCTCCGGGTTCCAGTGATTATCCTGCTGCAGCCTCCCGAGTAGCTGGGATTACAGGCATGTGCCATCACACACAACTGATTTTGTATTTTTAGTAGAGATGAGGTTTCTCCATGTTGGTTAGGCTGGTCTTGAACTCCTGACATCAGGTGATCTGCCAGCCTCGGCCTCCCAAAGTCCTGGGATTACAGGTGTGAGCCACCGCGCCTGATTTAGGTTTTTTAAAAAATCACTCTTCTGCTTTTTTTCAGCCTTGCTAGTCCCTTCGTCTCAGTCGCCTTTGCTGGCTCCTCCCCTATTAAAGTTGTATTATCCAGCTCAAACCTCAGACTTGGACCTCTTCTCTATCTGCACTTACTTCCTTGAGATCCCACCAGTCTTTTTTTTTTTTTTTTTTTTTTTTTCTGAGACAGGGTCTCACTCTATAGCGCAGATTGTAGTACACTAGCGCGGCCATACCTCACTGCAACCTCGAATTTCTGAGCTCAGCAATCCTCCTGCCTCAGCTTCTTAAGTAGCTAGGACTACAGGTGCATACCCCGACCCCCTGCTAAGTTTTTTTTTTTTTTTTTTTTTTTTTTGAGACCAGAGTCTCACTCTGTCACCCAGGCTGAAACGCAGTGGCGCAATCCCAGCTCACAGTAACCTCCACCTCTCGGGTTCAGGCGATCCTCCCTCCCGCCTCAGCCTCCCAAGTAGCTGGGATTACAGGCATGTGCCACCACACCCAGCTAATTTTTGTATTTTTAATAGAGATGGGGTTTCATAATGTTGGCCAGGCAGGTCTTGAACTCCTGACCTCAAGTGATCCGCCTGCCTTGGCCTCCCAAAGAGTGGGAATTACAGGTGTGAGCCACTTCATCCAGTCCCCATCTAGTGTTAAGGTTTAAATATTATCTACCAGGCTGGGCATGGTGTCTCACGCTTGTAATCGCAGCACTTTGGGAGGCTGAGGCGGGCAGATCCGTTGAGCTCAGTAGTTAGAGACCAGCCTGGGCAACATGGCAAAACCTGTTCTCTACAAAAAACACAAAAATTAACCGGGCATGATGGTGCACACCTGTAGTCCCAGCTACTTGGGGAGCTGAGGCAGGAGGATTGCTTGAGCCCAGGAAGTTGAGGATGCAGTGAGCAGAGATCATACCACTGCACTCCAGCCTGGGTGGAGAGCAACACCCTGTCTCAAGAAAAAAAAGTCATCTATCCAATGATGACTCTCTCATTGGTCCACTGGACCTCTCCACTGAACTCCAGACCCATATAGCCTACTGCTTGTTCGAGGTCTCCACTAAATATATAATGGACATTACAAACTTAACAAGCCTAACACTAGACTCCTGATCTTCACTACCTCTCTAATTTTTTCCACTCCTTTGATCTTTCCCATCTCAGCTAAAGGCAACTCCATCCAACCAATTGTGGAGTCATTCTCTTCTTTTCTCATGCCCATATCCAATCCACAGGCAAATCCTAATGTTTATAATTTCAAAATATATCTAGAATCCAACCAATTCACACATCCCCCCACAACCACTGCTGCTACTCTGGTCTAAGCCTCCATTACCTTTTACCTGTATTATTGGTCTAAGCCTCCATTATCTTTTACCTATATTATTGCAAGAGCCTCCTATTGAGTCTCCCTGCTTAGAACTTCCCTCTTTATGATCTACTTTTCACACAGCAGCCAGTGTTCCTGTTGAAACTAAAACCTGTCTGGGGCCGGACGCGGCGGCTCACGCCTGTAATCCCAGCACTTTGGGAGGCCCAGGCGGGTGGATCACGAGGTCAGGAGATTGAGACCATCCTGGCTAACACGGTGAAACCCCATCTCTACTAAAAATACAAAAAATTAGCCGGGCGTTGTTGCAGGCGCCTGTAGTCCCAGCTACTCGGGAGGCTGAGCCCGGAGAATGGCCTGAACCCGGAAGGCGGAGCTTGCGGTGAGTGGAGATCGCGCCACTGCAGCCTGGGCGACAGAGCGAGCCTCCATCTCAAAAAAAAAAAAAAAAAAAAAGAAACTAAAACCTGTCAAACCATGATATTTCTCTACTCAAAACCTTCCAAAGGCTTTCCATCTCCGTTGGAGTGAAAGGCAAAGGCTTTGCAGTTCCCTACAAGGCCCTACACAAACTGCCTGCCCAACTCCCTACTCCTTTCTAATGGCTAAAACAGAGGCTGGCAAAGAATATTCACTCTTTTGTTTTGTTTTTTGTTTCTGAGCCTGTCGCCCATGCTGGAGTGCAGTGGCATGATCTTGGCTCACTGTAGCCTTAACTTCCTGGGCTCAGGTGATCCTCCCACCTCAGCCTCCCCAGTGTCTGGGACTACAGGCATAGATCACCAAGCCCAGCTAATTTTTGTATTTTTTGTAGAGACAACATCTCACTATATCACCCAGGTTAACAACAAAGTATTTAAAAAAAAACAAAACTCTGTTTTTTCTTTGTTACCTGGATTCAATGTCAGACAAAGAGATGTCACTCCAACTTCCTTCTAAATCTACATCTTGTCCAAGTTCATGGAATTTCTTGTGGATTTCCTGTCGTAAAAGCTCCTTAAGCTCTGCTAGACACTGAGTGAACTATGAAAGTGAAAAAAAGAACTATTTTGTTAATTCATTTTATTTTATTTATTTATTATTATTATTTTTGAGACGGAGTTTGACTCTTGTTGCCCAGGCTGGAGTACAATGGCACTATCTTGGCTCACTGCAACCTCTGTCTCCTGGGTTCAAGCGATTCTCCTGCCTCAGCCTCCCAAGTAGCTGGGATTACAGGCATGCCCCACCACACTCAGCTAATTTTGTATTTTTAGTAGAAACAGGGTTTCACCATATTGGTCAGGCTGGTTTTGAACTCCCGACCTCAGGTGATCCACCTGCCTCAGCTTCCCAAAGTGCTGGGATTACAGGCGTGAGCCATCATGCCTGGCCCATTTTATTTATTCATCAAATATTTACTAAGTATATGCTGAAAGGCATTTTATTTATTGCTGGGAACACAAAGATGAATAACCTGCACCCCTGCTAGTAAGGACATGTTAACAGAAAATTACATGAGCGGGAGGAACAAATAGAAATTTTTTTAGGGCAGAACATCAGTGAGCACTGCTCTAGCCACTTTTCTCTGACTAGAGCCAACTTCTTCTTTTTTATTTTTTTTTGAGACAGAGTCTTGCTCTGTCTCCAGGCTGGAGTACAGTGGCGTGATCTTGGCTCACTGCAACCTCCGCCCCCTGGGTTCAAGCCATTCTCCTGCCTCAGCCTCCTGAGTAGCTGGGACTACAGGCGCACACCACCACGCCCAGCTAATTTTTGTATTTTTAGTAGAGATGGGGTTTCACCACGTTGGCCAGGATGGTCTCGAACTCCTGACCTCGTGATCTGCCCGCCTTGGCCTCCCAAAGTGCTGGGATTACAGGCGTGAGCCATCATGCCTGGCTGCCAACTTCTTCAACAATGCAATACTCTATTTTATTTTATTTTATTTTATTTTATTTTATTTTATTTTATTTTATTATTTTATTTTTTTTGAGACGGAGTCTTGCTCTGTCACCCAGGCTGGAGTGTAGTGGCATGATCTCTGCTCACTGCAACCTCTGCCTCCCAGGTTCAAGTGTTTCTCCTGCCTCAGCCTCCCGAGCAGCTGGGATTACAGGCGCTTGCCACCACGCCTGGCTAAATTTTTGTATTTTTAGTAGAGATGGGGGTTTCACCGTGTTGGTCAGGCTGGTCTCGAACTCCTGACCTTGTGATTTGCCAGCCTTAGCCTCCCAAAGTGCTGGGATTAGAGGTGTGAGCCACTGCACCCGGCCTGATGATGATTATTATTAGTTTTTTGTTTGTTTGTTTGTTTGGGAAGACATAATTAATGAGGCAAGACCTCAGAAAGGCCATAGGGGAAGTCAACAAGTGTACACAGAGCAGGGCTAACTTTGGAGAAGAGAAAAGACACCTGGCTGGGCACAGTGGCTCGCGCCTATAATCCCAGCAGTTTGGGAGGCTGAGGCGGGCAGATTACCTGAGGTCAGGAGTTCCAGACCAGCCTGACCAATATGGTGAAACCCCATCTGTACTAAAAAATACAAAAATTAGCCGGACGTGGTGGTGCACGCCTGTAATCCCAGCTACTCAGTAGACTGAGGCAGGAGAATTGCATGATCCTGGGAGGTGGAGATTGCAGTGAGCCAAGTTCGCGCCACTGCACTCCAGCCTGGGCGACAGATGGAGACCCTGTCTCAAAAAAAAAAAAAAAAAAAAAAAAAAAAAAAGAAAAGACACCTGATTTTCTAAAATAAAAGGAAAGATAATTAGTGTTGTAGCTGGGCACAGTGGCTCATGCTTGTAATCCCAGCACTTTGAGAGGCTGAGGCAGGAGGATCACGAGCCCAGGAGCTGGAGACCAGCCTGGGAACGGAAAAACCCTGTCTCTATAAAAGCTTAAAAATTAGCTGTGTGTGGTGGTGCATACTTGTGGTCTCAACTACTTGGGAGGCTAAGGTGTTGAGGCTGCAATGAGCCGTGATCACCCCATTGCACTTCAGCCTGGGTAACAGAGTCAGATCCTGTCTCAAAAGAAAAAAAAAAGAATAGGTGTTGCCATAGGTTAAGTCCAGAAGTGAGGGAGAGGTGTTCCAAAGGACTGTCTCCATCTTCTTGGTGAATTATGAGGTCTTACCATTTGTAGACAGTATGCAGTCTGGGGGCTTTCTTATTTTCTTTTATTATAAAAACTTCAGAAAACTAGTAAGAGGAAAATAAAGATTGCCTATAATTCCACTGGGCTCACTTTGGACCCATGTGAAACTGACCACAGCATCATCATCACATTTCTTTTTTTTTTTTTTGAGTCTCGCTCTGTCCCCCAGGCTGGAGTGCAGTGGTGTGATCTCGACTCAGTGCAACCTCCGCCTCCTAGGTTCAAGTGATTCTCCTGCCTCAGCCTCCCGAGAGCTGGGATTACAGGCACATGCCACCACGACCAGCTAATTTTTTGTATTTTTAGTAGAGAGAGGGTTTTGCCATGTTGCCCAGGCTGGTCTTGAACTCCTGAGCTCAGGCAATCCACCCACTTCAGCCTCCCAAAGTGCTAGGATTACAGGTGTGAGCCACCATGCCTGGCCTTCATCACATTTCTTGAAACCCCATTTTTACCTTCATTTGGTCAGGATCACAAAAGTCCAGAAGGGTGTCACAGACATGATAACCTAAGGACTTCAGATCTTCGATGGTAAAGTGGGTGTCTCTTTTATTACCTGGAAAAAAAAAAAACCCCGCAAACATTTCCAATTAAATCTTAGTGACTGAATGTAAATCTAA
The DNA here is from genome assembly GCF_000001405.40 of Homo sapiens. Lineage (NCBI taxonomy): Eukaryota > Metazoa > Chordata > Mammalia > Primates > Hominidae > Homo > Homo sapiens. Next base: position 47,680,138 of record NC_000011.10, read on the forward strand.
TTTATGATTATCTTTTTAAAAATACCACCACTGGCCAGGCGGGGTGGTTTACGCCTGTAATCCCAGCACTTTGGGAGGCCAAGGCAGGCAGATCACGAGGTCAGGAGATTGAGACCATCCTGGCTAACATGGTGAAAGCTCGTCTCTACTAAAAAATACAAAGAAAATTAGCCGGGCGTGGTGGTGGGCGCCTGTAGCCTGTAGTCCTATCTCCTCAGGAGGCTGAGGCAGGAGAATGGCGTGAATCCGGGAGGTGGAGCTTGCAATGAGCTGAGATCGTGCCACTGCACTCCAGCCTGGATGACACAGCAAGACTGTCTCAAAAAAATAAAAATAAAAAATAAAAAAATACCACCACTGGCCAGGCACAGTGGCTCATGCCTATAATCCCAGCACTTTGAGAGACCAAGGCAGGCCCTTCACTTGAGCCTAGGAGTTCGAGACTAGCCTGGGCAACATGGTGAGACCTTGTCTCTACAAAAAATACAAAAATTAGCCTGACGTTGTGGCATGTGCCTATAGTCCCAGCTACTCAGGAGGCTGAGGTTGGAGGCTAAGGTGGGAGGATCGCCTGAGCCAGGGAGGCGAGGTTTCAGTGAGCTGGGATTGCGCCACTGCACTCCAGCCTGGGTAACAGAGGGAGACCCTGAAACAAAACAAAACAAAACAAAACAAAACAAAACAAAACACCTCTTATTCTAGAATATTATGCTTCAGGAGAGTGTAGCTCTCCTAGTTTTAGTTTGGTTCAGAAGAATCTTTGGCAATGAAAAAATTATAATCATGATGGTTCTAATTACTGGGGTTTTTACTTCATGTTAGGCACTATGGGAAGTGCACTCCATGCACCATCTCACTAAGCAGTACCTACAATGCAAGTACTATTATTATTGCAGTAAAAGGAAAATGAGGCTGGGCATGGTGGTTCATGCCTGCCATCCCAGTACTTTGAGAGGCCGAGGCAGGAGGATTGCTTGAGCCAGGGAGTTTGAGGCCAGCTTGAGCAACATAAGGAGACCCTGTCTCTACAAAAAAAATAAAAAAATTAGCCAGGCATGGTGACATGCACCTATAGTCCCAGCTACACGACGGGCTAAGGTGGGAGAATCGCTTGAGCCTGGGAGGTTGAGAATGCAGAGAGCCATGATCATGCCACTACACTCTAGCCTGGGTGAAAGAAACCCTGTCTCAAAAAAACAAAATAAATAAAAATTAAAAAAAGAAAGAAAAAATGAAGTTCAAAAAGGCCAGATAATTTACCCAAGAACACAAAACTTGTTAATGCAGCTGAAATTCAACCCCCTATCTGCCTGATTCCAGGTTTTTTGTTTGTTTGTTTGTTTGTTTTGAGACAGAGTCTCGCTCTGTCACCCAAGCTGGAGTGCAATGGCACGATCTTGGCTCACTGCAACCTTCACCTCCCGGGTTCAAGCGATTCTCCTGCCTCAACCTCCAGAGTAGCTGGGACTACCGGCACGTGCCACCACGCCCAGCTAATTTTTAGTAGAGATGGGGTTTCACCATGTTGGTCACGCTGGTCTTGATCTCCTGACCTCGTGATCTGCCCGCCTTGGCCTCCCAAAGTGCTGGGATTACAGGCGTGAGCCACTGCGCCTGGCCTGATTCCAGGTCTTTAGCAACCACTATGCCATACTGCCTCATCAAATATATTTCACATTCATATGTTGGGCACTCAAATTTAGCATAAGTCTAGACAAAGAAATCCTCTAGATCAGTTATCTCCCCAGCATTCAAAGGCATTTTATCTCCCTGATGCTTTGCTTGGATTTCCCTTCCTATGCTGGCCTATGATATACAAAAGAGAATGTACCCAGGGTGGACCCGCCAAAGGTAGACTCCATGGTGTAGCTGTTTAGGATTCCCATCCGCCACATAACAACTCGTCCTGTTCCTTCTTTGCATTTTTGGACCTTAAAATTACAACTGTGAAAAGAGAACTAAAAAGAAATCCAAATTTTCTGTTAATCATAAATCAGCAAATGTAAAATATCTAAGATTCATTAATATGATACAAGAATAATTTCCTTGGGGTCCATATGTTATTTCCCAAAGCATGTTCCACAAAATACTAATTTGGAGGGATGTTAACAGGTATTACAGGGGAAAAAGGAGTTCTGTGGTCATGTTAGTCAGGGAGATGAAGGGTTAACAAAACTAAACAGGCTCTCTCTGCAAGCCCTCTTAGAGTGTTTAATATGAGGACTGTAATCTTCCAAAGGGAAGAGAGTATATTTGCAATATGTTTTCCAAACATTTTTGCCCATGAACTCTTCCTTCCTGTTGTCCCCACCCCACTCCCCTAAGGAGAATTTTGCAGGAATTGGTTTCCTAGAACATCCGTTTGGCATTCAAGGCACTAGCCAACCTTTCTAAGACTTATTTTCTGCCACTCCCCAACTTGAACCCCTAAATCTAGTTGTGTTTATCTTCTGTCTATGATGTGTATTCCTTACCCCCATAATCTCTGCCTGGAACCCTCTCCCTTACACTAATCTTATCACTTGGAGTTCAATATCCTCCCTTATCTTTTATGACCCCTCAGCCCTTGTGTGTCACTTGGAGTTTGTAATATACACTTGGCACCTCTCTCTATCCACCCTATCGTGCTAAAAAGATTTTGCAGTTGGAAAGTATCTCATTGTCCAGCGATTTTTAAATTGTGCTCTGTGGAATCCAGGGGTTCTATTGAGGAGCCTCAGGGCATTTCTGCTTCATGGAGGGAAGGAGCAGAGGAGACAGAGTTCCCTGCTTCAATTAGTTTGTTTTAGATATGGGTTCTGGGTGTGATTTCCTGAAAGAAAGAAAAGAAGATAAGAGAAGGAAAAGAAGGAAAGAAAAGAAGGAAAGGAAAGGAAAAGAAAGAAAGAAAAAGAAGAAGAGAAGAGAAAAAAAGAAAAGAAAAAAGAGAAGAGAAGAGAAAGAGAAAGAGAGGCCGGGTATGGTGGCTCATGCCTGTAATCCCAGCACTTTGGGAGGCCGAGACGGCCCAATCACCTGAGGTCAGGAATTTGAGACCAGCCTGGCCAAGATGGCGAAACCCCGACTCTACTAAAAATACAAAAAAATTAGCCGGGCATGGCAACATGCACCTGTAATCCCAGCTACTCAGGAGGCTGAGGCAGGAGAATTACTTGAACCTGGGAGGAGGAGGTTGCAGTGAGCTGAGATCGTGCCACTGACTCCGGCTTGGGCGACAGAGCGAGACTCAAAAAACAAAAGAGAGAGAGAGGAAGGAAGGAAAGCTTCCTCCTTTTCTTTTTTTAAACAAATAAGAGTAACAATACAAAATATTTTTATCATATATCTTTATGGGAAAAAGTCTGTAATATCGGTCAGGCACAGTGGCTAACCCCTGGAATCCTAGCACTTTGGGAGGCCGAGGTGGGTGGATCATGAGGTCAGGAGATTGAGACCATCCTGGTCAACATGGTGAAACCCCGTCTCTACTAAAAATACAAAAAAATTTAGCCAAGTGTGGTAGCTTGTGCCTGTAATCCCAGCTACCCAGGAGGCTGAGGTAGGAGAATCACTTCAACTCAGGAGGTGGAGGTTACAGTGAGCTGAGACACACCACTGCACTCCAGCCTGGGAGACAGAGTGAGACTCCATCTCAAAAAAAAAAAAAATTAAAATACTTTTCTAAAGCCAGTGCAGTGGCTCACACCTGTAATCCCAGCACTTTGGGAGGCTGAGGTGGTGAGGCGGGAGAGTTGCTTGAACCCAGGAGTTCAAGACCAGCCTAGGCAACATAGTGAGACCCTGTCTCTATTAAAAAAAAAAAAAAAAAACTTAAAAAAATCCAGTCTAGGCCGTGCGTGGCGTGGTGGCTCAAGCTTGTAATCCCAACACTTTGGGAGACCAAGGCGGGCAGATCACAAGGTAAGGAGTTTGAGACCAGCCTGGCCTACATCTCTACTAAAAATACCCCATCTCTACTAAACCCCATCTCTACTAAAAATACAAAAGTAGCCAGGCATGGTGGCGCCTGCCTGTAATCTCAGCTACTCGGGAGGCTGAGGCAGGAGAATTGCTTGAACCCGGGAGGCGGAGGTTGCAGTGAGTGGAGATCGTGTTACTGCACGATCTGGGTGACAGAGCAAGACTACGTCTTGAAAAAATAAATAAAAGGACGGGTATGGTGGCTCACACCTATAATCCCAGCACTTTGGGAGGCTGAGGCGGGTGGTCAGGAGTTCAAGACCAGCCTTGCCAAGATGGTGAAACCCTGTCTCTATTAAAAATACAAAAATTAGCTGGGTGTGGTGGCGGGTGCCTGTAATCCCAGACCCTCGGGAGGCTGAGGCAGAGAATTGCTTGAACCTGGGAGATGGAGGTTGCAGTGAGCCGAGATCGCGCCACTGCACTCCATCCTGGGCGACAGAACAAGACTCTGTCTCAAAAAAAAAAAATAAGGAGAAGAAAAAAAAATAAGTAAAATAAATAAATAAATAAATAAAAATCCAATCTACTTTCTTCTTCTGAAAGCTACATTTTGTGGATCTATTTATGATGTGAAAAACCAGCTTCTACACCAATGAAGATTACCTGTATATGCCTGTCACAAAATTAGTCAATTATTAAAAACTTTTATATTGTTTTCATTAAGCTCTTTAATATCTTACAATTATTTGTGATCTTCTAGTATATAACCTTTCCTATGAAGACTCATGACATTAGCATTTTGCTTGTCCTTCAATCTCTTCTTCCAGGGTCAACCACCACAGGATAGGTGATAGATAACTGTATATGCAAGAATTTCAACTTATGGAGGGGCGCAGTAGCTCACGCCTGTAATCTCAGCACTTTGGGAGGCCGGGGCAGGCGGATCACTTGAGGTCAGGAGTTTGAGAACAGCTTAGCCAACGTGGTGAAACCCCGTCTCCACTAAAAGTACAAAAAAATTTAGCCAGGCATGGTTGTGCATGCCTGTACTCTCAACTACTCAGGAAACTGAGGCAGGAGAATTGCTTGAATCTGGGAGGCAGAGGTTGCAGTGAGCCAAGATTGCACCACTACACTCCAGCCTCGACAGAGCGAGACTCCGTCTCAAAAAAAAAAATAAAAAAGGATACCACATTTTATTTATCTGTTGATTGGTTGATGGACACAGCAATTCTTTTTTATTCTATTGTTTAGTAGTGGCAGGGGTCTCCCTATGTTGCCCAGGCTGGTCTTGAACTCCTGGGCTCAAGCAATATGCCCACCTCGGCCTCCCAAAGTGCTAGGATTACAGGCATGAGCCACTGTAGCTGGCAGGACACAGCAATTCTTTTTTTTTTTGAGATGGAGTTCTGCTCTTGTTGCCCAGGCTGGAGTGCAATGGCACGATCTCTGCTCACTGCAACCTCTGCTTCCCAAGTTTAAGCGATTCTCCTGCCTCAGCCTCCCAAGTAACTGGCATTACAGGCATGTGCCACCATGCCTGGCTACTTTTTGTATTTTTAATAGAGATGGGGTTTCTCCGTGTTGGTCAGGCTGGTCTCGAACTCCTGACCTCAGGTAATCTGCTTGCCTTGGCCCCCCAAAGTGCTGGGATTACAGGTGTGAGCCACTGTGCCTGGCCCCACAGCAATTCTTAAAACCACGCTTTTCTAAATTCTTGAAGTCTAGGTTGCTCGGATTTACCAAAGATAATAAAAAGAGATACAAAATGCCAAATAAAACACTACATATAGGAAGCAGTGAGTTCCCATGTCCCTAACTCAATGGAGAGAAAATTACATTATGTGCTTACCTTATCTGGTGCATTTTTGCATAACATTAAAGGAAAGACTCGTTCATGAAGCCAGTATTTGCGATTGTTGTTATTACAGCCATACAGGAAGATATTATTCTTACGACTGTGGCCATGGAAATCACAATACAACAGAACCTCTCTTTCTTCAAGAAGTCTATTGAGGGGGCAAACAAAGGACTCAGTGGACACCCAAATGCATACAAATAATTAAGGATCATTTGGTATCTCTTCCTTAAATACAGCTGTTAATACTTTCCCTCCTAAGAAAATCTCAACTCCATTGGCCTTCAATGGACCCTATCTCCATTCTCAGCCACTGCAGAAAACATGTCATCAGCTTGCCTTGCCAGTCAGAAGGACTTGAAATGGAAAATTTCTTTTTTTCTTTTTTGAGACAGGGTCTTGCCCTGTTGCTCAGGCTGGAGTGTAGTGGCCTGACCATGGCTCACTGTAGCCTTGACCTCCTGGGCTCAAGTCATCCGCCCACCTCAGCCTCCTAAGTAGTTGGGACTACAGGCACACACCAATACACCCAGCTATTTTTGTTTCTGGTTTTTTTTTTTTTTTTTTTTTTGTAGAGGCAGGGTGATAGAGTTTGGGTATTTGTCTCTGCCCAAATCTCAGGTTGAGATATAATCCCTAGTGTTGGAGGTGGCGTCTAGCGAGAGGTATTTGGATAGTGGGGGTGGATCCCTCATGAGTGGCTTGGGCCATCCCCTGGTGATACATGAGCTCTCACTCTGACTTTGCACAAGATCTGGTTGTTTAAAAATGTGTGACACTGGCCGGGCACGGTGGCTCATGCCTATAATCCCAGCACTTTGGTAGGCTGAGGTGGGTGGATCACCTGAGGTTAGGAGTTCGAGACCAGCCTGACCAACCTGGTGAACCCCATCTCTACTAAAAATACAAAATTAGCTAGGTGTTGTGGTGCATACCTGTAATGCCAGCTACTTGGCAGGCTGAGGCAGGAGAATCACTTGAACACAGGAGGTGGAGGTTGCAGTAAACCGAGATTGCGCCATTGCATTCTAGCCTGGGCATCAAGAGTGAAACTCTATCTCAAAAAAAAAAAAAAAAAAAATGGTGGGGGGAGGGGGGAGGGATAGCATTAGGAGATATACCTAATGCTAAATGATGACTTAATGGGTGCAGCACACCAGCATGGCACATGTATACATATGTAACTAAGCTGCACATTGTGCACATGTACCCTGAAACTTAAAGTATAATAATAATAAAAAAATAAATAAATAAATAATAAAAAAAAATAAAGTTTAGTTAGATCTTCCTACATGCTGTCTGCAATTCAGAAGGGTGCCTGGTGCACACAGGTAATGATACAGTAAGTTAATCCTTTAATTAATTAAATCCAGGCCCATTAACACCAGAACTGGGCTTTGACTGAACAGATAAAATATTTGACTTAATATCAACAGAGGGGACAGTATTATATGTTTTGTCCTACAAAAATATAGCTCTCTACTAAAAATGAAAAAGAACCCCACTTATACTAGAAATGATGGAAAAACATTCCCGTTATCAATTATTCATTGAAACTAAAGAATATTTAGTTTGGCTGCTAGCACAGTGCCTGGCACACAGTAAATATTCAATAAATGTATGTGAAATTGAAAAAAAAAAATGAACTCCGTCTCAAAAAAAAAAAAGTGTGGCACCTCCCCTACACTTATTCTCTCTCTCCTACTCCTGCTTTCGCCATATGATGTGCCTGCTCCCTCTTTGCCTTCTGCCATGATTGTACGCTTCCTGAGGGCTCCCTAGAAGTTGAGCAGATGCTAGCACCATGCTTCTTGTAAAGCTGCAGAACTATGAGCCAATTAAACCTCTTTTCTTTATAAATTACCCAGTCTAAGGTATTTCTTTCTTTCTTTTTTCTTTTCTTTCTTTCTTTTTTTTTTTTTTTGTTAAGACACAGTCTCACTCTGTCACCTAGGCTGGAGTGCAGTGGCGTGATCTCGGCTCACTGCAACCTCTGCCTCCCAGGTTCAAGCAATTCTAGTGCTTCAGCCTCCTGAGTAGCTGGGATTACAGGCGTGCACCACCATGCCAGGCTAATTTTTGTATTTTTAGTAGAGACGGGGTTTCACCATGTTGGCTAGGCAGGTCTCAAACTCCTGACCTCAAGTGATCTGCCTGCTTCAGCCTCCCAAAGTGCTGGGATTACAGACATGAGCCACCACGCCTGGCCAGATATTTCTTTATAGCAATGCAAATACAACCTAATACACGGGGTCTCACTGTGTTGCTCAGGCTGGTCTCCAACTCCTGGGCTCAAGTGATCCTCCTGCCTCGGCCTCTCAAAGTGCTGGGATTACAGGCATGAGTCACTGTGCCTGACCAGAAATGGAAAAGTTCTGATTTGGAAAGGGGTGGTGGGTAGCCTTGCGTAAGTTGACAAGGAAGTGCAAAAAAGCCTATTGAGAAAAAGCTCACCATGGTGCAGACCTGTGAAGAAAGAGAGGGAGGCAGAGAGTGGGCAGTTGCAGGAAAGAAAAAGAACCAAAGAAAGCCTTGATTCCTGACTTTCGAGGGCCAGTTCCTACAAGGCTCAGCTCTTCTTTGTCTCATGATCACCCAGGACACCTATTCCAGCTTTCCAAATATGTTCACTTTCCCCATGATGAGTATAATAACAACAATGCTACACATTTATAATATGCTGGGTACTATAGTAAATAGATCATGTGATTATCTCAATCCTCACAGTAACCACCCAAGGCAGGTATTATTTTTCCACTCTACAGATGAGAAAGCTGAAGCTCAGACACATTAAATCACTTAGCCAAGGTCACAGAACCAGCCAGCAGTAAAAACAGGTCTCAAACTCAGGCCTGTCTGACTCTGAAACATATGCTCTTTAGCTATGCCTGCCATGGTGCCATCTCAGCTCATTGCAACCTCTGCCTCCCAGGTTCAAGTGATTCTCCTGACTCGGCCTCCTGAGTAGCTGGGATTACAGGCACCCACCATCATGCCCGGCTAATTTTTCTATTTTTAGTAGAGACGAGGTTTCACCATGTTGGCCAGGCTGGTCTCAAACTCCTGACCTCAGGTGATCTGCCTGCCTCAGCCTCCCAAAGTGCTGGGATTACAGGTGTCAGCCACTGAGCCCAGCCCACATATTCTTATATGCTGTATTTTCATTTCCAATGGCATGAAAATTCCTTTAAGGTGGGTGCTATTACATTATAGCCTTCAATGCTTTTATACAGGCTTGAAAACTGCTGACTGATGTTATGATTCTTTCTTTGTGATAGGCAATATAAGATCGTAAAAGGAATTTAGACTCTGGAACCAGAGAGAGAGCCTGTATTTAAATATCTACTTTGTCACTTAATAGCTTTATGACCTTAGGCAAGTTACTTAACCTACCCACTTCTCAATTTTTTTTTTTTTTTTTTTTGAGATGGAGTCTCACTCTGCCACCCAGGCTAGAGTGCAGTGGCACGCTCTTGGCTCACTGCAATCTCTACCTCTTTGGTTCAAGCGATTCTCCTGCCTCAGCCTCTTCAGTAGCTGGGATTACAGGCACCCACCAGCACGCCTGGCTAATTTTTGTATCTTTAGCAGAGACTGGGTTTCGCCATGTTGGCCAGGTTGGTCTTGAACTCCTGACCCCAGGTAATCCGCCCACTTCAGCCTCCCAAAGTGCTGGGATTACAGCCGTGAGCCACCACGCCTGGCCTAGGTTCTCAATTTCTGTATCATACAACATGCGATATTGACTGTGCCTACCTCATAATGTTAATGTGAAGATTAAATGAGTCATGTGTGTAATGCACCTACCATACAGCTTGCCACTTCATGCATACACATTTACTAATTGTTAGCTACTATTATTATGATACAAGTCTCATCATGAAGACCTATGAACTCCCCTGAACTCTGACCTTTTCCATTCAATTATTTCACTTACAAGTGAAATGACTCTTGCTGAAATGTTGCATGTCCAGTTTCAACCCAAAGACAAGACATGATTTAAAAGTCTGAAAATTAACAAAGTCACTTGACTACAAAGAGACTGGTAAGGGCTCTGTCTCCAAAGTCATACTCAATTCCTTTAACAACAGAAGAGACCTCATACCCCATCAGGTAGGGATATCTGGTGCTAGGACTCATAGCAGTCACAGAAAGATCAACAGATAAAAAGTCTCACCTTTTGATCATGTTCCTGGTGTACCAAATACAAGGGAAAGACTCCTTCAGAATGGTTTTATAATGCCTGTTCAAATCCCTTCCGGCCAAGGAACACCGATAATTCCCCACAATCACACCATCTGGATTTAACATGGGAAGCACCTTGAAGACAAAAATATCTCTGAGGAGCTGGGCATCTGGGGAGTTGCTAAGGATGAAGTCCAAAAAGCCTTTCATAACCCAGGAGCCATTACTTTCTCCAGGGTGAACTCTGGCACTCAAGACCACAGCTTTCTTTGCAGCTGCCTCTTGAGGGGTCTGGGATGGGTTGGTGATGGTGAGCAAGTAAACGGTATTTCCTGCTAGGCTCCTGCATAAAGTTTGGAGCTTGCAGAACTGAGACTGGATAGGGTTGTTTGCCACTGACAGGAGGTAGCATTGCAAATCAGTGTATGTATATGGGTAGAAGTGTGCAAAGAAGCAAGTGTCCTGGTCATATGGAAACTGAATGGTCCACGTGAGACAGTAGAAGGGCTGCTGCCCATCATCCGTGTTGTTCTTGTAGTACTTGATTTCATTTCCTTCTCTCCTCCAGCCAATATTGCGGGTGTTGGCATCCAATTGGGAGTACAAGAGTGGCTTCATCCCTACAGTATAAAGACTCTTGGGTTTTAGCAAGTTGACAATGGTGAAGCGATAGGTAGCATCTTTTCTGGTGTTCTGAACACGAAAATAAAACCACTGAGTGTGTTTGTTAGTGTAGAGGTCAGTTCGCAAGGTGAGTTCATACTCATAGGTGTCTCTGTAATGGAGAAAATAGAACAACTCTGTAAGCTTACACCCTGCCTTAAAAAACAAATTGGGAAAATGTTGTTTTCTCCTGGTAAAAACAGGTCTTATTACAACAGAAAAATCTGCTACCTTAATCATTTATTCTCTGTAATCCCAGCACTTTGGGAGGCTGAGGCGGGCTGATTACCTGAGGTCAGGAGTTCAAGACCAGCCTGGCCAACATGGTGAAACCCCATCTCTACTAAATATACAAAAAAAAAAAAAAATTAGCCAGGTGTGGTGGCGGGTGCCTGTAATCCCAGCTACTCAGGAGGCTGAAGCAAGAGAATCACTTGAACCCACGAGGTGTAGGTTGCAGTGAGCTGAGATCGTGCCATTGCTCTCCAGCCTGAGCAACAGAGCAAGACTCCATCTTGAGGAAAAAACAAACAAACAAACAAAAACAATAAGGAAGTATATCTATGGTACTGCCATAGAAAAACACCTGAAATTTATGAAGTGGAAAAAAAATTTGCCAATTTGCAAAACAATATGTACATACACCATTAATCAATTTTTATTTTAAAAATATATAAATGGCCGGGCACAGTGGCTCATGCCTGTAATCCCTGCACTTTGGGAGGCCGAGACGGGCAGATCGCGAAATCAGGAGATCGAGACCATCCTGGCTAACATGGTGAAATCCCGTCTCTACTAAAAATACAAAAAAATTAGCCAGGCATGGTGGCAGGCGCCTGTAGTCCTAGCTACTCAGGAGGCTGAGGCAGGAGAATGGCATGAACCTGGGAGGCGGAGCTTGCAGTGAGCCAAGATCATGTCACTGCACTCCAGCCTGGGCAACAGAGAGAGACTCCATCTCAAGAAAAAAAAAAAAAAAAAAAATATATATATATATATATATATATATAATTTGTGCATATTACATATACACACACAGAAAAATATTAAGGCATATACACTAAACTTAATATTTGCTGCATCTAGGAAGTATGACTATAGGACTTTTTATGTTACATATTTTTACTAATACAAATTTTAGGTGAGCTCTAATTTCTTCTATAAGCAAAGTAAACAATTTAGAAAACATTTTATTTTGGGGAAAAAATGAGTAATAATTACTCCATTTTTCTTCATACCCATAACTATTCCCCATCACCTCTTTCTTTTTTGCAAGTACTTCTGATTCCTAATATCATTACTGAAGACACCTTCTAGTCACTCCAATTATCATCCCTTTGAGAAATTGTTACTCACACTCTGACAGCTTTTTGCAGATTCCCACTCTCAAACCTTGATTCAAACAGTAGAGTATTATCTTCTGGTCCTTGCAACGTGACAGCAAGTTCCTTGACAATTCCTCGTTTGCCTCCCACTCTGGAACTGGTAAAATAGGAACCTTCTATAGGCACTGCAGAGAAAAGATATATTTAGGCTAGGTTCTACTCAGAATCCACTCATTCAGCAAATACTTAAGTGGCCCCTCTAAGTGGTCAACACTATTCTAGACCAACAATGAAATTTCTAATTTTCAACTATCTTTGCAGAGACTTTTAATCTTTTTTTTTTTTTTTTTTTTTTTTTGGGACAGAGTCTCACTCTGTCACCCAGGCTGGAGTGCAGTGACACGATCTTGGCTCACTGCAAGCTCCGCCTCCCAGGTTCATGCCATTGTCCTGCCTCAGCCTCCCGAGTAGCTGGGACTACAGGCGCCCACCACCACGCCTGGCTAATTTTTTTGTATATTTAGTAGAGACGGAGTTTCACCGTGTTAGCCAGGATGGTCTCGATCTCCTGACCTTGTGATCTGCCCGTCTCAGCCTCCCAAAGTGCTGGGATTACAGGTGTGAGCCACCACGCCTGGCCATCCAACATCAATTTTTTTTTAAATGAATTATGCTTTTGGTGTCATATCTAGAATCCACTGCCACATCCAAGGTCATGAAGATTTATCCCTATGTTTTGATTTATCCCTATGTTTTCTTTGTTTGAGACAGGGTCTCACTCTATCACCCAGGCTGGAATGCAGCAGCGTGAATCACAGTTCACTGCAGCCTCTACCTTTTGTGCTCAAGTGATCCTCCCACCTCAACTTCCTGAGTAGCTGGGACCACAGGAGTGCACCACCACACCCAACTAATTGTTTAATTTTTTTGTAGAGATGAGGTCCCACTATGTCACCCAGGCTATTCTTGAACTCCAGGGCCCAAGCGATCCTCCTTCTTCAGCCTCCCAAAGTGCTGAGTTTACAGACATGAGCCATTGCATCCTGCAGATACCTGTTTCTTTCTTTCTTCCCTCCCTGCCTCCCTCCCTCCCTTCCTTCCTTCCTTTTTTTGACAGGGTCTTGCTCTGTCACCCAGGCTGGAGCAGTTGCACAATCATATCTCATGGCAGCCTCAAACATCTGAGTTCAAGTGAACCTCCTGCCTCAGCCTCCTGAGTAGCCTGGACTACAGGCGTGCACCACCCTGCCCGGCTCATTTGTTTTAAGATTTTTATAGTTTCAGTACTTATCTTTAGGCCACTGATCCATTTTGGGTTAATTTTTAAATATGGTATGAAGTAGGGATTCAACTTCATTCTTTTGAGTGTGGCTATACAGTTATCCCAACACCATTTGTTATAGAGGCCATTCTTTCTCCACTGAACAGTCTTGGCACCCTTGTCAAAAATGAATTGACCAAAAATATGAGTTTATTTTTGGACTCTCAGTTCTGTTTTAGTGACCTATATGCCTACCCTGTGTTAGGATTATACTGTTTTGATTACTGTATGTTCGTAGTGTTTTGAAATCAAGAAATGTGAATCTTCGAATTTTGTACTTCTTTTTTTGTATTGGCTATTCAGGGCCCTTTACAATTCCATATAAATTTGAGGAACATCTTTTCGTTCTGCATAAAAGCCCTTTGAAGTTTCCAGATTCTAGAGGGAAAGTTTTCAGTCTTTCCCCACTGAATATGTTATTCTTGTCATGTGTAGGTCACCAGGTGTCTTCTCCGTTCCATTATATCAGTGGTCAGCCAGTGACCAGACAGAGATTTCTTCAATAACCAGGGCTTGGCTAGGTGTAGTGGCTCATGCCTGTAATCCCAGCACTTTGGGAGGCTGAAGTGAGAGGATTGCTTGGGCTCAGAAGTTTGAGACCAGCCTGGGCAACATGGCAAAATGTCGTGTGATATACTCTGTACAAAAAATACAAAAGTTAGCTGGGTGGTGGTGTGCACCTGTAGTCCCAGCTACTCGGGATGCTGAGGCGGCAGGATTGCTTCAGCTGAGAGGTCGAGGCTGCAGTGATTTGTGATTTTTCCACTGCACTCCAGCTTGGGTGACAAAGTGAGATCCTATCATTCATTCATTCATTCATTCACTCACTCCCAAGCCAAAAAAAAAAAAAGCACAAAACTTTCCTAGTCTGGGCAGACTGGCTTTGAGGTGAGGCACTCCTCAACACTAAGTCAGGCTGCCAAAAACTCGATGTTAGCCTTCCTCTTTAGTTGCACAGAGCCCAACCACCAACCAGAGATGCAAGCCTAGGATCCTCTCAGGTTTTTTCTGAATGTGGGTCCAGCCCTAGCCATGTATACTGCGTTCTCCAGTATATGTGGAGGCCCTTCCAAGTGCTCATTTCCCCAAGAATCTTTCTCCTCAGCTTCTTTCCCAGGCTTTTGGGCCTATCTGCTCCTTGCCTATTTGCTATCCCTTGCCCCAGGTAGCTATGAGCAGTGTATGTCTTTAAATACACTTTAAAATTTGATAGATGCAGATGGCACCTGGAAAAACTGCTTTAGCCTGAGGGAGGCAGTAACAAAAGTCAGTCTTTCCTCTGGCTCCTCAAGGAATTGTGAGAAAGGTAAAAAAGAGTCACGACCAGTTTGAGAATAAGGTCTACATTGTCCTCCTCCCCTCTTCCACTTCCAACACCAGCATTCCACATCAGGATGGCGGGCTGCTATCCTCATGACCTCTGCTAGGCAGGGGAATGGGGAATAGTAAGTGGGCAAACAAAAATGGCACAACAGGCCAGGCGTGGTGGCTCATGCCTGTAATCCCAGCACTTTGGGAGGCTGAGGCGGGTGGATCACTTGAGGTCAGGAGTTCAAGACCAGCCTGGCCAACATGGTGAAACCCAGTGTCTACCAAAAAGATAAAAAATTAGCCAGGTGTGATGGCGGGTGCCTGTAATTCCAGCTACTCAGGAGGCTGAGGCAGGAGAATTGCTTGAACCCGGGAGGCAGAGGTTGCAGTGAGCCGAGATTGCGCCACTGCACTCCAGACTGGGCAACAGACCGAGACTCCGTCTCAAAAAACAAACAAACAAAACAAAAACAAAAACGCCACAACAAAGGCTGGGCATGGTGGCTCACGCCTGTAATCCCAGCACTTTGGGAGGCTGAGGTGGGTGGATCACCTGAGGTCAGGAGTTAGAGACCAGCCTGGCTGAAATAGTGAAACCCTGTCTCTACTAAAAATGCAAAAATTAGTCAGGTGTGATGGTAGGCAACTATAATTCTAGCTACTTGGGAGGCTGAGGCAGGAGAATCGCTTGAACCTGGGAGGCAGAGATTGCGGTGAGCCGAAATCACACCACTGCACTCCAGCCTGGGCGACGAAAGTGAAACTCTGTCTCAAAAAAAAAAAAAAAAAAAACAGTTGAGGGGAATGGGACCTGTAATCCTAGCACTTTGGGAGGTTGAAGTGGGTAGATTGCTTGAGCACAGGAGTTTGAGACCAGCCTGGGCAGCGGTGAAACCCTGTCTCCACTAATAATACAAAAAATTAGCTGGGCAGGGTGGTACATGCCTGTAGCCCCAGCTACTCAGGAGGCTAAGGTTGGACAATTCACTTGAGCCTATAAGGTGGAGGATACAATGAGCCATGTTCATCCCACTGCACTCCAGCCTGGGCGACAGAGGAAGATCCTGTCTAAAAATTAAAAAAAATAGTTGGGAAACATTTTTTCCTCTTCTGTTTTCAGAGTTGGTGAAATATTGGTATTATTTCATCTTTAAATGTTTAACAGAATTCAAACAAACCAGCCAGGTGTGGTGGGTCACGCCTGTAATCTCAGCACTGTGGGAGGCGGAGGCAGGTGGATCACTTGAGGCCAGAAGTTTGAGACCAGCCTGGCCAATATGGTGAAACTCCGTCTGTACTAAAAATACAAAAAAAAAAAAAAAAAAAAAAAAAAGAAAAAAAAAAATTAGCTGGGCGTGGTGGCGCACACCTGTAATCCCAGCTACCCTGGAGGCTGAGGAACAAATCGCTTGAACCTAGAAAGTGGAGGTTGCAGTGCCATGCACTCCAGCCTGGGTGACAGAGTAAGTGAGACTCTGTCTCAAAAAAAAAAAAAAAAAAAGATTTCAAACAAACCTTGTGAAGTAGGTCATTTGAGCCTGGGTTTTGTTTGTTTGTTTGTTTGTTTTTTGTTTTTTGAGACAGAGTCTTGCTGTGTTGCCCAGGCTGGAGTGCAGTGGTGTGATCTTGCCTCACTGCAACCTCCACCTCCCTGGTTCAAGCAATTCTCCTGCCTCAGCCTCCCAAGTAGCTGGGACTACAGGTGCGCACCACCATACCAGGCTACTTTCTTTGTGTTTTTAGTAGAGAGACAGGGTTTCACGTAGGCCAGGCTGGTCTCAAACTCAAGACCTCAGCTGATCCACCTGCCTTGGCCTCCTAAAGTGCTGGGATTAGAGGCCTGAACTACCAGGCCCCAGGTGGGCCTGGGTTTTCTTTGTGGAAAGATTTCTAATTATTATTTCTTTGTTATAATGTATTTAAACCTTTTATTTCTTCCTTGAGTCAGTTTTTGTAACTTTCTAGCAATTCGTCCTGTTGATCTAAATTGTCTAATTTGTTGTCATAAAGTTGTTAATAGTATTACCTTGTAATTTTTTTGATTTGTACAGGTTTGGTCCTTATGTTACCTTTTTCATTTCTGATTTTGATAATTTGTGCCTCTTTTCCTTTCTTGGGTTAGCAAATGTGTTTCAATTTTGTTGATGTTCCAAACAACCAACTTTTGGTTTGTTTTTCTCCATCAGTTTTCTGTCTTCTATTCAATGCTTTCCTTTTTTATTTTTTATTTATTTATTGATTTTTGAGATAGAGTCTCGCTCTGTCACCCAGGCTGAGTATAGTGGCACAATCTTGGCTCACTGCAACCTCTGCCTCCTGGGTTCATGCAATTCCCCTGCCTCAGCCCCCCAAGTAGCTGGGATTACAGGGGCATGCCACCACACCCAACTAATTTTTGTATTTTTAGTAGAAACAGGGTTTCACCATGTTGGTCAAGCTGGTCTCACACTCCTGATCTCAAGTGATCCACCCACCTCAGCCTCCCAAAGTGCTAGGATTACAGGTATGAGGCACCACATCCAGCCTCTTAATGATGATGATGATGATTTTTTGAGATGGAGTCTCGGTCTGTCGCCCAGGCTGGAGTGCAGTGGCACAATCTTGGCTCACTGCAACCTCCACCTCCCAAG
The DNA here is from genome assembly GCF_000001405.40 of Homo sapiens. Classification (NCBI taxonomy): domain Eukaryota; kingdom Metazoa; phylum Chordata; class Mammalia; order Primates; family Hominidae; genus Homo; species Homo sapiens. The sequence goes on from NC_000011.10 coordinate 47,697,334, forward strand.
GTTCAAGGGATTCTCCTGCCTCAGCCTCCTGAATAGCTGTAACTACAGGCGCATGCCATCATGCCCGGCTAATTTTTTGTATTTTTAGTAGAGATGGGGTTTCACCATGTTAGCCACGATGGTCTCGATCTCCTGACCTTATGATCCGCCCACCTTGGCCTTCCAAAGTGCTGGGATTACAGGCGTGAGCCACCTCGCCAAGCCTACTTTTTTTTTTTTTTTTTTTTTTTGAGACGGAGTCTTGCTCTGTCGCCCAGGCTAGAGTGCAGTGGCGCAATCTTGGCTCACTGCAAGCTGTGCCTCCCGGGTTCACGCCATTCTCCTGCCTCAGCCTCCCGAGTAGCTGGGACTACAGGCGTGTGCCACCACGCCCGGCTATTTTTTTTGTATTTTTAGTAGACACGGAGTTTTTCCGTGTTAGCCAGGATGGTCTCAATTTCCTGACCTCGTCGTCCGCCCGCCTCAGACTCCCAAAGTGCTGGGATTACAGGCGTGAGTCATCGCGCCCGGCCTTTTTTTATTTTATTTTTTATTTTTTTTTAATGAGACGGAGTTTCACCCTTGTTGCCGAGGCTGGAGTGCAGTGGCGCCATCTTGGCTCACAGCAACCTCCAACTCCCAAGGTTTAAACGATTCTCCTGCCTCAGCCTCCTGAGTAGCTGGGTTTACAGGCGCCTGCCACCATGACTGGCTAATTTACTGTGTTTTAGTAGAGACAGAGTTTCACCATGTTGGGCAGGCTGGTCTCGAACTGCCGACCTCAGGTGATCTGCCCATCTTGGCCTCCCAAAGTGCTGGCATTACAGGTATGAGCCACCAAGCCCAGTCTACATAATTTTTTTTTTTTTTTTTTTTTTGAGACGGAGTTTCACTCTTGTTGCCCAGGCTGGAGTGCATGGCACGATCTTGGCTCACCACAACCTCTGCTTCCCAGGTTCAAGAGACTCTCCTGCCTTAGCCTCCCAAGTAGCTGGGATTGCAGGCATGCACTACCACACCTGGCTAATTTTGTATTTTCAGTAGAGATAGGGTTTCTCCATGTTGGTCAGGCTGGTCTGGAACTCCCAACCTCAGGTGGTCTGCCTGCCTCGGCCTCCCAAAGTGCTGGGATTATAGGCGTGAGCCACAGCGCCCAGCCACATTCTTATTTTTATTACTACTTTCCTGCTGCTTGCTTTGGGTTTAGTTGGCTCTTATTTTTCCAGTTTACTAAGGTAGAAGCTTAGGTAATTGATAAGAAGCCTTTTTCGTTTTGAAATTCAGGCACTTAAAGCCATAAATACCCATAAATATCCCTGGCACTGGTTCATTTTGTTTTGCATCCTATAACTTTTGATATGTTATGGTTTTATTTTCACTACATTCAAAATATTTTTGAAGTCTACTTGTGATTTCTTTAACCCACAGTTTATTTAGAAAGATGTTATTCAATTTCCACATATTTATGGATATCTCATATTTCATTCTGTTGTTGATTTCTAACTTAATTTTATTATGGTCAGAGAATGTACTTTGTATTATTTTAATCCTTTTACATGTATAAAAACTTCCATTACGGCCTAACATATGGTTTATCCTGGGGAATCTAACAGGTACCCTTAAAAAGAATGTGTATGACTTCAGTAGGAATGGCAAAAAAAAAAAAAAAAAAAGAATGAGTATTTTGTTGTTGTTAGGTATGGTGTTCTGCATATTTCTATAAAAGATATATATTCAATCCTTAGAAGCTTAAAACTCAACACAGGAAACTGCATTACTAAATGACAGTCATATGCACATAGAACAAAGTACTCACTAAAGTACGTATAACAGGTGGAGAAAAGAAATCTCCCCAAAGATGATCCAACATCTGATTTTCAGGAAGGAGAATAACAAGAGAGAAGCTGTAAAATGGACTTAGAACTATTAAAAATAATGTACTTTGATTTTAGAAAATTATCGAAATTTTGCAGCAGACTGGTTATGACTCCTCCTCCAGGCTCCCACTCATGTTGGCCTGGAAAAGAGTTTACCACTAAACTATGGATTTTTAAAATCACTTTTATTATGGAACATATGTTTATTATAACTTTGTCATGATTAACCATTCATTGTTCAGTGTAATGACAATACCTGAATCTAATTGATAGACAACTGTTCCTTTTTTCTCTCCTACAATCTCTGGTACCTTTTCATTTCCTTTAGGCTGATAGAAATATTCTGGTTGAGGTGGAGCCCACTCTGAAAGAAGACATTTTAAAAAGTACAAAATAAGAAATAATGTAAACGGCACTATCAGAACTAATATAAAATAATAATAATAATTTTTCAAATGGCTAGTTTGGTTGAATCAAACCAAATTCCCACCCTAAATTTCCTGCTTGTTTATAAAATAATTATGTCTTGTTTCTTTCTATAAAGACTTATGAGGACACTTTTAACAAAGAGCATATAAAATGAAATATAAACTATCCATAGAAGACCTAAGAATAAGTCAGAAAGGTCAATATAGCTGCTGCAACAGCTCTTCAAAATTTGGCCCTGAGTTTCCTTAAAGTGAGCAAAATATGGTCATTAACATAATTTTTTTTATTACCATAGAGGACTAGGTCTATCAATTGTTTCAGAGGAAGCAAGCCTTTTTCTTTTCTTTCTTTTTTTTTGAGATGGAGTCTTGCTCTATTGCTCAGGCTAGAGTGCAATGGTGCAATCTCGGCTCACCGCAACCTCCGCCTCCCGGGTTCAAGCGATTCTCTCGCCTCAGCCTCCTGAGTAGCTGGGATTACAGACATGTGCCACCACTCCCGGCTAATTTTGTATTTTTAGTAGAGACAGGGTTTCTCCATGTTGGTCAGGCTGGTCTCAAACTCTCGACCTCAGGTGATCCGCCCTCCTCTGCCTCCCAAACTGCTGGGATTACAGGTGTGAGCCACTGTGCCTAGCGAAGGCTTTTTCATTAACACTGAATTTAAAAAGATTTCTTTGGCTGGGTGCAGCGGCTTATGCCTGTAATCCCAGCACTTTGGGAGGACAAGGTGGGTAGATTACCTGAGGTCGGGAGTTCGAGACCAGCCTGGCCAACATAGTGAAACTCTGCCTCTACTAAAAATACAAAAATTAGCCGGGTATTGTGGCATGTGCCTGTAGTCCCAGCTACTCGGGAGGCTGAGGTAGGAGAATCGCTCTAACCTGGGAGGCGGAGGTTGCAGTGAACCGAGATCACGCCACTGCGTGCCAGCCTGGGCGAACAGAGCAAGACTCTGTCTCAAAATAAATTTAAAACAAACAAACCAACAAACAAACAAACAAACATTTCCTTTACGGAACTTGAACTTTTCAATATCATTTTTAGAAGAGTAGCCACTGATGAATTCCAAGAGCATATAAAGATACACCTCAGTCAAATATTACATGAATTTATTTTCTCGAAGATTATAGGAAGTGATGAGGCTTTCACAATTTAGTTTAAACAATAAGGTGCTTGCATGCCTGTAATCCCAGCACTTTGGGAGGCCAAGGAGAGTGAATCATGAGGTCAGGAGATCGAGACCAGCCTGGCCAACACGGTGAAACCCCGTCTCTATTAAAAAATACAAAAATTAGCCGAGTTACAGTGGGCACCTGTAATCCCAGCTACTCAGGAGGCTGAGGCAGAATTGCTTGAACCCAGGAGACAGAGGCTGCAGTGAGCTGACGCGGTGCCACCGCACTCCAGCCTGGGCGACAGAGTGAGACTCTGTCTCAAAAAAAAAAACAAACAAACAACCAATAAGGTGCTTATTAATACAATTTAGTTTAAACAATAAGGTGTTTGTTAATAAGTTTCTTTGAAACATTTTTTTAAAAATTGCTTTATAAAAGATCATGTAGTTGGCTGGGCGCAGTGAGTGGCTCACGCCTGTAATCCCAGCACTTTGGGAGGCCGAAGCGGGCGGATCATGAGGTCAGGAGTTCGAGACCAGCCTGACCAACATGGTGAAACCCCGTCTCTACTAAAAAAAGTAAAAAATTAGCCAGGCGTGGTGGTGCACACCTGTAATCCCAGCTACTCAGGAGGCTGAGGAGGGAGATTGCTTGAACCTGGGAGGCGGAGGTTGCAGTGAGCCGAGATTGTGCCATTGCACTCCAGACTGGGCGACAGAGCAAGACTCCGTCTCAAAAAAAAAAAAAAAAAAGATCTTGTAGTTTAGTGAATTACCACAGCATTAACTTGGTTATTAAATTCCAGTGTCCTTGCTGGGGGTGGTGGCTCACACCTGTAATCTCAGCACTTTAGGAGGCCAGGAGGATCATTTGAGGCCAGGAGTTTGGGAGTAGCCTGGGCAACATAGTGAGACCATGTGTCTCTACAAAAAAACTATTTAAAAATGAGCCAGGTGGCCGGGCACAGTGGCTTACACCTGTAATCCCAGCACTTTGGGAGGCTGAGGCAGGCAGATCACTTGAGGTCATGAGTTCGAGACCAGCCTGGCCTACATGGTGAAACCCCGTCTCTACCAAAAATATAAAAAATGAGCAGAGTGTGGTGGCACGTGCCTGTAATCCCAGCTACTTGGGAGGCTGTGGCAGAGAAGCACTTGAACCTGGGAGGCGGAGGTTGCAGTGAGCCAAGATCATGCCACTGCACTCCAGCCTGGGCGACAGAGCGAGACTCTGTTCTCAAAAAAAAAAAAAAAAAAAGAAAAAAAATTAGCCAGGCATGGTGGTGCACGCCTATAGTCCTAGCTACTCAGGAGGCTGAGAGGGGAGGATGGCTTGTGCCCAGGAGTTCAAGGCTGCAGTGAGCTATGATTGCACCACTGCACTCCAGCCTGAGTGACAGAACAAGACCCTGTCTCAAAAATAAAATATAAAGTCAAATAAACTCTACTTTTATTTTTTCCCTATATTTTCAGACTCTTCTCTTGTTTTTAATGCTCAATGTTCTATGGTTGCCCAAGCATGCCATGCTCTTTTTCTGTTTCTTCCAACTGAAATACTTTTCTTTGACCCTCTTAATTGGATCATTTCGAACTCATCCTTTAGATCTCAGCTTAGTTGTCAACTCCTTTTGAAAACTTATGCTGATCTCTAAGCTGGGTTAGGTATGCTCAGAGGGACCAAGCACTATGCAATTGTCTGTTAAAATGTTTAACTTCCCCACTAGTTCATGAACTCTGGGTCCATGAACTCTCCACTTTGCTCATCACTACTATCTCTAGCACCAAGCACTGTACTTAGCATATAACAACACATATGAACGAATATTATAAAGCAGGGAGACAGAAAATGAGGAACATCCAGCTGGGTGCGGTGGCTCATGGCTGTAATCCCAGCACTTTGGGAGGCCGAGGCGGGTGGATCATGAGGTCAGGAGTTCGAGACCAGCCTGACCAAGATGGTGAAACCCCGTCTGTACTAAAAATACAAAAATTAGCTGGGTGCGGTGGTGGGTGCCTGTAATCCCAGCTACTCCAGAGGCTGAGGCAGGAGAATCGCTTGAACCCGGGAGGCGGAGGTTGCAGTGAGCCGAGATGGAGCCATTGCACTCTAGCCTGGGTGATAGAGCAAGACTCCGTCTCAGAAAAAAAAAAGGAACATCCAGTTGTTTATTCAGTAGTATAAAGCAGAGACATACGTGATGTTTGCTAGACTTGTTCTGGTAATTAGAGAAGTCCCCACTTTCTAATGCAACCCAATTCCATAAATGCTTAATCCATAAAATGGATGCAGAAGATTGTACTTGCTCCAAGAGCTCACAGGTATGACCCATAATGTCATAAAAAAGTCTCCACCATTCCGACAAGAAAACTCCAATAAACTCAAAATATAAAATTAAATTAATTTTATATTTAATTAAAAACTGTAAAAACTATGTCGTGGTATATGTAGTCTTCAATTATACCAAGACTGGTAAAAATACCACACAACCAAACACATTAATACTGAGACAGGGTAGCACCCCTGTATTTTTAGATAAGATGCTATGCCCTCTCTCCAAAAAATGAAAAAGAAAAGAAAAAAACCACTGAAACAGGTTAATCTAGAAAACAGATTTCAGTATTTATATATTTTGGCTTCTAGGAAGGTATCCTCTCATTCTGAAAAACTCAGAAGCATTCTAGTTTACACATTAGTGTAACTTGATTTTGGTGAGTTTATATCAGTTTCTCACAGTTTAATTTTTTCCAGGGTGAGTTAATAAATGTTGACTCTAGGCTGAGTGCACTGGCTTATGCCTGTAATCCCAGCACTTTGGGAGGCCAAGGCGGGTGGATCACTTAGCATCAGGAGTTTGAGACCAGCCTGGCCAACATGGAGGAACGCTGACTCTAATAAAAATAAAAAACTAGCCGGGTGTGGTGGCTCACATCTGTAATCCCAGCACTTTGGGAGGCCGAGGCGGGTGGATCACCTGAGGTTGGGGAGTTCGAGACCAGACTGACCAACATGGAGAAACCCCGTTTCTACTAAAAATACAAAATTAGCCGGGTGTGGTGGCACATGCCTGTAATCCCAGCTACTCAGGGGGCTGAGGCAGGAGAATCATTTGAACCTGCGAGGCGGAGGTTGCAGTGAGCCGAGCTCATGCCATTGCACTCCAGCCTGGGCAACAAGAGCGAAAGTCAGTCTCAAAAAAAAAAAAAAACAAAAAAAAAACTAGCCAGGCGTGGTGGCCAGGCATCTGTAATCCCAGCTACTTGGGGGGCTTAGGCAGGAGAATCACTTGAACCTGGGAGGTGGGGGTTGCCATGAGTCGAGATTGCGCCACTGCACTCCAGCCTGAGTGACAGAGTGAGACTCTGTCTCAGTAAATAAATAAATAAATAAATGTTGACTCTGTCCTGCCTTATACTTAAGCACGTAGGACTTAACATTCTCAGATCTTGTAATAAAGTCAGGCAGAAGGCCGGGCTTGGTGGCTTATGCCTGTAATCCCAGCACTTTGGGAGGCCAAGGTGGGCGGATCACGAGGTCAGGAGTTCGAGACTAGCTTTGCCCACATGATGAAACCCCGTCTCTACTTAAAAATGCAAAATTAGCTGGGCGTGGTGGTGTGCGCCTGTAATCCCAGCTACTCAGTAGGAGGCTGAGGGAGGAGAATCCCTTGAACCTGGGAGACAGAGGTTGCAGTGAGCTGAGATTGCGCCATTGCACTCCAGCCTGGGAAATAGAGTGAGACTTCGTCTCAAAAAAAAAAAAAAAAAAGTCAGGCAGAATAGCAAGACCACTGTGAGTAAGTCATATTACCAATATGATGGATGTTTTCCTTGATGACCTCACATTCAATTGGCCATCTTGGAGCCTGCAGTGGCCTCTTGGTAGACAAAATGGAAAAGAGCTCTTGGGGTTCTCGAAGACGTGGGTTTACTTCATCCAACTCATCATAAAGAAGCTGTCTGCTCCTAAGATGTGGTAAACTCAGCATATGTGAATCTGCCAAAGGGAAAGAGAGTAAGTGAACATCTTCCTTTTCCTCCTTGGGAACTTTACTGCTCATCTATAACAATGAAACTATTTTAAGCATTATATTAAAATATTAGCACAGATATGTGATTCTCTGACATGTTTCTCCTTCAAGAAGATTTAGTCCAGAATAACAGGTTCAAAATTATAAAACGTTAAAATTCTGCACAGTCTATTAAATGTTTAAATATAAAGCTTTAGGGTAAATTAAAAACCTTTTAAAAATTAAATTTAATGGTCCAAGACATTTCAACAGTGGGTTACAATGAATAAGAAGTTACTTAATATGTTTTATTATTTTTGTTTAGCTAGTGGCAAGAGAGGAAATTTCAATATATCCATTAGCATTTTAGAAAAAATTACATAAAACTTTATTCTTTTTTTCTTCTTTTTTATCAACTATAGTGAAATAATCTATAAATAAAATTTCAGGGCCATAATATAACCATACAAAGGAAAGACAGACATAAAACAAAGAAGATGGAAAGAGGAAGGGGAGAGAAGGCATGAGATGGGGCAGAAGAGAGGAAGAGCTCTTGGGAAAGAAAGAATGAGAAAAAAGGGAAGAAAAGAAAGGCTTTCAGGAAGATAAAAAAGAAAGGAGGGGCCAGGCGTGGTGGCTCAAGCCTGTAATCCCAGAACTTTGGGAGGCTGAGGCGGGCTGATCATCTGAGTTCAGGAGTTCGAGACCAGCCTGGCCAACGTGGTGAAATCCTGTCTCTACTAAAAACATAAAAATTAGCTGGGCGTGGTGGCACATGCCTGTAATCCCAGCTACTCGGAAAGCTGAGGCAGGAGAATCCTTGAATCTGGGAGGTGGAGGTTGCAGTGAGCTGAGGCCGCGCCACTGCATCCAGCCCAGGCAAGAGTGAAAGTCTGTGTCAAAAAAAAAAAAAAAAGAAAAAGAAAAAGAAGAAAGGGAATGAGGAAAAAAGAAAAAAATGGAAATGAAAGGGGGAACTAAAGGCTGAGGGTCCTTCAGTGCTCATCAGGCATGAATCCCATTCCTGTCTGGTAATTCTTAGGTCTGGTGGGAACAGCAGGTGATGAAGACATAGTCCAAAAAAGGAGCTTGAATCTTCTGGTCTGGAAGGACATGAAATACCTCTGTTGATGGCTTCTATCTGTCTGTGCACAGCTGAAGATAAACTGATAGGCCCTAGAAAGAGGAAGAGGAGGCACCCTTGGTGTCAGGGATCGTTGTCTTCTTTTCTTCTGTCTGCTATCCCCATCCCTTCTCATTTCCTATGCTCACTCTGGACCCCTGCATTTCTATCTAAATCTTTCTCCCATACTTTAATGGGGGAAATAAAAGGAAATAAACATTTGAAAAGATAGTAAAGCTGCACAATGTCACTCATAACTAAAGAAATATAAAGCAGTTTGGGCACGGTAGCTCACACATGTAATCCTAGCACTTTGGGAGGCCAAGGCGGGCGGATTACCTGAGGTTGGGAGTTCAAGACCAGCCTGGCCGGCTGGGCGCGGTGGCTCATGCCTGTAATCCCAGCACTTTGGGAGGCTGAGGTGGGCGGATCACGAGGTCAGGAGATCGAGACCATCCTGGCTAACATGGTGAAATCCTGTCTCTACTAAAAATACAAAAGATTAGCCCGGCGTGGTGGCAGGCGCCTGTAGCTCCAGCTACTCGAGAGGCTGAGGCAGGAGAATGCCGTGAACCCGGGAGGCGGAGCTTGCGGTGAGCCTAGATTGCGCCACTGCACTCCAGCCTGGGGCACAGAGCAAGACTCCGTCTCAAAAAAAAAATAAATAAAAATAAAAATAAATAATTGTGGAATATGACAGGTGCCCTTATAAAGAATGGGGTAAAGGCAGGAGAGGTGGCGTGTGCCTATAGTCCCACCTAGTCCAGAGGCTGCAGGGTAGGGGTTGGGTTGTGGTCACTTGAGCCCAGGAATTTGAGTCCAGCCTCAAAAGAATGTGTTTTTTGTTTTGTTTGTGGTGCTCATATGAAAAGGCTTTCTCTTTTGTTTTTTTAAGACAGGGTTGCTGGGTGTGGTGGCTCACACCTGTAATCCCAGCACTTTGGGAGGCCAAGGCAGGCGGATCATTTGAGGTCAGGAGTTCGAGACCAGCCTGGCCAACATGGTGAAACCCTGTCTCTACTATTCCAAAAAAAAAAAAAAAAAAAAAAGAATTAGCCGGGCCTGTAATCCCAGCACTTTGGGAGGCCAAGGCAGGCGGATCACTTGAGGTCAGGAGTTCAAGACCAGCCTGGCCAATATGGTGAAACCCTGTCTCTACTAAAAAAAAAAAAAAAAAAAAAAAATTTAGCCAGGCATGGTGGCACGTGCCTGTAATCCTAGCTACTAGGGAGGCTGAGGCAGGAGAATTGCTTTAACCCGGCAGGTGGAGGTTGCAGTGAGCAGAGATCGTGCCTTTCTACTCCCTGCCAGGAGCTTTAGCACACAGAATATAGGAAACTTTTGGGCTGGTGTAAGCAAACGTATAAGATACATACCTGAAAAGGGAAATACTACATCAAGGGTAAATTACTGTTTTAATTTTCCCAGCTGTGTTAGTCCATTTTCACACTGCTGAAAAAGACATACCTGAGACTGGGCAATTTACAAAAGAAAGAGGTTTAATGGACTTACACTTCCACGTGGCTGGGGAGGCCTCACAATCATGGCAGAAGGCAAGGAGGAGCAAGTCATGTCTTAAATAAATGGCACCAGGCCAAGAGAGAGCTTGTGCAGGGAAACTCCCCCTTATAGAACTATCTGATCTCGTGAGACTTATTCACTATCACAAGGACAGCATGGAAAAAACCTGCCCCCATGATTCAATTACCTCCCACCAGGTCCCTCCCACAACACGTGGGAATTTAAGATGAGATTTGGGTGGGGACGCAGCCAAACAATATCACCAGCTATTGCCAAATTGCCTTCCTAAAAGTCTACTTACTCACATTGGCAACAGCAGTATAGGAAAGTGTGTTCCTCCATACCCTAACCTACACTACGTATAAGTTTCTTTAAAATTTTGCCCAAATCTCATAATTTAAAAAAATGGTAACTTGCTATTTTGATTTGCATTTTCAGTTAGTAGTGGAGAATCTTTTCATATGCTTATTGACTATGTTTTTCCATGAACTACTTGTTCATGTCTTTTACTCATTTTTCTATTTGGTCATCTTTTTTGTTTGTGTTTATTTAGAGAAAGGGTCTCTCTATGTTGCCCAGGCTGGACTCAAAATCCTGGGCAATTCTGGGGCTCAAATGATCCTCCTGCCTCAGGCTCCCAAGTGGCTGAGACTACAGCCATTTGCCACCATGTTCAGATTTAGTCATCTTTTTTTTTTTTGAGATGGAGTCTCGCTCTGTCACCCAGGCTGGAGTGCAGTGGTGCAATTTCCTCTCACTGCAACCTCTGCCTCCCAATTTCAAGCGACTCTCCTGCCTCAGCCTCCTGAGTAGCTGGGATTACAGGTGGGCACCATCACGTTGGGATAATTTTTCTATTTTTAGTAGAGACGGGGTTTCACCAAATTGGCCAGGCTGGCTTCGAACTCCTGACCTCAGGTGATCCGCCTACCTTGGCCTCCTAAAGTGCTGGGATTACAGGCATGAGCCACTGTGCCCAGCCCAATCATCTTTTATTAACACTTACTGATTTGAAAGAGCTGTTATATGTAAAGGAAATGAACCCTTTGGCATATTTGTTGCAAATTTTTTTTTTTTTAGTTTGTCCTTTACTTTATCAATGGTATTTTTTCCAAAGAGAAGTTTAAATTTTTCCTTTAAAAATTATCAGCTGGGCACAGTGGCTCATGCCTGTAATCCCAGCACTTTGGGAGGCCAAGGCAGGCGGGTCGCGAGGTCAAGAGATCAAGACCATCCTGGTCAACATGGTGAAACCCCGTCTCTACTAAAAATACAAAAATTAGCTGGGCATGGTGGCGCGTGCCTGTAGTCCCAGCTACTCGGGAGGCTGAGGCAGGAGAATCACTTGAAGCCAGGAGGCGGAGGTTGTAGTGAGCCGAGATGGAGCCACTGCACTCTAGCCTTTTGACAGAGCAAGACTCTGTCTCAAAAAAAAAAAAAAAATTATCAATATTGGCTGGGTGTGTTGGCTCGCACCTGTAATCCCAGCACTTTGGGAGGCTGAGGTGGGCCGATCACCTGAGGTTGGGAGTTTGAGACCAGCCTGGCTAACATGGCGAGACACTGTCTCTACTAAAAGTACAAAAATTAGCCAGGAGTGGTGGCGGGCGCCTGTAATCCCAGATACTCAGGAGGCTGCAGCAGGAGAATAGCTTGAACCCGGGAGGCAGAGGTTGCAGTGAGCTGAGATAGTGCTACTGTACTCCAGCCTGGGCGACAAGAGCGAGACTCCGTCTCAAAACAAAACAAAACAATATTGTATTTTACGGTTTTCAGATCTTGTGTCATTCAAAGGTTTTAAGTAAAAAAGGGACCTAATCAGATTTGCATATAAAAAACACTGCTATGTGGAAAATTGATTGGAGGGGGCGGGGCAGCACAGAACAAGAGGAGCCAGGAGACCAATTAGGAGGCTGAATGATGACAGCTTGGATGGGAGGTGGTAGGACTCTGAGGGTGGGGGTGTAAGGGTAGCGGTGGAGGTTGGGGATAAGCAGGGGGGGTTGTAGAGAAAAGAGGGGTGGATCAGTGTTTGGTTTGAGGGAGAAGTTCAACTGGATTCCTCCCCTTGGATTTTAGAAGAAACCTGTGTCTCTGCAAAAAATTATTTTTTTGTGTAAGCTAGCTAGAACTGTTTTCCACTGCTCCTATGCAAAGAGCCTTAGTAAGCATTATCCATCAAACTGTAAAAATCAATGTATTACTTTTTTTTTTTTTTTTGAGACAGGGTCTCACTCTGTTGCCCAGGCTGGAATGCAGTGGCGCAATCTCAGCTCACCGCAACTTCCGCCTCCCAGGTTCACACAATCCTCCTGCCTCAGCCTCCCCAGTAGCTGGGACCACAGGCACCTGCCACCATGCCCAGCTAATTTTTGTATGTTTCTGTAGAGACAGAGTTTTGCCGTGTTGCCCAGGCTGGTCTCGAGCTCCTGAGCTCAAGTGATCTGCCTGCCTCAGCAATCCAAAGTGCTGGGATTACAGGCGTGAGCCACGATGCCAGGTGTATTACTCTTTTTTTTTTTGAAACAGAATCTCACTTTGTCACCCAGGCTGGAGTACAGTGGCCCAACCTCGGCTCATTGCAACCTCCGCCTCCTGGGTTCAAGTGATCCTCCCACCTCAGCCTCCCAAGTCCTGAGATTACCAGTGTGTGTCACCACACCCGGCTAATTTTTATATTTTTAGTAGAGCTGGGGTTTTGCCATGCTGGTCAGACTGGTCTCAAACTCCTAACCTCAAGTGATCCTCCCACCTCAGCCTCCCAAAGTGCTGAGATTACAGGCGTGATCACCATGCCCGGCTAGAAAATACAGTATTTTGATTTAAACCTGTAATCCAAAGTAGATTTAGAGAGAAGTTTTGAATGGTGTTAGAAACAGAGGCCAAGGCTGCTCCCTGGCCTCTCCCATGTTAGAGCAGATTCTTCTGAATACTCAGAGGAGTTACTAGGCAATGAGGTTCTAGAGGTCACACATACTGATTGTTACTCACATAGAAGCTTCTCCTTTTGCAGGGTGTCTGGTATCAAATCATCTTTTTCCCCAAGAGAGCCATTCAACAGGCATTGAGGGTTATTCTTCCGAACATGCTGATGCGTAGCAGAGTTTGGTAAACTGCCTCTCTGAGCTAAAAATTGGCAGTTTAATTAAAGTTGCTGGAAGGCCGACTCATCACTTCTAACATCTAGGTCAATACCAAACCACTACTCCTTTTATCACCACCCACCACCACAGCCCTTTGCAATGAATACACTGCATTTTTCAAAGAGCTTTCATATTCCAACTTATGTGAGTGAAGCATAATTATCCCCACCTTACAGCTGAGGAAATGGATGTGAAGAGGAGACTTGAGAAGCAGCCTGGTGTAGTGGAGTGAGAAAGGACTTGGCAGGCAGAAAGATTCTGAAGCTACAAGGGCTGTGTTGGAACTCAGAAAATGATAGCCAAAGGCTGGGAGGGTTGCTTGAGCCTGGGATGTGGAGGCCACTGCCCTCCAGCCTGAGTGACAGAGCGAGATCCTGTCTCAAAAAAAAAAAAAAAGAAAAAAAAAATTATGGCCCAAAGGTTTGGCACTTTGGCATACTGAACACTTTGAATTCAACATAGAAAGGGTTCCAACCCTCAATAACATGCAGTTTACCCATGTAACAAACCTGCACATGTACCCTCTAATCTATAATAAAAGTTGAAAAAATAAATTAAAAAAAAAATAGAAAAGGCTTGCAGAAGCTGCCTCAGAATCAAGGACTTTCTGACCTCTCCTGTCTCCCCACTACCCCAAGAGCAGGAAGGGACTCCTCTCTGGAATTCCTTCTAAGGAAACTTCTTTCCAAAAGAAAAGCAGTTATTTTAAGACCCCTTCCCTAGGAATCTCATCAAATAACCACTAAAGATGAACCACCGAAGAGGAGACTAAAAATTGTCACGACACCCAGATAGACTTTTCATCAATTCTGAGGGCAACTCAGAGATTACCTGGGCAACTATTTGCATAAGACAACCTTTCTTCAGTGAAGCTCCTCCCCTCACTTGCTTGCCACCCCTCCCCGGAGCTCAGAGGAACTTTGTCCCAGGACATGGTTTTTGGAGCTCATTCGTTTCTCCTGAATATCATTTACTACCTTTCACAATTGCCTACACAACCCCTCCCTGAATGTCTCTCTCCCCATGAAGAGGGTATTGAAACTTCAACAATCTGGAGTGCAGTAGCGCAATCTCAGCTCACTGCAACCTCTGCCTCCCGGGTTCAAGCATTTCTCCTGCCTCCGCCTTCCGAGTAGCTGGGATTACAGGCGTGCAACACCATGCCCAGCTAATTTTTTGTATTTTTAGTAGAGGTAGGGTTTTGCCATGTTGGCCAGGCTGGTCTCGAACTCCTGACCTCAGGTGATCTGCCCACCTTGGCCTCCCAAAGTGCTGGGATTACAGGCGTGAGCCACCACGCCCGGCCTGAAGTTCTTGACTTTGTATGGAAAGTAAAAAATTGTATGATGACCAGCCTGAGCAACATAGTAAGACCATGTCTCTACAAAAAAAATTTTTAAATTAGCTGGGTGTGCTGGCATGTGCTTGTGTTCCCTTCTAGTTGGGAGGTAGGAGGATCGCTTAAGCCTGGGAAGTCAAGGCTGCAATGAGCTGTGATTGCAACATTGCACTCCGGCCAAGGCAAAAAACAGACCGTCTAAAAAATAAATAAATAAATATCATAATAGTTTTGCTGTCATACTTCATATTGCAAAAGTAATGGCCACAGTACATAAGTACTTAGTTATGGTGGAAAAGGCATTAAATTTGTGGGTGGAAGATAGAAGTCTGTTCTGAATGACAGTGATTTGGATTTAGTACTATCAGTGGTTTCAGGCCATCCAGGGGCCTTGGAACCTCCCCCCTGTAGATAAGGGGGGACTAATGTAGTTAATAAAAAAGTTTAACAACATTCTTTGATAGAAATAAAATTAATACTAATACAATGAATATTACTCCATCTTATTTCAATATACCAGTAACAAAGTTAGGAAATTAAATTTTAAGAAGATCAATATTTATAATAGCATAAAAATATGAAGTATTATGAAAAACTATAAATCTTTATTGGGAGACATTAAAGACCTAAGTAAATGGAGATAAATATTATAGTCATAGATTGGAGAACCCAGTGTTGAAAAATTGCCAGTTCTTGTGAAATTTGATCTACAGATTTAATGCAATTCCTATAATCTTTTAAAATGTCATAAGCGGGCTGGGGACAGTGGCTCACGCCTGTAATCCCAGCACTTTGGGAGGCCAAGGTGGGTGGATCACCTTAGGTCAGGAGTTCGAGAACAGCCTGGCCAACATGAGGAAACCCTGTGTCTACTAAAAATACCAAAATTAGGCCGAGCGTGGTGGCTCATGCCTGTAATCTTGGCATTTTGGGAGGCTGAGGTGGGTGGATCACCTGAGGTCAGTTCGAGACCAGCCTGGCCAACATGGTGAAACCGTTTCTACTAAAAATACAAAATTAGCCAGGCATGGTGGTACACGCCTGTAATCCCAGCTACCTGGGTACTTGGGAGGCTGAGGCAGGAAAATCGCTTGACCCCGCGAGGTGGAAGTTGCAGCAAGCCTAGATTGCACCACTGCACTCCAGCCTGGGCAACAAGAGCATAACTCCGTCTCAAGAATAAAAAAAACACTGGGCGCGGTAAGCTCACGTCTGTAATCCCACCACTTTGGGAGGCCTAGGCAGGTGGATCACCTGAGGTCAGGAGTTCAAGACCAGCCTGGCCAACATGTTGAAACCCCGTCTCTACTACAAATACACAAAAAAATTAGCTGGGAGTGGTGGTGGGCGCCTGTAATCCCAGCTACTTGGGAGGCTGAGGCAGGAGAATCTCTTGAACCCAGGAGGTGGAGGTCGCAGTGAGCCGAGATTGCGCCATTGCATTTCAGCCTGGGTGAAAAGAGTGAGACTCTATCGCAAAAAAAAAAAAAAAAAGAAAGAAACAAAAATTACCCAGGCGTGGTGGCTCGTGCCTGTAATCCCAGCTACTCAGGAGGCTGAGGCAGGAGAATCTCTTGAACCTGGGAGGCAGAGGTTGCAGTGAGCCGAGATCGTGCCACTGCACTCCAGCCTGGGCGACAGGGTGAGACTTCATCTCAAAATAAATAAAAAATAAAATAAAATGTCATAAGCCAATTGCAAAATTTATTTTTTTAAATTTTTATTTATTTATTTTTTTTGAGACAGAGTCTCACTCTGTCGCCCAGGCTGGAGTGCAGTGGCTTGATCTCGGCTCACTGCAAGCTCCGCCTCCCAGGTTCACGCCATTCTCCTGCCTCAGCCTTCCCAGTAGCTGGGACTACAGGCACCCACCACCACGCCCGGCTAATTTTTTTGTATTTTTAGTAGAGACGGGGTTTCACCGTGTTAGCCAGGATGGTCTCGATCTCCTGACCTCGTGCTCCACCCGTCTCGGCCTCCCAAAGTGCTGTGATTACAGGTGTGAGCCACCGTGCCCGGCCGCCAATTGTAAAATTTATATAGTAAGGCAAAGACTCAAGAACAGCCGTGACACTTCTGAAGAACAAGGTGGGAAGACATGTCTTTCCAGATAAAGACTATTTTAATGCCATATAGTAATTAAGAGACAGTGATACTGGTAAAGGATAGCCAAACAGACCAATGGAATAGAGAGCCCAGAAACAGACCTTTGTATTAAGTGATGCTGTCTACTTGACAGAGGTGACCCGCAGATCAATGGGGAAAGGAAGTACTTTTCACTAATGGTAGAGGAAAAAGTATTTATTTGTCAATGCAAATTATTTATTAGTCTACCCAAGTGCAACCCTCCCAGCTAACGAAGCAATTTTCCTCTTGAGTCCAGGAAAGGTGATACTAGATAAGAACATGGTATTACCTTTAAAGTAGCCATAATATTGGAGGTGACGGTACATAAAGTCTTCATAAGGATCAGGAATAGTCTGTGAAAGGAAAGGCCACTTCAATCAAGATAATGTTTTCAAACCATAATAGACTCAACAAAAAGTACATGAGCGTTGTTGCATAGGACTAGACTAAACCAAGCGAGCTGCATTCCATGCGAATTATTCTATCGTGGGGATCAAGATCTCCAGCTGAGAAAAGATGCCACCAGAACATCCCTTCTCATCTAGTAGCAGATTTCTGTGGAGTTCCCGAAGAAATGGAGTTCCCCGAAGAAATTTCTGTGGCTTTCCGTGTTGTGTACCGACCTGCTTTAGGTGCGTTTCCAAAGCTGGGAACATGTTACTTCTGGATGGTAGGCTGAAAACTAGTCAGTGACATTAGCATCCAGTCGCAAACCCTGCCCAATTTCCAAATAGGCAGCTGATTACACAAGAGAAGCTACAAAGCCACAAGAGGACAAGTGAAAAAACTGCCAATACCTCCCCGGGCGCCCCCCAGCTCCCTCTTGACTTCAGAAAACCCTGCCAACCCAGCTTCTCCTCAGCTAAACAAGGTGGTCACGCCGAGGCCAGAGGTGCATCTGAGACAGGGAGGGCAGCGTATCTTCCCGCTTCTTCTTCCCAAGGTGCTGGCCCCATGCTTCCCTTTCCCTGAGAAAGGAGATGCTCGCCACAGGAAAGTGAAAGAAATGGGTATGGGAGCACGCGACGAAGTCGTCTCGGTAGGTGCCGATGGAAAAAGGTCAGGGGGTTGGGAAAGTGGGCCCTAAAGATTGAATTTAGGGTTCAGAGGAACCTGGTCTGGGGCAGGTGGTGAGGGGGTTTCCTAAGGGTAGGAGCGGGGAAGGAGAGCAGAAACTTCCCAGGAGGGCAGAGCGATGGATGCGACCGCCTTCGCGCCCCGGCCCGTCCCAAGCAGCACGGATGGCTGCGGCAGAGAAGCTCCAGCGAGGCAGGCGGCCACCGCACTTAAGTACAGAGGCCAAGCAGTGTGCGGGCAAGGGGACAAACTCGCTGCACCCGCCCGCCACCGCCTTCTGTGAGGGCCCGGGTAGTCTAGCAACCGAAAGCAGGAAGCGGAGAAAGGGCGGGGCGGTCGGGCGCTTCCGGGGAGCTAGGCCTCGCCCCCAAGGAGGGAGCGGGGACCCCGGGAAGGTCTGCAACATGTATGGCGGGCAGCGGCTTTCTTCCCCTCATACATCACAGCCCCAGCCTCGGAATCGAAACCGCATTGATGAGTACGATGCCAGTAGCCTTCAACATACTTCCAAGCTGGTTTGCTGTTGGCTTTAGATAACTGTTATGCATAATTTGCTCTAAGAGAGCTGCTGCTTCTCTCCTTTCACCTTAACATTCTCTCCACTGCACAGCTAGAAAGGAAAAATTACCTTCTACACTGCAAATCTTAAGAAACAGAGCTAACAAATTCAAATCACACATTTTGATTAGGTTTAAAAAAATCAATTATATGCATAGAAATTTACTCCAGGCCAGGCGCGGTGGCTCTCGCCTGTAATCCCAGAACTTTGGGAGGTCGAGAGTTGGAGACTAGCCTGACCAACATGGAAAAACCCCATCTCTACTAAAAATACAAAATTAGCTGGGTGTGGTGGCGCATGCCTGTAATCCCAGCTACTCGGGAGGCTGAGGCAGGAGAATCACTTGAACCTGGGAGGCGGAGGTTGCGGTGAGCCGAGATCGTGCCATTGCACTCCAGCCTGAGCAACAAGAGCGAAATTCTGTCTCCAGAAAAAAAAAAAACAAAAAACCAACAACAAAAAAATAAATATACTACAATAAAATTCAAACACGTGTCTTTGGTTAACTATATATGAATATAACCGTATCTGTTACTTTTATCAGTGGGGGGAAAAAAGCTATAAAGCACCTTTTTTTCTGAAATGTTAACCATATTACATCATTGCCAGGAATTAAGTAGGTAAAATATTATCTAATATGGCTATTAACCAATCTAGATATTATAGATAATATTAGACCCCAAAACTTTGATCACACAGCACCATCTGGGACTAGAAGCCTGTTTGTCTAAACTGGCCCCACCACTCCCCATTAAAGATCTCCTGCTCATTTTCTTGAAAGCTGTTGTTAAATGTTTGCACCTTGCATTGTATATGCTTAGAAAAAAAAACAAGTCCTGGTTACATAATCAGAATAACAGGAGTTGACGAGCAAAAGGATAACCCATCAGGATTATAAAAAAAGCTTTATTAGTGCATATATACAAATTTACAAGGTCAGAAACTGGAGAAATACAAAGAGCTTTAAAACACAATTTGCCGTTTCCTCAGTTTAAAGTGACTTTTACCTGATTGTGATACAACAGAAAGTACAGAACAGTAAACTGCTTTTTAAATACTGGAATTTTATGGAGAATACATTCACATAAAGAAAGGAGGTGAATTTTGTTTTGGAACAGGGTTAAGACAATGGAGACATTAATACATAGAGTGTCTTGTTGTATTTACTGCCACATACTTGAGGGGAAATTCTCAAAATCAAGGATATGAACACCTGCTGCTGCCTGTATGCCACCTAGTGTGCGAAACGACCGAGCTACCAGTTCTAGAACTTATGAGAACTACTCTAAAGAGTGTGGCCATCTATCAGCACGAGGTAAACCACTTAGACCTCAGCACTTCAGGGGTGGCCGACTAGAGAAAAGAGGCCAGAAAAAGCTTCAGACAATTCCAGTCAAGCAAGGTAGAATGCAGAGCTGCCTTCTGAATTGCACTTGTTCTGGAGGAGAAGTTAATTCTTCACTTTTGTCAGGGAGTCCTCTACAGAAGTGTTATACTCATGAGCCACATGTTCTTCAAGACTGATGAGGTTAATACACCTAACATGCTAAGTTTGCCAGTTTGAGAATAAAGGCAGCATGGTCAAAGCAATTCCAATCACCTCATCCCTTTGCAAAAACAGAAAAATTACATTTCACAAAAGTGAAAACTTTGTATGCATACACTCTTGCCCAGGAAATTTATAAGATCTCCCCCATAACATTTATAGTTTATTTGACAATAAAACTGGTTAAGACTTTGAACTGAACACAAAACAAACAATAATACAAAAAAGTTTTAAAAACTTAAAAACTATGTGTTTGGAGCCATTTTCCTTCTCTTCAGCCTTGCTCTCCAATCCTCAGGAAGGGCTTCAAAATTAGCATTTCTCTCTGCCATGCCACTGTGAAAACAACATACAGATTATTTTAGTGGAAAGAAAAATTAACAAAAGTATTCATTTCCCAGCAAATAAAAATCTAACTGAAATTAAAAACCTGATCTATCACGTCTATGTTTATGAAAATCTTTTGTTTCTCAGCCAAACATCAGTATATTCTTCATCAAACTTCTTCATTCTGATAGGTCAACCAAACACTACCCCAGTTTTACGTATATGTCTAAGTGCATATTTATTTATTTATTATTGACTGATTGAGACGGAATTTTGCTCTTGTTGCCCAGTCTGGAGTGCAATGGTGCGATCTCGGCTCACCGCAACCTCCGCCTCCCAGGTTCAAGCGATTCTCCTGCCTCAGCCTCCCCTCAGAGTAGCTGGGATTACAGGCATGTGCAACCATGCCTGGCTAATTTTTTTTTTTTTTAAGTAGCGACAGGGTTTCTCCATGTTGGTCAGGCTGGTCTCGAACTCCCAACCTCAGGTGATCTGACTGCCTTGGCCTCCCAAAGTGCTGGGATTACAGGTGTGAGCCACCGTGCCCGGCCTTATTTATTTTATATAAATATACCTCCAATAACCATTAAAGGCACACTGAAGAAATGAAACACGTTCTATTAGAGTTTTTCTTAGCCCACAGGAGTTATGATTCTTCAGGGCAGATATATCTAATCCTCAGTCTACCAACAGGGACCCTGGGATCTAATGTTTTTTTTTCTGTTTTTGAGATGGAGTCTTGCTCTGTTGCCCAGACTGGAGTGCAGTGGCACAATCTCGGCTCACTGCAACCTCTGCCTCCTAGGTCCAAGCGATTCTCCTGCCTCAGCCTCCCAAGTGGCTTGGACTACAGGCGCCTGCCACCATGTCCAGCTAATTTTTATATTTTTAGTAAAGACAGGTTTTCACTATGTTGGCCAGGCTGGTCTCGAACTCCTGACCTCGTGATCCACCCACCTCGGCTTCCCAAAGTGCTGGGATTACAGATGTGAGCCCCTGTGCCCGGCCGGATCTAATGTTTTTGAGTTTCTCTTTCAAGTAGTTTTATTTGTAAGGATTAAAATTCAAATTCTATCTTGCAATTAACAGAATGGATGCATTAGAACCTTTAATAAAAACTAAGCTAGAACCTATCAGAGATTAATTTGAAATCTGGCATCAGTAATAGACAGCTATATTCTAGGTTATACACTGACAATTGATGAACAGTGAGTTGCAGTCAAAGAATGCTGCCCATTTCAGAATGTATACCTTCAAAACAAGGAAAATATGAAATAAAAAATTGTACTTGCTGTGTCTAAAGTCTTTAAAATTTCTAGAATTTTTGAGAAAGCCATCTTCTTGCCTCAGCCTCCCAAGCATCTAGGACTACAGGTGTGAGCCACAGTGCCCACCCAACATGTTTTTTTTTTTTTTTTTTGAGATGGAGTCTTGCTCTGTCGTCCAGGCTGGAGTGCAATAGCACGGTCTTGGCTCACTGCAACCTCCGCCTCGCGGGTTCAAACAATTCTTCTGCCTCAGCGATTACAGGCATTCGCCACCAGGCCCAGCTAATTTTGTATTTTTAGTAGAGATGGGGTTTCACCATGTTGGCCAGGCTGGTCTCGAATTCCTGACCTCGTGATCCACCCGCCTTGGCCTCCCAAAGTGCTGGGATTACAGGCGTGAGCCACCGTGCCCAGCCCAACATGTGCTTTCATCATAAAAAATATTTCTGACCTGAGTGTGGTGGCTCACACTTGTATTC
This sequence comes from Homo sapiens, assembly GCF_000001405.40. Classification (NCBI taxonomy): domain Eukaryota; kingdom Metazoa; phylum Chordata; class Mammalia; order Primates; family Hominidae; genus Homo; species Homo sapiens. The sequence continues at coordinate 47,719,251 of NC_000011.10, forward strand.
CCAACACTCTGGGAGGCTGAGGTGCAATTACTTGAAGCCAGTTCTCCCTATCCTTTTATTCTAGTCAAGCAAGGTAGTGAAGGATTTTCTTACCTAGAAGAGGTTCATTTAGTTCCTAGTGTGGTGTGCTCTCTCATTAACTTCTGTTCTAGAATAAGTGCAATTGAGAAGGCAGCTCTGTATTCTACCCTGCTTGACTGAAATATAGGGACAGGGGAAAAACTTTATTCTAATTCTGTAAATCATTTGTACAATAATGTGTGTGTGTATAAAAGGGTCTAATTCTATAAATTATTTGTAAAATAAGTTAATATGTTATGTGTGTATGTGTGTGTGTGTGTGTGTGTGTGTGTGTGTGTGTGTGTATAAAAGGGTCCACTGGATCTAGATAGTAAATGATGTACTGAGAGTTAAGACAGGCCTTTGCCTAAGACCAACAATCAACTGGACAAAGTATTACAACTCTGTTGTTTCTGATTTTGAAAAAAGGCTAGCCCATAATTTCTATAAGGAATTAAACATGTTTATAAATTAGAAACCTTTAGATAAATTTACAAGCTGTGATTTTAAGAATATGTCTATTCTAATGCATCTATAACAACCACAACCTACTCCATCTCATAGTAGGTCTCAACCTACTCCAAAACCCCATCTCATCTGTGTTTCCTTTTCTTTTACCTAACCAGCTGCTGCTGTTTCCACTCTTCAATTCGCTTCTGTGCAGTTGATTCCCGATCCTCTTCACTGGAACTAGAATTGTCCTCTTCATCTAACTCACGCTGGATACTCTGCCACTTTTTTACCAAAGATGGCATTTTGGTCTTACTCTTCTTTGCCTGTAACAAAGGTTAAAGGTCAAAAGGAATAGAAAACATAAAATAAGGATAAGCGTCCTCTACAATGGAGGTCAGGATCCTTTTCCCAGTTCTAAAGAATATGCACACTTTAAAAAAGAAAGTAAATACCATTCTAAGTTCTTGCCATAAATTTCTTACCAATTATAAACAAAAAGGCTTGGTTAAAAATCTATAAAGCAGGCCAGGCGCGGTGGCTCAAGCCTGTAATCCCAGCACTTTGGGAGGCTGAGGCGGGCGGATCACAAGGTCAGGAGATCGAGACCATCCTGGCTAACATGGTGAAACCCTGTCTCTACTAAAAATACAAAAAATTAGCCAGACGTGGTGGCGGGCGCCTGTAGTCTCAGCTACTCGGAAGGTTGAGATAGGAGAATGGCATGAACCTGGGAGGCGGATCTTGCAGTGAGCCGAGATCACCACTGCACTCCAGCCTGGGCTACAGAGGGAGACTCCGTCTCAAAAAAATAAATAAATAAATAAATAAATAAATAAAATCTATAAAGCTTTGTAAATGCGGTATTTTATAAAATTATGTCATATAAACTTCCTTTAACCTCCCTATCCTATGTAATTCAAAATATTGCCTTTATCGCGTCTCAGAATTACAGTGTTCCCGTTTTCAAATTTTAAATAGATGCAGTGTTCCTCCCAAGTGATTTAAAAAAAAAAAAAAAAAGCTAAAAAATAAAGCTGGAAAGAGCAACAAAGCAAACTGCCATATTAGCCGGGGGCGGTGGCGGCGGCGGTGGGCGACTGTAGTCCCAGCTGCTTGGGAGGCTGAGGCAGGAGAATCGCTTCAACCCGGGAGTCAGAGTTTGCAGTGAGCCAAGATTGCACCATTGCACTGCAGCCTGGGCAACACAGTGAGACTCTGTCTCAAATAAATAAATAGCCATAATTAAATATGAAAAAAAGCAAACAGATTTTTAAAAATATCGGCTGGGCACGATGGCTCATGCCTGTAATCACTTTGGGAGGCCGAGGCGGGAGGATCACGAGGTCAGGTGATCGAGACCATCCTAGCTAACACGGTGAAACCCCGTCTCTACTAAAAATACAAAACATAAGCCTGGCGTGGTGGTGGGCGCCTGTAGTCCCAGCTACTCTGCACTTCAGCCTGGGCGACAGAGCAAGACTCCATCTCAAAAATAAATAAATAAATAAATAAAAATAAATAAATAAATAAAATAAAACATCAATGGGGCGAGGCATGGTGGGTCACACCTGTAATCTCAGCACTTTGGGAGGCCAAGGTGGGTGGATCACTTGAGGCCAGGAGTTTGAGACCAGCCTGGCCAACATGACAAAAACCCACCTCTACTAAAAATATAAAAAATACAAAAATTAGCCTGGCATGGTGGTGCACATGCCTGTCGCCCCAGCTACTCAGGAGACTGAGGCATGAGAAGTGCTTGAACTGGGAGGCAGAGGTTGCAGTGAGCTGAGAGCATGCCACTGCACACCAGCCTGGGTGACAGAGACTCTGTCTCCCCTCCCCCTGCCAAAAAAAATCAATGATACAGTTAGTTCTAAGAGAAGGTATAATGATATAATATTTTTTCTTTTCGCTTACCTTCATTGTCTAAATCGTCTATAATAAACATACAGATTTTTTGCCCCTTTTCTTGAGACTCCGTTTCAAAAGGTGGTATTTGTAAATGTGGTATTTTATAAAATCAGGTCATATAAATTTCCTTTAACCTCCCTACCCTATGCAATTCAAAATATTGCCTTTATCTCGTCTCCTCAGAATTACAGCGTTCCCATTTTCAAATTTTAAATAGATGCAGCATTCCTATCAAATGATTAAAAAAAAAAAAAAAGCTAAAAAATAAAGCTGGAAAGACCAACAAAGCAAACTGCCATATTAGCTGGGGGTGGTGGCGGATGTCTCTGACTCAAAAAAAAAAAAAAAAAAAAAAAAAAAAAAAAAAAAAAAAAAAAAAGGAAAAAAAAATATTTCTCATAGATTTATTTTTCCCTTATCTACTCCCAAGCCACCCCCTGCCAGAAGAAAGGTTCTACAAAAGCAGAGGGTTTTTTTTTTTTTTGTCTGTTTGATGTACTGCTAAATCCTAAGCCCCTAGGGAGAGTATCTGACAAATATATTAGATATTGATAAGACCAATTTTTATCCCCGTTTTTCTTTTTTTTTTTTAAGACAAAGTTTCACTTTTGTCACCCAGGCTGGAATGCAGTGGTGCGATCTCAGCTCACTGCAACCTCAGCCTCCCAGGTTCAAGCGACTCTCCCGCCTCAGCCTCTTTAATAGCTTATCCCTATGCTTTTTAAGAGAAGCAGTTGTATGTTTGAAGACCCGTCTGGGTGATGCTGGCTCAACAAGTAGGAGTTGACATGACTGAGTGCTGTACTCATGTGAGGACTAGGTATGGGGGCCCAAGCTGATTCTCCTCCCAGCACTTGAGACAAACAGATTTCTTAAATAAGGTCCCCCCACTGAGAAAGTAAGCTGGACATTTCAATTTCTTTTTTCTTTTTTTGAGATGGAGTCTTGCTCTGTCACCCAGGCTGGAGTGCAGTGCTGTGATCCTGGCTCACTGCAACCTCTGCCTCCTGGGTTCAAGCGATTCTCCTGCCTCAGCCTCCCAAGTAGCAGGGATTACAGGTGCGTGCCACCAGGCCCAGCTAATTTTTGTATTTTTAGTAGAGACAGGGTTTCACCATGTTGGGCAGGCTGGTCTCGAACTCCTGACCTCAGGTGATCTGCCCGCCTCGGCCTCCCAAAGTGCTGGGATTACAGGCTTAAGCCACAGTGCCCAGCCTGAAAATGGATAATTTCATGTTATGTGAATATAACCTCAATAAAATTTTTAAAAATAAATTTTTAAAAAGGGAAATTTATTATACCTTGTCTTTCCTTCCTTTTTTTGTCTTTTCAGGTGGTGGCATTTTGGGAGCTGGTGGTGGTGGAGGAGGAGGAGGAGGAGGTGGTGGTGGTGGTTCTATAATGGTAGCGGTAGGCACAGCACCTCGGGCCTGAACTGGCTGCAATGAGGGAGCAGTCACTCCAATTGGGACAGAACATTCTGCATAACTCATAATTGCAGGTGCTGCCGCTAGTCCAAGGTAATTTGACTGCAGGCTCATTCCTCTGGCCTGATGACCCATTCCTGCTGCTGGAAGGCTAACTGGTATTGTCTGATGTCCAATTCCTGTTGCCTGGTTTCCAATCCCTGCTGCCTGGTGACCTAACACAGAAAACATAAAATGATACTATAAAAAGGACATCATGACAAGAACAGATGCAATGAAAAGAGAAGTGGGGATTAGATCACATAGAAAATGATTCCAATATATCCTTTTCTAAAAAGCATAGCCATATTTGCTGGTAGCAAAATATATTAATTTTGAATACCTTGGCATTAAACTACCTAAACATCGAAATCATCAATGTACATAAATATACAAGACAATCTGGAAGCATATGTGCTGAACGTTTTTTGTGTTTTTGAGACAGAGTTTTGCTCTGTCGCCCAGACTGGATGAAGTATAGCAGTGTGATCACAGCTCACTGCAGCCTCAACCTCCAGGGCTCAAGTGATCCTCCCACCTCAGTCTCCTGAGTAGCCGGGACTACAGGTGCAGACTACCATGCCTGGCTATTTTTGGTCTTTTTTGTAGACAGGCTTTTGCCGTGTTGCCCAGGCTGGTCTCCAACTCCTGAGCTCAAGCAATCCGCTTGCCTCAGCCTCCCGAAGTGCTGGGATTATAGGTGTGAGCCACTGTGCACGGTCAGCTAAACTGTCAAAAGTTTTTTTTTTTTTTTTAAGTAAAATAAATGCATACTGACAGTCTTTGCAATCAAGAGCCTTTAACATTTCTTTAGTTTTTATGGCATCTAATGCTGAAAAGAAAAGAAACAATACATTGAGGAAAAACCACGCTCTATGCACAATTACCTGTAGCTATAGCTGACTGGCTATAGAGAACTGGAGAACTGCCAATGGTAGCTGACCTCTGAACCACTGCAGTGCTAATTTCTGTAGCTTTCCTCTTTATTCCTTTAGTGGAAGAAGAACTAGAGATGGTGGAATCAACTGAACTCTGAAACACAAACATTTGTTATCAGTGGCTGAAGGCCATGGTTAAACATAGCCCGCTCCCACCTCCTTTTTTTGAGACAGGCTCTCATTCTGTTGCACAAGCTGCAGTGGTGAGATCATGACTCATTGCAGCCTCCTGGGCTTAAGCAATCCTCCTGCTTCGACCTCCCAAAGGTCTAGGATATAGGCGTGAGCCACCGTGCCCGGCCTTTAAACATATGCTTCTAAAATAAAACATGGTGTCAATCATGTTCCAGTCCTCAAAATCACTCAGAATGCCAAAGGGAATTACTTACCTGGCTAGTTACAACTGTGGTTTGTGCTGAAGGTTTCAAAGGGGTATCTTCCTCTGTTCCTGGGGCAGGGGGCTCCTCACTTCCCTCATCCTCCATCTCTACCTCCTGGATCTCACCATCTTCCGCAGGAGGAGGTGGTGGAGGAGGGGGTGGAGGTGATTCTGGAGGTGGAGGTGGGGGTGGTGGCATTTCCAAGGGTAATGGAGGTTGAAGCACAGGAACATTTGACTGAAGGAGGGTCCAGAATGGAGTAAGTGGCATGAGTGATGAAGAAGAAACTTGACCAGAAAAGGATTCTTTACAAAGAGAACCTATGAAAACAGGTAAGAGTCAGGGAAAAAGCAAGAAAAAAACTCCCTGGCTTATATTCATAGAAATGTTCAACTGGTCAGTAAGATAATCATTTATAGGAACCTAGCACAGTGTACAAAACAATACAGAATGTGGTGTCAAACAGCAGGGAATGGCTCCTTCCTTGAAAAAAATTTGGCCCACAGGCATCTATTCTATACTGATATCGCTAAAATATTGAACAACTCAGTTCAGAAATGACTTCCACGGAAAGATAAATTTATGAACTTCATAGCACCTTCCCCATCTGTATTATACTTGTCCTTCGGGTCCATATTTATGGATGAGTAGAAGAATATTACATCAACTCAACGAGAAATGCAGTCATCTGAATCTGTAGTTTGAAGTTTTTGATTTCAAACACTCACAAGCTTCAACATACACAAATAAAAGGTAATAGTCTGGAGTCTATTTCAAAAGTGAAGGAGTGAGTGAATAATGTGCACCTGCAGTAATTATTACACATACTTTATTTTTTAGTGAGCTAGACAAAGTGAGTAAAGACAACCCAGAATATTCATTCAAAATACTCGGGAAAGTTCTACCCATTGTGTTTAATTTGGGTTACTAAATTTAAAAAATCCATTTGCAAGGTGCTACTGTCAACTATATCATTCCTTCACACCCTTGCATACATTACATTCATTTGTGATATCACAGAGACACAAGTTAGGGATGGCAATTTTTACTTTTGCGATAAAAGAGAAATTTAGGAAGATAAATCTTCAAAGTATATAACTCAGATTTTTTAAAACTGCAGTGGTTTTGAAATTGCTGTTGCTGAAGTCTACATTACGAAATTGCAGCTGAAAAGTTGCAGGATCAGCTTTCCTCAAACTTTGTAAAAGCCATCATTGATTACTGTCTTTTCTCTGCTGGGAAAACCTTTAAAGATTAGAGAAAATAGGATATACTTACTTGTAGCCTTCCCCAGCCCTCTTTATCGTCAATAGGGAAGTTTCACAATATATGGGACTATTAGATATATATCCCAGGAATGTTGAAGGGGATTTTCTCCCTAAAATCATAGAATTTAGGAGTAGAAGAGACATGAGAAATCATCTATTTCAACCTCCTCAGTTAAAGGTAATGAAACCCAGGCAGGAACTAACTTGCCCAAGATCATATCAATGTTAGTGGCCAGACCAGAGCTAGAACTCAAGTCTGATTCCTCATCTGATACTTGCTGTTTTACTAAGATGTCCTGGTGAGATACCAGGAATCCAAGAGCTTTAGACATCTCAGTCAAAAAAAATATCACTTCACCTGGAGTAGATACCCAGAAGAAGTCACCTGTTAAATTTCATGGTCAAAAGTGGTAGATTAAATAAGGCTCAATTATGAAAGACTCTAGGGCAAGAAGGCCATTTACACTGCTTTGCTCAAAATACACACTGGCACTCAACAAGGTAAAACAAACAAAGCAACCATGAGCCATTTGGGTCTTGCTCTGTTGCCCAGGCTGGAGTGTAGGTGGTGCGATCATAGCTCATTCTAACCTCAAACACTTGGCTCAAGCGATCTTCCTACCTCAGCTTCCCGAATTGCTAGGACTACAGGTGTGCATCACCACACCTGCTAATTTTTAATTTTTTTTTTTTTTTTTTTTTTAAAGAGACAGTCTCACTATGTTGCCCAAGCTGGTCACGAATAGAGTAGTTTTACTTTTTATGGAACAGACAGACAATACATTGTATAAAAGACTTTAACAACATCATTCCCACTGTCTCCTTATTTTAAGACAGCTGCTTACTGCCACTTTTGGAAAAGGACATTGAAAAAAATTCACCAGGAACATAAATGCAGTTTTCTGGCTAAATGACCTCAAATGACTCATTAAACTTTTATATTTGGCCATATTTAATATTAATTTATGCATTAACTTTTAGACAAAATCAAGTATGGCCAAGTAGTCTACATTATACAATAGTACACAAGGACTACATCAGAACTAAGTCAATAAACGTTGAGGACTAACTTAATTATTAAGGATTAAACTCCCTTCTATTAAACTAATCACAACATACAGTAAGTAAATATAAGTTAAGATTTTCTCTATTTTCTTTCTTTTTTTTAAAAGGCTAGTCAAGTGAAGCAGCAGGACTGGAGAAGAAACAAAGTCTGTAACTGGTTGTGATTAATTAGTTGTAAACACCACTGCACTCGGACCAGCCAGATTTTCAAATATTGGTGGATGTCTCCTCTAGAAGCATAATGCAATACCAACATGTTTATGATGGTGGTGACATGCTATTATGCAGAGGAACTCAAGTAAACACAGAGTCGGTTCAAGGTTAATAATGTGGTTTATGACCTCCAACAAAGCTAATTAGAATTAACTAAACTCTGTAAATATGAGATTAAACTAGACTTGATAAAATTAGCCACAAATGACGAGCATTTTTAGAATATGTGAATCCAATACTTTTCTTCTTTTTTTTTTTTTTTTGTGACGGAGTCTCACTCTCTTGTCCACGCCGGAGTGCAGTGACGCAATCTTGGCTCACCGCAACCTCTGCCTGCCAGGTTCAAGCGATTCTCCTGCCTCAGCCTCGCGAGTAGCTGGGATTACAGGCCCACACCACCACATCCAGCTAATTTTTGTATTTTTAGTAAGAGAGGGGTTTTCGCCATGTTGGCCAGGCTGGTCTCAAACTCCTGACCTCAAGTGATCTGTGTGCCTTGGCCTCCCAAAGTGCTGGGATTACAGATGTGAGCACCTGGCCTCTGCTTTTGTACTTCATAAGCACTTCAAATTCTCACATACAATGTGTCTCCCTCAAACTTTGTTATGAGGTCAGCACATTACCCATCTCACATGAAAATAAATAATAAAAATACTCCAATCTCCAACTAAGTTTATTCAAATTATAAAAGCTGTGTCATAGAAATGACAATTATCTCCTTTATCTTACGAAGACCATCAGAAAATTCTAGTTTGAATACACATGGATGTCGTATTACAATGATGCTTCTCCTTGCTTTTAAATTTAACTTAGTTAGTATTTTTGCTGTTTAAGAGAATATTTAAGTCTGAAGCCCAAGGACAGATTAAAGTGGTATATACAGCTCTTTTTTTAGATGGACTCTTGCTCTTGTTGCCCAGGTTGGAGTGCAATGGTGTGATATTGGCCCACCACAACCTCCGCCTCCTGGGTTCAATGATTCTCCTGCCTCAGCCTCCCGAGTAGCTAGGATTACAGGCATGCGACCACGCCTGGCTAATTTTGTATTTTTAGTAGAGGCGGGGTTTCTACATATTGGGTAAGCTGCTCTTGAACTCCCGACCTCAGGTGATCCTCCTGCCTCAGCCTCCCAAAGTGCTGGGATTACAAGCATGAGCCACCACACTTGGCCTACGCAGCTTTTATTACGTGCTCAAAGATTTAAAAGCTACAAGCTTAAAACTGAATATGTTATGAGAATACAAATTCTTAATTTTTTTTTAAGACGGAGTCTTTAAGCCTGTTGCCCAGGCTGGAGTGCAGAGGTGTCATCTTGGTTCACTGTAATCTCTGCCTCCTGGGTTCAAGCGATTCTCCTGCCTCAGCCTCCCGAGTAGCTGGGATTACAGGCACCCGCCACGACACCTGGCTAATTTTTGTATTTTTAGTAGAGACAGGGTGATACCATGTTGGCTGGTCTCAAACTCCTGACCTCAAGTGATCTGCGCGCCTTGGCCTCCCAAAGTGCTGGGATTACAGCCGTGAGCTGTAATTTTTCCTTTTTCTTTTTGAGACAGGATCTCACTTTGTTGTTCAAGCTAGAGTGCAATGGTGTGAATATAGCTCACTGCAGCTTCAACCTACCAGGCTCAAGTGATCCTTCCCACCTCAGCCTTCCAAGTAGCTAGGACCACATACTCGTGCTACCAAGCTAGGCTAATATTCTGCAAAGATGGGGTCTTGCCATATTGCCCAGGCTGGTTTTGAATTCCTGAGCTCAAGTGATCCTCTTGCCTCAAACTCCCAAAGTGCTGGAATTACAGGCATGAGTCACTGCACCTAAGAACCTTGCTTCTGTAGGCGTCTTTTTTTTTTTTTTTTTTTTTAGATAAAGAGTTTTGCTCTGTCGCCCAGGCTGGAGTGCAATGGCATGATCTTGGTTCACTGCAACCTTCGCCTCCCAGGTTCAAGTGATTCTCGTGCCTCAGCCTCCGAGTAGCTGGGATTACAGGCAGCTGCCACCACGCCCAGCTAATTTTTGTACTTTTAGTAGAGGCAGGGTTTCACCATGTTGCCCAGGCTGGTCTTGAACTCTTGACCTCAGGTGATCCACCCGCCTCAGCCCCCCAAAGTATTGGGATTACAGGCATGAGCCACTGCACCCGGCCTAGGCATCTTTATTTCTATGTATAGAAAGCCTTCCTTAATTTTCCCCCCAAAGAGAAATTATTGTTTAGTATTTTGAATGAAGAGCTCAGTTTAGCAATTTAAATCAAGAAATTATACAAATTGTTCCATGGAGATTAAAAAGAAAAAGGAGCTCAACTTCACCTAAGTGACATAAGCCCAATATAAAAGATATGTTGGATATCTTGAACCCAACTCATCTTTAGAATCCACTCCATCTTTAAAAACATAATGTTAAATTCAAACACTGAAACAACAAATAATGATTAAAAATGACTTAGAAAAATAAATAGAACTTTGAAACTTCTTGGCTTCTCACAGTGTAATTTTGCACCCCTTCCCCCACTTTATTTTTGAGACAGGGTCTTGTTCTCTGTCGCTCAGGCTGGAGTGCAGTGGTACAATTATGGCTTACTGCAGCCTCAAAATCTTGGGCTCAACCAATCTTCCCACCTCAACCTCCCAAACAGCTCGGACTACAGGCGTGGGCCACTAACTATGCCTGGCTAACTTTTTAAAACAATTTTCTGAAGAGACAGGGCATTGCTGTGTTTTGTTTTTTCTCTTCTTTAAAAGATAGCTGGTTTTAACCACCACTGAGCTGATTAAGAGCTCTCTTTATTAGGCTTAGAACTGTTGATTATTGCTCTTAAATCTCACAGAACTTAGTTTAAGATTTGGATTTTACTTCGATCAAGTTTATCCTGCAATTCTAGGGGTTCTCAATAAAGAGAGGCTTAAGAATATAACCTGTTTTATCAGTGGCTTTTTCCTACACTACAACTAGTTCTGTTTTAATTAAATAGGAATGGCTCAAGAGCCTCCTTTTACCAGACAGTATCAACTATGTGTGTCATAAAGGGAGAAAACAGCTTAATACTCATCTAAAGTGTTCACAGAACATTCAGAATTGGTAACAGTGGAATTTTCAACTTTGGAACATATAAGGGATGTTGACAGTGGTCAGGAGTGGAGCCACCTATCCAGAACTACGATCAAGCCTCTTCAGTTCATTAACTGCTAAAAAGCAAACAAAAAGAACCAATATATTATTAGTCATGTCTATCACTGCTACCAAAAGAGAGGAAAAATATTCAAAAGAAAATCTCTTCATGTAAAAGGGAAGTGAAATGCCCTGTAACTTGAGAAAATGCACTTCTAAAATGTGAAGTAGAATAAAATCAGCCTTTTGCTATGTTCTGAAATTATCACTGCAGTTGTATGTGACCTGCTGACGATTTCTAGGCTATTTAAGAAGTTAACAAAATCATCTGGTACACAACCAGTTTCATTTGGTACATTACTAGTGCTTTTCTACTATCATCAGGGAGCCAGTAGAGTACAAGCATCAATTTCGATAAGTTTTAGACAAAAGAATTCAGCTCTTAACTCTGTTATTGACAAATTTCACTTTTTAAAATTTTCAAAGATCTATTACTTTAGAAACGACTCATAGACTCTTGCCTTCATATGCCATCAGTTTAACAAATAGCTACCAATTCTTAAGATTAACAGGTGGAAGTTTCTTTACACATTGGAAACTTTTTAAAAACTAAAGGAACTGAGGAGCATGAAAGCCTATCTTTTAAAAAATGTATGTAACTAAACTAAATTCTTCCAAGAGTACCTTAAAAATGGAATGAGACATCCTATTGCCAATTGTTTTAGACCAGAAGATTGCTGGTGATTTTTCATGATCAATTATTTTGCTTCTCTGAAACAAGTACTAATGGCATTTCTTCATATCATTTTGATTTGTACCAACCACGCTTTTTGTAAGATTAGTGGAGGTGAGAAATGAGGTTGCAATATGAACAGACTAAGTGTTGTATAGAAATGTATAACAAATCTCAGCATGCCACATATATTGACAGTTCAACTATCTAGTTCCTCAGCACAAGCATTCCTATTTTTGGAGACCCACAGCTTAGTCAGTGGCATGATAGAATGGTTATAAAACAATTTTTTAAAATCAAAATCTGTTAGCCTATCTTTTCACTTTGGGGCACAGTTTTACACGTGATAACAATAGTATGCTGATTTCCAACCATAATAACTCATGCATTCCTTGTTTTAGTTCACACCACTATTCTCAATCAGAAGCTTATATTATTATGACATAAAATCTTTTAATAATGTAAATTAATAAGATTTTTCCTCTAAAGTCATTTTGGCTGAATTAGTACAAGGTAAATTGTCTCACCTGTGGAAGTTTCAGAGGATTCTGTTGAATTTGAATCAGTGCCAGTTTTGTCTTTCAAGGTCTGTTTGGCAAGAGTCTCATCTCTATTTTCTTGTGCTTGGCTTTCTTCTTCTTCCTCTTCACCATCTGGAAACTCCCACTGAGACTCGCCCGACTGTTCGTTTACATAGAAATACCGTCTATGATCCCTAAATTACAAGAAAGAAAACACATGTTTTAAAACCCGTTCTCCTACAAAGACACTTCCATTTGGTCCTGTCCCAGGACAGCAGTCTGCTTTCACAGGGACGAACCTCTTAATGGACTGCTATTCACAAAGGCAACAAAGAGCTTTGACAATTGAGAATGGAGAACCAAGGATAATTCAAAGCTATTTGCACTGCCAGCAACTCTGTGAATACAGCCCTGAACCCTCTCACTCCAACAGATGAGACTTAGAAAACACTTTTCTCTTTTTTTGTGATTTGCCAATGCATAACAGGGTTTCAAGTTTCATTAATGAAGGGACTCAATCGCCTAGAACACTAATTTCCCTTCCAAAGAAGAGAACAACGAAGTTTGTGAAAGGTGACTCTTCCCCTCTTGGACCGTGGAATTCACATTTCATATTCTTGATATCAAACACAGTGAAAGCTAAAGAGAGGGAGAGGATCTGGGAGCTGAAAAATAAAAGAGCAAAGATTTCAAATAACGAAAAAAAAATCAAGAAAAGCCAAATATATAAAGAAATGTTTTCATCTGACCTGCTGGCAGAGGATAGTAATCTTGTTCTTCATTCACATCTTCAGCCACGAAGTTTTCCTTAACTTCACCGAGGTTAATCAGGAGTAGTTGCTTCCAGAGGTCCTGTAAAGCGCACAGAGCTCTCGCATGCGCTTAACCCCCAAGCCCGCCCTACTCCGTGCAACACTCTGGAGAGTAAAAACCAGCTTTGTCCATATCTTGGGAAAAAATCCGTTACATGGAACACTTTAAACATTGCTTTTGTTTCTCCAATGTGTGGCTGGCCAAACTTTGTGCTTGCGGTGCTTTGCCTGCCCAGCACCGCTAACTGCAGCTGCTCTCAGTCTCCAGACAGGCTGTCATGTCGTCAGATGGTGGTGATCACAAATCATGTCTGAGATGTCAAAGGTGAAAGGTGAAAAGGGGAGAAGAGTGCGTACCTGTCCCAGTGGCAGGACCAGCCTTTAGGAGTGGCGTTTATTTCATACTGTTTTAGTTGTTCTGCTGCATCCTGAAGTTTTCGTTTAAGGTAGTTTCCATTAAGAGCCCCTTCCCGCCAGTCTGCAATTCGAGTCTAGAATAAACAGACAAATAAGTTAAAGACTTATTATTACATGTCAGGAGACACAGGCAAAGGGGATATAAACCTTCTGCTCCAAGACTATATCCCTGTGCTCTGGCAGGACAGTAGACCAGAGAGGAAAATAAACCCCATCTTCATCTCATAAAATAATCTTAAGGCCGGGCATGGTGGCTCACGCCTGTAATCCCAGCACTTTGGGAGGCTGAGGCGGGTGGATCACCTGAGGTCAGGAGTTCAAGACCAGCCTGGCCAACAAGGTGAGACCCTGTCTGTACTAAAAATACAAAAATTAGCTGGGCTTGGTGGCAGGCGCCTGTAATCCCAGCTACTCGAGAGGCTGAGGCAGGAGAATCAACTGAACCCGGGAGGCGGAGGTTGTGGTGAGCCGAGATCATGCCATTGCACTCCAGCCTGGGCGACAAGAGTGAAACTCCGTCTCAAAAAACATCCCAAGTACGCAGCAGAGTTCTGAAAAATGAAATTGGGCTCCAGTATATTTTAACACTACCAACTCTCCAATATGTGTGAAAATGAGTAGTAGTAGTTTTGTCTTCCCTTTTGGACTTATTAAGATTGGTTTCCCCAGTAGTTTTACTTTTTTTGGGAGATAGTTCACTTATTCCAGTACTGTTAGTAATCACAGTTAAGGATTCAGTTCTTTTTTTTTTTTAGAGACGGACTCGGACTCTGGCTCTGTTGCCCAGGCTAGAGTACAGTGGAGCAATCTCTGCTCGCAACCTTCACCTCCTGGGTTCAAGCGATTCTCCTGCCTCAGCTTCCCGAGTAGCTGGGATTACAGGCATGTGCCACCACGCCCGGCTAATTTTGTATTTTTAGTAGAGATGGAGTTTCACCATGTTGGTCAGGCTGGTCTCGAACTCCTGACCTTGGTGATCTACCTGCCCCGGCCTCCCAAAGTGCTGGGATTACAGGTGTGAGCCACCGTGCCTGGCCAAGGGTTCAGTTCTTAAGAAAATCAGTCAGCTTCCTACAGGAGCTCCTTACCTAATCCTGCCCTGCCATTTTGTAAAGTATGCAGGTTACAAATAGGACTCAACTTTTCTCTTTAAACAGACTTATAATGCTTTAACACTTACAAAGTACCTTCAACATTACATGGCCTCATCTGACCATGATAATATAATTTTAATTTGTGAGAAAAAAGTCTATTTACTGTGCTTTGGTTAACACAGTTTTATTTCCTGGATTGTCGGCTCAAATATTCTTCAAGGTTAAAAATTTAAATTTAGGCTTAAAATGTAAGCAAGACAGAATCGTTAACACATACAGCATTTCATTCAAACACTTAACTGTTTATGCCAAAAAAAAAAAAAAAAAGACTTACCTCAGTCTGTAAGAGCAGCACATGAAAGTTGGAGATGGATTGTCTATTAATGCCTAGAAACTCGAATTTACTTGTCAGGGTATTTGCCAGTTCTCCAATCTGAAACTACAATGCAAAAAAGAAAAAAAGTAAAACTAGAATCCGTAACATTTTCTGTATTATGTACAATCCTTCATTTATTCTTATAGATATTAGAAATATGGGTCTGCCTATAAACAGCCTTCCCCAAACAGCTGTATTTAGTTATCCAGAATATAAAATTCTAATTTATAGTAACATAATACACATAACAAAGTGACAAATAATGACAGGAATCAAATGCATATCTACATAATCACAATGCATTTTAAAAATTATTCAAAACAATTATTTTGTTTCAGACAAAGGTCTTGCTATTGCCCAGGATGCTCCTGAACTCCTGGTCTCAAGTCAGCCTCCTGCCTTAGTCTCCCAAAGTGCTGAGATTACAGATGTGAGCCACTGTGCCCAGCCCATCATAATGCATTCTAATACAACATGGAATTCAATAGTTGCAAATGGATCCCAATATTGAAAAGCTAAACTCAAAGAGTAGAATTAGAATGGTGGTTGCTAGGGGCTGGAGACAGGGGAATATGGGGAGATGTTGGTCAAAGAATACAAACTTTCAGTTATAAAATAAATTTTGGGGCTGGGTGTGGTGGCTCACACCTGTAATCCCAGCACTTTGGGAGGCTGAGGCAGGTGGATCACAAGGTCAATAGATAGAGACCATCCTCGCCAACATCGTGAAACCCCACCTCTACTAAAAATACAAAAATTAGGTGAGGATGGTGGTGCACACCTGTAGTCCCAGCTACTCGGGAGGCTGAGGCAGAAGAATTGCTTGAACCTGGGAGGTGGAGGTTGCAGTGAGCCAAGATTGTGCCACTGCAATCCAGCCTGGTGACAGAGCAAGACTCCATCACCCCAACACCCCCCCCCCCAAAAAAAAAGGAAATCTAAAGCACAGCATGGTGACTACAGTTAACAATACCTGAAATTTGTTAAGAGTATAGATCTGATGTATCATCCCCACATACAAACACAAGACAACTCTCCAAGGTAACGTGATATGTAAGTTACTTTACCTGGTTTGTGATAATCATATCATAATATATACATATAACAAATTATGACATAGTACATGCAAGATATATGTATAGTCAACTACAGCTCAACAAAGCTGGAAAAAATAGATCCTGAATGATATAAATACCAATATTGTCAAATTGCCATTTATCCATTAATTGCTTATATTAGCCACCTGCTGAAGCCTGAAACAAAATTAATTATTCCAGTCCCTTCTACTTGGTTGTTCCCTAACTAGTAACTGGATACTCTTTCAAGTCAAAAGAATATGTTAAGTGGTTTTTCCAACAGACCACCCTTAAATAGCTAATACTTATTTGGTCTAACTCTCCCATGAGATTAGGTTAGAAATGCAATTCAAACTAAATTTGCCTTTGTGTAAAGACAAGTATTTCACACAGGAATTAAATCTGTGACTTTTCTCCCAAACTAGAGAAGCCTATAAGCTACTGCTTCTCAAACAAGAGGCTTAATTTGAAGAAAGCAATTGAGCAGTTAGAATTTTAGATAATTTCTCAGTATCAAGTCAGCCTTAATTATTTCAGACTTAAATATGATCTTTTCACCTAACCAAGTAAACAATTTAGGTTTGGAAACAGTAAAGATTATTTTTACTACTTGTTAACAGAAAGCAGTTTAATAAATGGCATTAAAAAAAAATGGGGCCCGGTGCGGTGGCTCATGCCTGTAATCCCAGCACTTTGGGAGGCCGAGGCAGGTGTATCACGAGGTCAGGAGATCGAGACCATCCTGGTTAACACGGTGAAACCCCATCTCTACTAAAAATAAAAAAATTAGCCAGGCGTGGTGGCGGGCACCTGTAGTCCCAGCTACTCGGGAGGCTGAGGCAGGAGAATGGTGTGAACCCAGGAGGCGGAGCTTGCAGTGAGCCGAGATCATGCCACTGCACTCCAGCCTGGGAAACAGAGCGAGACTCCGACTCACAAAAAAAAAACACTTGCCAGGCGTAGTGGTGGGTGCCTGTAATCTCAGCTACTTGGGAGGCTGAGGCAGGAGAAGTGCTTGAACGTGGGAGGCAGAGGTTGCAGTGAGCCAAGATCGGGCCACGGCACTCCAGCCTGGATGGCAGAGCAACACTCTCTCTTGGGAAAAAAAAAGAAAAAAAAAAAAAATTTGGCGGGCCGGGCGCAGTGGCTGACGCCTGTAATCCCAGCACTTTGGGAGGCCAAGGTGGGGGAATCATGAACGCCAGGAGTTCGAGACCGGCCTGGCCAACATGGTGAAACCCCGTTTCTACTAAAAATACAAAAATTAGCTGGGAGTTGAGGTGCGTGCCTGTAATCCCAGCTACTGGGGAGGCTGAAGCAGGAGAATGGCTTGAACCCAGGAGGCAGGCAGAGGTTGCAGTGAGCTGAGATCGTGCCACTGCACTCCAGCCTGGGTGACAGAGCAAGACTCCGTCTCAAAATAATGATAATAATAATAAAAATTTGTCAAGTTGCATTAAGTAATATACATACTTTCAAATCCTGTTCTTCTTCTACTTTTGGTGTTGTCTGTACTTTTATTTTCTCTGGAGATTCTTCTACTTCCATCTCTTTATCTGAATTCTCATCTATTTTTTCTGAATTTTCAGCACCAATTGCTGTAAAAAAAACATGTAAAATTAAACCAAAGTACCAATACTTATAGAACACTATATACCTTTTCCCCCATAGCAGATATCTGCAAAAGATTATTAGTTCTTTCTCTCTTGCCTGTTTTACTTACTTGTTAAAACTCTTCAAACATGTCAGCCTACTGTCTATATAACCCAAAAACAATTCAGGGCCGGGCACAGTGGCTCATGCCTGTAATCCCACCACTTTGGCATTTGGAGGTGAAAAGATCACGAGGTCAGGAGATCGAGACCATCTTGGCTAACACAGTAGAACCGTCTCTACTAAAAATACAAAAAATTAGCCACGCATGGTGGCATGTGCCTGTAGTCCCAACTGAGGCAGGAGATATGCTTGAACCCGAGAGGCGGAGGTTGCAGTGAGCCGAGATTGCGCCACTGTACTCCAGCCTGGGTGACAGAGTGAGACTCCATCTCAAAAAATAAATAAATAAAATAAAAATCCTTTATAATCAACTTTCTTAAAATACATCTATAAGTAAAATTTACTTTAGCCTATCAAATTACCCTTAAGTTTCTGCTTTCCCCTTCTCCTTAACATCTTTTCTAATCTTCTCTTCCAGAATACCACTGCTTCAATTACTTATAATAGCTAGACAGCAAACCTGAGTATGTAAGAATTCTTTAACAAGTTGCAGGGGAAGGTGCTCAAAAGAGCAACATTATTAGCATTATTATTTTTTAGAGACAGGGTCTCATTCTGTCGCCCAGGCTGGAGTGCAGTGGCATGATCTCGGCTCACTGCAGCCTCAACCTCCTAGGCTCAACGGATCCTCCCACCTCAGCCTCCCAAGTAGCTGGGACTACAGGCAGGTGCCACCGTGTTCAGCTAGTTTTTGTATTTTTAGTAGAGATGGGGTTTCACCATGTTGCCCAGGCTGGTCTCAAACTCCTGGACTCACGCAATCTGCCTGCCTCAGCCTCCCAATGTGCTGGGATTATAGGTGTAAGCCACTGCACCCAGGCTGCATCATAATTTTTTTTTTTTCTGAGATGGAGTTTCGCTCTTGTTGCCCAGGCTGGAGTACAGTGGCGTGATCTTAGCTCATTGCAACCTTTACCTCCCAGGTTCAAGTGATTCTCCTACCTCAGCCTCCCAAGTAACTGGGATTACAGGCATGTGCCACCAAGCCTGGCTACTTTTGTATTTTTAGTAGAGATGGGGTTTCACCATGTTAATCAGGCTAGTCTCGAACTCCTGACTGGTGATCCGCCCGGCTAGGCCTCTCAAAGTGCTGGCATTACAGGCGTTAGCCACCACGCCCGGCATGCATCATTATTTTCAAACCATCTGGTAACTTCCTTCCTGAACTGGTGAAGACCTACAGACATCTATATTGAATCCACCTACTTAGTTGGTGCTATTGGTAATGGGAATCTCCAAAAGAGAAGAGGTCTACCAACTTAAAACGGAGCACACAATATGAACTCTTTTATCTTTGCTTTCCAACACCTGCATACTCAAACTAATTCACACAGTCTGAATGACTGCCAGTTAAAAAGCCAAAAATGGCCGGGCATGGTGCCTCACGCCTGTAATCCCAGCACTTTGGGAGGCCGAGGAAGGTGGATCACCTGAGGTCAGTTCAAGACCAGCCTGGCCAACACGGTGAAACCCTGCCTCTACTAAAAATACAAAAAATTAGCTGGGTGTGGTGCTGGGCGCCTGTAATCCCAGCTACTCAGGGGGCCGAGGCAGGAGAATCGCTTGAACCTGGGAGGTGGAGGTTGCAGTGAGCCGAGATTGCACCATTGCAGTCCAGTCTGGGCAACAAGAGCAAAACTCCGTCTAAAAAATCATCATAATTTTTTAAAAAGCCAAAAATACCTCAAATGTGAAAACCGTGACTTTGGGTAATCCTTCATCTTCAGGATTAAAAGTAAAAATGTAACTTTAAATAGCTTTTAATATTTTAAACTTTTTTTTTTGAGATGGAATCTTTGTCGCCCAGGCTGGAGAACAGTGGAGCTATCTCGGCTCATTGCAATCTCAACCTCCTGGGTTCAAGCAATTCTCCTGCCTCAGCCTTCCAAGTAGCTGGGGCTTCAGGTGTTTGCCACCATGCCCAGGTAATTTTTTTTTTTTTTTTTTTTTTTTTTTTTTTTTTTTTAGTAGAGACAGGGTTTTGCCATGTTGGCCTGGCTGGTTTCAAACTCCTGGCCTCAAGTGATTTGTCCACCTCAGCCTCCCAAACCGCTGGGATTACAGATGTGAGGCACGGCGCCTGGCTTTTTTTTTTTGAGGCACGGTCTTACTCTGTTGCCCAGGTGGGAGTATAGTGGTATGATCACAGCTTATTGCAGTCTTGACCTCCTCCAGCCTCATTTTTTGTTTTTTAGTAGAGACAAAGTCTCACTATGTTGCCCAGTTTGGTCTCGAACTCCTGAACTCAAGTAATCCCCATGCCTCAGCCTCCCAGAATGCTGGGATTAAAGCTGAGCTATTGCATCCGGCCTAAAACTTTTTATTAAGTCCTTAACCTTATAATATAATAGCCTGGCTCTCCTTTTACCTGATCGTTAATATTCCCTCTTTATTATCAAATTGTCTGAAACAAAATCTTCCCACTAATCCCATTTATTAATTTTTAATGCCATTATATATTAAAAGTCTTCTATCTGGTGGCAGGTCCAAGAATTTAACAATTTTAAGGATGGCTAGAGTTAAAGACTAGAATGTTTTGGAGGGCAAGTACACAGGCTCTATTAAATTAGAATGCACACACCCCTTTGACCTGGCAATATACCACTAGGAATCTTTACTGCTGTGAAACTAGAATGTACATAAAATATATTCATCAGGATGTTACCACAGTATTATTTATTGTGAAACAGGTTAACAAATGCATATAATATAAAGAATAAAATTAGCTCAGTGAGGTGGCACAAGCCTATAATTCCAGCACTTTGGGGGAGCGAGGCAGGAGCATCAATTGAGCCCATGAATTCAAAGCTGCATTATGATTATGTCAACTATATTCGGCCTGGATGACAGAGTAAAATCTGTCTCCTTTTTCTTTTGAGATGGGAGTTTTGCTCTTGTTGCCCAGCCTGGAGTGCAATGGTGCGATGTTGGCTCACCACAACCTCCATCTCCCAGGTTCAAGCGATTCTCCTGCCTCAGCCTCCCGAGTAGCTGGGATTACAGGCATGCGCCACCACGCCCGGCTAGTTTTATGTATTTTTGTTTGTTTGTTTGTTTGTTTAGTAGAGACAGGGTTTCTCCACGTTGGTCAGGCTGGTCTCGAACTCTCAATCTCGGGTGATCCGTCTGTCTCGGTCTCCCAAAGTGCTTGGATTATAGGCGTGAGCCAGGCCAACATCCTCTCTCTTAAAAGAAACAAAAATTCAAGTAAATTGGTCAGGCGCAGTGTCTCACGCCTGTAATCCAAGCACTTTGGGAGGCAGAGACGGGCGGATCACCTGAGGTCGGGAGTTCGAGATTAGCCTGGCCAACATGATAAAACCCTGTCTGTACTAAAAATACAAAAATTAGCTGCGCAAGGTGGCGTGCGCCTGTAATCCCAGCTACTCGGGAGGCTGAGATAGAACTGCTTGTACCCGGGAGGTGGAAGTTGCAGTGAGCCACGATCGTGACACTGCAGTCCAGCCTGGGTGACAGAGTGAGACCCCGTCTCAAAAAAAAAGTAAATATAACATGGCTTATTAAAATATCAAAATATTAACATGTTAATATTGAGTCTTCCCAGGTTTCTCTGCCATCACAGCCACACCAGATATGACCTCTACCCTCATGGTGCCAGTCATTATGTTCCTTTAGCTTCCTCATGGACAGATCTTTAAGCACAACATACATATGTATTTGTTTTTTTTTTCCCCGAGACAGTCTCACTCTGTCGCTTAGGCTGAAGTGCAGTGGCACAAACTCGGCTCACTCCAACTTCCGCCTCCTGGGTTCAGGTGATTTCCTGCCTCAGTCTCCCAAGTAGCTGGGATTACAGGCGAGCACCACCAGGTGCAGATAATTTTGTATTTTTAGTAGAGACGGGGTTTCACCATGTTGGCCAAGATGGTCTCGATCTCCTGACCTCGTGATCCACCTGCCACGGCCTCCCAAAGTGCTGGGATTACAGGCATGAGCCACTGCACCCAGCCACATTTTTTTTGTGTGTGTGATGGAGTCTCATTCTATTGCCCAGGCTGGAGTGCAGTGGTGCCATCTCAGCTCACCACAACCTCCACCTCCCCAGTTCAAGAGATTCTCCTACCTCAGTCTCCCAAGTAGCCGCCACGCCCAGCCTATTTTGCAGTTTTGGTAGAGACGGGGTCTCACCATGTTGGCCAGGCTGGTCTCGAACTCCTGACCTCAGGTGATCCACCCACCATGGCCTCCCAAAGTGCTGGGATTACAGGCGTGAGCCACCGTGCGCCAGTCTGTTTTTCTTTTTCTTTTGAGGCAGGGTCTTGCTCTGTCACTCAGGATGGACTGTAGTGGTGTAATCATAGCTCACTGCAGCCTCGAACTCCTGGGCTCAAGCTATCTTCCTCCCTCAACATCCTGAGTAGCTGGGATTATATCCGTGTGCCACCACACTGGCTAATTTTTAAAAAACATTTTAGAGACAGTGTCTTGCTATATTGTCCAGGCTGGTCTTGACTCCTGGCCTCAAATGATCTTTCCGCTTTGCCCTCCGAAAGTAAATATTATTGTTTCTATGATTAAGCCACATTGATGCACATAACTATGGTATGTTCACTTTGTCACTGCTGCTTAGTATTCCTTTCTAAGAATATACCACAGGGCTGGTCGCAGTGGCTCACGCCTGTAATCCCAGCACTTTGGGAGGCTGAGGCGGGTGGATCACAAGGTCAGGAGTTCAAGAACAGCCTGGCCAAGATGGTGAAACCCCATCTCTACTAAAAATACAAAAATTAGTCAGGCGCAGTGGCAGGCGCCTGTAATCCCAGCTACTCGGGCGGCTGAGGCCGGGGAATCGCTTGAACTCGGAGGGTGGAGGTTGCAGTGAGCTAAGATCATCCACTGCACTCCAGCCTGGGCGACAGAGTAAGACTCCGTCTCAAAAAAAAATAAAAAAATAAAGAATGCACCACAATTTATCTATGATACCTCTAATGGACATTTGAGTGCTCTATAGGGTTTTTTTTCATAGCACAAATGCAGCAATTTTTTTTAGTGAAACATGGACACAATTTAAATGTCCATCAACAGTGGGCAGAGTTAAATACGCACATCTACACCACTCAGTTTTAACCAATGAACAATAATTTTTAAGGCACGTTGTTAAGTGAAAACTGTATGTTGCCTAATAATCTATATGCTCTCATATATGGTAAAATTTACATATATACACATAAACACACTCATACATACCTAACTGTAAACGTATATAAAGAACATGGTCTGGAAGGATATATGTTTATAAAGGACAGAGAAAATAGCTGGGCACAGCTGGGATTACATGCCTGTACTCCCACTGCTTTGGGAGGCCAAGGTGGGCAGATCACCTAAGATCAGATGTTTGAGACCAGCCTGGCCAACATGGTGAAATCCCATTTCCACTAACAACACAAAAACTAGCTGGGCATGGTAGCAGGCGCCTGTAATCCCAGCTACTCAGGAGGCTGAGGCAGAGAATTGCTTGACCCCGGGAGGTGGAGGTTCCAGTGAGCAGAGATCGTACCACTGCACTCCAGGCTGGGGGACAGAGCAAGACTCCGTCTCAAAAAAAAAAAAAAAAAAAAAAAAAAAAGGACCACGGGGTAGGGAATGAGAATAATGAAAAGATAAAGAGGATTTACAGAATTTTCCTTTATGTTATTTCGAACTGCCAACTGAAAAGAAAAAATTCAGGCTAGGGGTGCTGGCTCATGCCTGTAATCCCAGCACCTTGCAAGGCTAAGGTGGGCAGGTCACCTGAGGTCAGGAGTTCGAGACCAGCCTTGCCAACATGGTGAAACCCCATCTCTACTGAAAAATACAAAAAATTAGCTGGGCGTGGTGACGGGCGCCTGTAATCCCAGCTACTCAGGAGGCTGAGGCAGCAGAATCACTTGAACCCAGGAGGCACAGGTTGCAGTGAGCCAAGACTGCACCATTGCACTCCAGCCTGGGCAACAAGAGTGAAACTCCGTCTCAAAAAATATAAATAAAAAGAAAAGAAAAAATTCAAACAAGGATGTCTTTCTTTATTTAACACCTGTATTGTTGTTTTTTTTTTGTTTGGTTCTTTGTTTCTTTTTTTTCTTTTATCAAGAAACAAGGGTCTTGCTATGTTGCCCAGCTAGCCTGGAACTCCTAGGGTCCAGGGATCCTTCTGCCTCAGTTTCCTGTGAAGCAGCACTGGGCTGTTTTTGAACCACGATCCATAAAAGTATTTTCTTCTAGGTGTACTCAACTAAGGTTTGGCGTCCTTATCTTACTGCTGACTTTCCACTACAGAATTAGGGCCACAGCTGAAAGCGGTGGCTCACGCCTGTAATCCCAGCACTTTGGGAGGCGGGCGGATCAACTGAGATCAGGAGTTCGAGATCAGCCTGGCCAACATGGCGAAACTCCGTCTCTACTAAAAATACAAAAAATAGCCAGGCGCGGTGGCAGGCACCTATAATCCCAGCTACTCGGGAGGCTGAGGTAAGAGAATTGCTTGAATCTGGGAGGCGGAGGTTGCAGTGAGCCAAGATCATGCCTTTGTACTCCAGCCTGGGTGACAGAGTGAGACCTCCGTCTCAAAAAGGAAAAGAAAAAAAAATAATTAGGGCCAAATGGAGATTAAAATATTAGCTTCATCCAGGGATCTCTGAAAATAGATTAAAAAATGCAGCAGGAGCTCTTCGACCTTACCATGAATGAATGATAAGGTCCTTATTACCTGAATGAAGACAACTTGGGTCCTCATGACACAATCAAACTCTCTACCCACCCACACAGAGGCTGGGCAACGTAGACAGAGAGAAGAAATGGGACTGGACTCTGAATACACCACCATCCAGTGGGTGTCAGCCTCTCAGGCTCTTACTCCTCTACTAGAAAAAGATCTGGAAAAGGTAGAGAGGTGGATGGAAGCTTCCTTCCCAGCACTTCTCCCAAAGAGTAAAAGTACAATCTCCTGTTTTGTTGAAGAGGAAACAAAAAAAGACAAGAGTTTCCTTCCCCTCTATATCTTTCAACTCTGAAGTTTAATGTGAAGCACAAATTACCAGTTTCTCCATTTTCTGGAGTATCTCGTCCAGTTTTACTAGAACTCCTACTGGTAGATTCTGGACTGGTAGCTCGAACAAACATCTTCCATTTTCCTCTTTTAGACATAAGCCTACGCATTCCATCTTGAGATGCTGGCTGGCTGATATCAGAACGTGGACTAGACCCTGACACACTACCATCTCCTTCCTCCAAGGCTCGCAACTCTGCCTACAAAGAACATGACAATTAAGTTAGTGTCATTAACTGCTTATTAATATGTATAATCAGAATAATAAACAAGACTATGTTGTTGAAATTTAAATTCTTTGAGAACAGAAAGCACTTTTTTTTTTTTGGAGACAGGCTCTCCCTCTGTTGCCCAGGTTGGAGTGCAGTGGCATGATCATGGCTCGCTGTAGCTACAACCTTCTGAGCTCAAGCAATCCTCCCACCTCACCCTTCCAAGTAGCTGGAACTACAGGCACATGTCATCATACTTTTTTTTTCTAGTAAGAGATGATATCTGGGTATGTTGCTCACATTGGTCTCAACTTCTGGGCTCAAGTGATCTCCTGCTCAGCCTCCCAAAGTCCTGGGATTACAGGCATGAGCCACTGCACTCGGCCTACTCACTCTATTTTTATTTTTTAATTTTGCCCATTTTTTTGTGGGTACATAGTAAGTGTATATATTTATGGGATACATGAGATGTTTTGACACAGGTATGCAATGTGAAATAAGCACATCATGGAGAATGGGATAACCATCCCCTCAAGCATTTATCCTTTGAGTTACAAATAATCCAACTTCATTCTTTAAAGTTATTTTATAATATACAGTTATTATTGACTAGTCACCCTACTGTGCTATCAAATAGTAGGTCTTATTCATTCTTTCTGGTTTTTTTCTGGTACCCATTTGTATAAGTCTGAGTAATGTCAAGTCTCTTTATTGATTATCAACTACCTGTTGTGGGAAGTCAGGGATCCTGAATGGAAGGACCAGCTGAAGCCATGGCAGAGGAACATAAATTGTGAAGATTTCATTTTAATATGGACATTTATCAATTCCCAAATAACACTTTTACAATTTCTTATGCCTTTCTTACTTTAATCTCTTAATCCTGTTATCTTAGTAAGCTGAGGATGTACATCACCTCAGGACCACTGTGATAATTGTGTTAACTGTACAAATTGATTGTAAAACGTGTTTGAACAGTATGAAATCAGTGCACCTTGAAAAAGAACAGAGTAACAGTGATTTTTAGGGAACAAGGGAAGAAAACCATAAGGTCTCACTGCCTGCAGGGTCAGGCAAAAAGAGCCATATTTTTCTTCTTGCATAGAGCCCATAAATGGACATGCAAGTAGGGAAGATATCGCTAAATTCTTTTCCTAGCAAGGAATATTAATATTAATATCCTGGGGAAGGAATGCATTCCTGGGGGTAGGTCTATAAACTGCCGCTCTGGGAATGTCTGTCCTATGCGGTTGAGATAAGGACTGAGATACGCCCTGGTCTCCTGAAGTACCCTCAGGCTTATTAGGGTGGGGAAAAACCCGGCCCTGGTAAGTCTGTGGTCAGACTGATTCTCTGCTCTTGAACCCTGTTTTCTGTTGTTTAAGATGTTTATCAAGACAACATGTGCACCGCTGAACATAGACCCTTATCAGTACCTTTTTGCCCTTTGAAGCACATGATCTACTCCCTGTTCTTACACCTCCTCCCCTTTTGAAACCCTTAATAAAAAACTTGCTGGTTTGAGGCTCGGGTGGGCATCATAGTCCTACCGATATGTGATGTCACCCCCGGCGGCCCAGCTGTAAAATTCCTCTCATTATACTCTTTCTATTTCTCAGCTGGCCGACACTTATGGAAAATAGAAAGAACCTAGGTTGAAATATTGGGGGTGAGTTCCCCCGATAACTACCAAAAGTATCATCAAGGACCAAAAAACCTACACCTCTGTAGTTTAAAGTTTTTGCTGCATAAGCTTCAACATACCTAGATGATGGGATAAGAAAAACAAAATCCCAATAATGGTTGTAAGTCAAGCACAATGATCCCTGTAGAGTAGTACTGAGGAAAAAACATTCTACAAGTAACTTTCAAAAGCTTACTTTTTTCCTTTCCAAAACTAGCTCCAGTTCAAGGGTATCTTGTTCCTCTTCCTCCTCACTTTCTCCAGATTGGACAACACTGCAAAGATCCTCCTGAGAAGGGTCTTCTATATTGTCCAACATAATTTCCTGTGGCTTTACTATTGTTGTTGCTTCTTCTACTGTTGTACTTGTTTCTTTTACTTCTGAAACTGGCTCCTCTTTACAAATTACTTTTCTTCTCCATCTCTCTTCTTCTTCTTTTATTCCCTCAGGCAATAAAGGAGCAAGCAGCGATGCTGCCACCCCTTTCTTCTCCTCCTCACTATTTGAGAGAGCCTGAATTCCTTCATTTACTTCCTATAAAGAACAAAATAATTTAGTCTCATTTAATTCTGAAACAAATCTCACCTGCACATACATTCAATTGCACACACATTCATATTAACTGTTTTCAGTAGCTGAATACTCAAGGTAAAAACGACTTTTTTTTTTTTTGAGATGGAGTCTCGCACTGTCACCCAGGCTGGAGTGCAGTGGCACAATCTTGGCTCACTGCAACCTCTGCCTCCCAGGTTCAAGCTATTCTCCTGTCTCAGCCTCCCAAGTAGCTGGGATTACAGGCGCCCGCCACCATGCCCAGCTAATTTTTTGTATTTTTAGTAGAGGCCTTTCACCACGTTGGCCAGGCTGGTCTCAAACTACTGACCTTGTGATTTGCCCACCTCAGCCTCCCAAAGTGCTGGGATTACAGGTGTGAGCCACCGTGCCCGGCCAAAACCACTTACTCCCAACAGGTGAGTATATATTTATACCATTACATTATTACTTTAGACAGACACTGACTGAATGAGAGCCTAGTTCTAGGTAGGATTCAAATATATCCTCCCTGCTATTCTCAGGATGTCAAAAGGCAGACTAGTAGTAAACAGAGATAGATTTAAGATCAGTATTTTGTCAGCTCATAACATGACTGGATAAATCTTTACCTTCTTCTGTATGATGAGAAATTTTTTTTTTTGAGAGAGTCTCACTCTGTTGCCCAGGAGTGCAATTGCGTGATCTCAAGTCACTGCAACCTCTGCCTCCCAGGTTCCAGCGATTCCCAGCCTCACAGCCTTAGCCTCCCAAGTAGCTGGGATTACAGGGATGCACCACTACACCCAGCTCATTTTTGTTTCTGTTTTTGAGACGAACTCTCGCTCTTCTTGCCCAGGCTGGAGTGCAAAGTGTGATGTCGGCTCACTGCAACGTCTGCCTCCCGGGTTCAAGCAATTTCCCTGCCTCAGCCTCCTGAGCAGCTGGGATTATAGGCGAGAGCCACCAAGCCTGGCTAATTTTTTTTGTACTTTTAGTAGACACAGGGTTTCACCACGTTGGCCAGGCTGGTCTCGAACTCCTGACCTCAGGTGATCCGCCCACCTTGGCAACAGGCCCAATTTTTGTATTTTTAGTAGAGACAGGGTTTTACCAGGTTGGCCAAGTTGATCTTGAACTCCTGACCTCAGGTGATCTGCCCACCTCAGCCTCCGAAAGTGCTGGGATTACAGGCGTGAGCCACCATGCTGGGCCTGATAAGAAAATTTAGTAAGTATGCCATGAAGGTGATTTAGACTAAAGTGAACTATTCCTAGGCCGGGCGCAGTGGCTCATGCCTGTAATTCCAGCACTTTGGGAGGCCAAGGCAGGCGGATCACAAGGTCAGGAGTTTGAGACCAGCCTGGCCAACATAGTGAAACCCCATCTCTGCTAAAAATACAGAAATTAGCCCGGCATGGCGGCGTGCGCCTGTAATCCCAGCTATTCGGGAGGCTGAGGCAGAAGAATCGCTTGAACCTGGGAGGCAGAGGTTGCAGTGAACTGAGATCATGCCACTGTACTCCAGCTCGGATGACAGTGTGAGAGACTGTCTCAAAAAAATAAAATAGCTGGGCGTGGTGGCTCATGCCCGTAATCCCAGCACTTTGGGAGGCCAAGGTGGGAGGATCACATGGTCAGGAGTTCGAGATCAGCCTGGCCAATATGGTGAAACCCCGTCTCTACTAAACTACAAAAATTAGCCGGGCGTGGGACAGGCGCCTGTACTCCCAGCTACTCGGGAGGCTGAGGCAGGAGAATCGCTTGAACCCGGGGGGTGGAGGTTGCAGTGAGCAGAGATCGCGCCACTGCACTCCAGCCTGGGTGACAGAGCTAGGCTAGGTCTCAAAGAAAAAAAAAATAATAAAAATAAAAAATAAAAATAAAATAAAATAAAATAAAATGAACTATTCCTGAAATGAAATTTGTGATTAAAGTATCTGCTTCTCCCATTGGGGTAACACTTGTCCTATCCTCCTTTCTGTAACTGTAAATTTAAGTTATTATTATTATTTCTGGATGGTCTCACTCTGTCCAGGCTGGAACACACTGGCACAATGATAATTTTGAACTCCTGGGCTCAAGCTATCCTCTTGCCTCTGCCTCCTGAGTAGCTGGGACTACAGGTGTGTGCTACCTTGCCTGGGTAATTTTTCTTTTGTAGAGATGGGGTTGATCTTGTTATGTTTTCCAGGCTGGTTTAGAACTCCTGCACTCAAGCCATCTTCCTGCCCTGATTAAATTATTATTTTATTATTATTATTAAATTTTTTTTTGAGATGGAGTCTCACTCTGTCACCCAGGCTGGAGTGCAGTGGTGCGGTCTCAGCTCATTGCAACCTCTGCCTCCCAGATTCAAGCGATTCTCCTGCCTCAGACCCCCAAGTAGCTGGGACTACAAGCATGTGCCACTACACCCAGTTATTTTAGTATTTTTAATAGACGGGGTTTTACCATGTTGGCCAGGCTGGTCTTGAACTCCTAACCTCAAGTGATCCGCCTGCCTTGACCTCTCGAAGTGCTGGGATTACAGGTGTGAGCCACTGCGCCAAGCTCAATTATATTATTTTAAAGTATTTTTTTTGGGCTACATGCAGTAGCTCACACCTATAATGTAAGCAATTTGGGAGGCCGAGGCAGAAGCATCACTTGAGCTCAGAGTTTGAGACCTGTCTGGCAAACATGGTGAGACCACGTCTCTCAAAAAACAAACAAACAAACAAACAAACAAACAAAACCTGGCATGGTGGTGCACACCTGTAGTCCCAGCTACTAAGCAGTCTGAGGCAGGACTGCTTGAGCTCAGGAGAGTAAATCTGCAGTGAGCCATGGTCGTGCCACTGTACTCTAGCCTGGGTGACAGAGTCAGATCCTGTCTCAAAAATAAGTAAATAAAAAGGAAAGGTGCGGTGGCTTGTGCCTGTAATCCCAGCGTCTGAGGCAGGTGGATCACTTGAGGTCAGGAGTTCAAGACCAGCTTGACCAACTGGTGAAACCTCGTCTCTACTAAAAAAAAATAGAAAAATTAGTCAGGCGTTGTGCCTGTAATCCAAGCTACTCGGGAAGTTGAGGCAGAATTGCTTGAAACTGGGAGGCGGAGGATGCAATGAGCTGAAATCGCGCCACTCCCTTCCAGCCTGGGTAACCAAGCAAGACTCTGTCTCAAAAAGAAAAAAATTAAAATTAAAATATATTTTGATGCAAAAAAGTCTTTAAAATTGAAGATAAATTGGAATTCAATATACACTCCCTAAGGAATACAACTTACTTTTCTTACTAATTAGGCTATAGAAATGCTCAGGTTTCACTAACATAGTATCCGTTATTGAAAAATCCAAAATCTGAAACCGTTTGAGCACTGACATGATGATCAAAGGAAATGCTCACTGGAGCATCTCAGATTTCACATTTTCAGATTAAGAATACTCAACTGCTAAGTATAACGCAAATATTTCAGAATTCAAAAAAATTCAAAATCTAAATTATCTCCGATCCCAGGCATTTCAATTAAGAAATACTCAACCTGCAGTAGTTTTTAAAGTAGTTACCTTTATATTTTTAAAATGTCTTATATATGGAATCCGAAAAATAATAGAATGATTC
This sequence comes from Homo sapiens, assembly GCF_000001405.40. Lineage (NCBI taxonomy): Eukaryota > Metazoa > Chordata > Mammalia > Primates > Hominidae > Homo > Homo sapiens. The sequence continues at coordinate 47,749,995 of NC_000011.10, forward strand.
TATGTGAAGTGGAGCCCTGTCTGGACTGCTGCTCCCACGTCCTTTGCAATGATCCAAGAGGCCTCTGTGATACCCTAAAGCTCTCAAAGAAAAAGTGAAGTGGGCCAGCTGCAGTGGCTCATGCCTGTAATCTCAGCACGTTGGGAGGCTGAGGCAGGTAGATCACCTGAGGTCAGGAGTTTGAGACCAGCCTGACCAACATGGTGAAACCCTGCCTCTAATAAAAATACAAAAATTAGCCAGGCATGGTGGCAGGTGCCTGTAATGCCAGCTACTCAGAAGGCTGAGGCAGGAGAATCACTTCTTGAGCCTGGGAGGCAGAGGTTGCAGTGAGCTGAGACAGCACCACTGCGCTCCAGCCTGGGCAACAGAGCGAGACTCCATATCAAAAAAAAAAAAAAAAAAAAAAAAAAGGCCAGATGTGGTGGCTCACGCTTGTAATCCCAGCACTCTGGGAGGCCAAGGCAGGCGGATCATGAGGTCAGGAGATCGAGACCATCCTGGCTAACACAGTGAAACACCGTCTCCACTAAAAATACAAAAAATAAGCCAGGTGTGGTAGCGGGTGCTTGTAATCCCAGCGACTCAGGAGGCTGAGGCAGGAGAATGGTGTGAACCCGGGAGGTGGAGCTTGCAGTCAGCTGAGATCGCACCACTGTACTCCAGCCTGGGTGACGGGGCGAGACTCTGTCTCAAAAAAAAAAAAAAAAAAAAAAAAAAAAAGAAAAAAGAAAAAAGAAAAAGTCAAGTGAGTAACCGCTATAAAGGCTACATAATACACAGAAACAAAGTGAAAGTTATGAAACTTATCCTATTTCACATGTATGACATAAAATATTAAGAGAAGGCTTCCACTCCTGTGCTCAGAGTAACGCTTATTAGATCTGAAAATAAACAAATGAGGTAAGTTTCGACACTGACCTTTTTAACTTCTCGCTTGGCTATGACTGGTCCACTTTTACTACTGGAAACAGAAATCGTTTTCTCCTTAGAATATATGTCTGTATTTACCACAAAACTAGTTTCAGCACCTGGCACAGAACTAAAAAAATATATACTTAGCAAGAGAAATATAAGACAAATACTATCAGCAAAAGATAAGGCTTCAATTTCCTTCTAGGCAATTTCACTTTTAAATTTATTCTTACCTGGGCTGGTAATGCTGTAATCCCTGTACCTGTGTGGCAAGATATTGGGGTAACTCCCAAGTCACTTCATTTGTTTGTGTATTCCAATAATAATAACATCCCGTGTTCTCATCCCAGACTTCCTGCCAATCGCCCATCTCAATTCCGACTAGAAGATAAAACAAATTTTAAGCACAAATCCCTCTACAATTCTGGCTTACATATAAGCTCAAAAGCCAAAATCACCTAACAGTTTCTCAAAACAGCACTGTTAACTTTTGGGCACACAGGTCTTTGTTGTGGAGGGGCAATCCTATGTGGAGGTTTTAGCAGCACCCCTGGCCTCTGCCCACTAGATACAGTAGCACTCCCATCCACCCTGCCTCCTACATTGTGACAATAAAAAATATTTGACAGACATTGTCAAATATCCCCTAGGGGCACCCCCCAACACTGGTTGAGAACCACTGGCCTAACACCAAGAATTATTTTCTCAATATCTAACATTTAGAGTCACCTTTGAACACATTTTTTAAAAAAAAACAGTTTGGCCGGCTACAGTGGCTCATGCCTGTAATCCCAGCATTTGGGAGGCCAAGGTGGGCAGATCACCTAAGGTCGGGAGTTTGAGACCAGCCTGATCAACATGCAGAAACCCTGTCTCTACTAAAAATACAAAAATTGGGCGTGGTGGTGCGTGCCTGTAATCCCAGCTACTCGGGAGGCTGAGGCAGGAGAATTGCTTGAACTCGGGAGGCAAAGGCTGCGATGAGCCAAGATTGCACCATTGCACTCCAGCCTGGGCAACATGAGCAAAACTCCACCTCTAAATTAGTAAATAGAAAAAAGCAGTTTGCTGGTCCAAAAATGTACCTAAAATACTTTGAATATCATGGCTTTTCTTATTCAACTGGCAAGGACAAGCAATTACTTTTTAAAAGATAAAAATTACATCCTACTAGTTTTCTGAGCCGACTATCCTACCTACCATCTTCAACATGCTTTATTTAAAAAGACAGAGGTTGGGCGCGGTGGCTCAAACCTGTAATCACAGCACCTTGGGAGGCCGAGGCAGGTGGATCCCCCGAGGTCAGGAGTTCGAGACCAGCTTTGCCAACATCGTGAAACCCCATCTCTACTAAAAATACAAAAAATTTGCTGGGCGTGGTGGTGGGTGCCTGTAATCCCAGCTGCTCAGGAGACTGAGGCAGAAGAATTGGTTGAACCTGGGAGGCGGAGGTTGCAGTGAGCCGAGATCGCATCACTGCACTCCAGCCTGGGCAACAAGGGTGAAACTCAGTCTCAAAAAAAAAAAAAAACAATTAAATAAATAAAAATAAAAAGACAGAATCCTAAAGTCTAAGGTTAAAGTCTCTGGGCTTTCATCTTTAGAAAACTGAATGCCAGCCGGGAGCGATGGCTCACACCTGTAATCCTAGCACTGTGGGAGGCCAAGGCAGGCTGATTTCCTAAGCTCAGGAGTTCGAGACCAGCCTTGGGCAACACAGTGAAACCACGTCTCTACTAAAATACAAAAGAGAAATTAGCCAGGCATGGCAGTGTGCGCCTGTAGTCCCAGTTACTCAGGAGGCTGAGGGAGGAGAACTGTCTGAACCCAGGAGGTGGAGGTTGGAGCGAGCCAAGATCGCGCCAGTGCACTCCAGCCTGGGCGACAGAGCGAGATTCCATCTCAAAACAAACAAACAAACAAACAAACAAAAAACCAGAAAAGTGAATGCCTAGAATCCCTTTAAGGATTTTACTTTTCTTTAAAAATCAAAGGATCAAGTTTACCTCCTGCCAGTGAACACTGAGTATCATATTGCCAACCAGATGTTTGGGTGGAGTCTGTTCCATTTGAAGTAGAAGAAGAAAGGGTAGATGTTGCTGCTTCCTTTGGCTCTGGTCGAGGTGGAGTTGGAGGTGGAGCAGAAGCTCCTACAGGAGCTGCAGGCTGAGGAGCTGTTATGGCATCGATCTCCTTCAGTATGAAAAGAGTAACAAATGCAGTAATTATATCAAAAACAAGAAACTTAAGGAAATGGCAATCACTTTTTAAAAATTCTACATGAGCCGGGCACAGTGGCTCACACCTACAGTTCCAGCACTTTGGGAGGCTGAGACAGGTGGATCACTTGAGGTCAGGAATTCGAGACCAGGCTGGCCAACATGGTGAAATCTCCCTCTACTAAAAATAAAAAAAATTAGGCTGGGCACGGTGGCTCACGCCTGTAATCCCAGCATTCTGGGCGGCCAAGGCGGGCGGATCACCTGAGGTCAGAAGTTCAAAACCAGCCTGGCCAATATGGTGAAAACTTGTCTCTACTAAAAATACAAAAATTAGCTGGATGTGGTGGTGGGCACCTGTAATCTCAGCTACTTGGGAGGCTGAGGCACTAGAATTGCTTGAATCTGGGAGGCGGGGATTGCAGTGAGCCGAGATCACGCTACTGCATTCCAACCTGGGTGAAAGAGCAAGACTCTGTCTCAAAAAAAACAAAAAACAAAAAAAAAAGAATACAATTATTATCGGGCGTGGTGGCACATGCCTGTAATCCCAGCTACTCAAGAGGCTGAGGTGGGAGAATTACTTGAACCTGGGTGGCAGAGGTTGCAGTGGGCCAACATCACGCCACCACATTTCAGCCTGGGTGACAGTAAGACCCAGTCTCGAGGGAGAAAAAAAAAATTCTAGATACTCATTCTAAGCTTCTCAAATCAAAACCCTCATCTTCCAATTATACAAGCTCCCCAGTCTCTTCTAATTTGCCTTTCTTCTCTTTGAAAGCTTTACAAAAAGAAAAGGGAGGTGGTGGCTCACGCTTGTAATCCCAACACTTTGGAAGGCCGAGGTGGGTTGATCACCTGAGGTCAGGAGTTTGAGACCAGCCTGGCCAACATGGTGAAACCCCGTCTCTACCAAAAATACAAAAATCAGCTGGGTGTGGTGGCACATACCTGTAGCCCCAGCTACTCGGGTGCACATACCTGTAGCCTCAGCTACTTGAACCCAGGAGACAGGTTGCGGTGAGGCGAGATCGTACCGCTGCACTCGAGACTGGGCAACAGAGTGAGATTCTATCTCAAGAAAAAAAAAAAAAAGGAGAGACAGCCAGGTGTGATGGCTCACACCTATAATCCCAGCACTTTGGAAGGCCGAGGTGGGAGGATCGCTTCAGCCCAAGAGTTCAAGACCAGCCTGAGCAACACAGTGAGACCCCATCTCTTAAAGTTAAACAAAACAAAACAAAAAGAGAGATAGAGATCGGGAGAAATACAAGAGAGTGTTGGAGGGAGAGGGAGAAAGGAGGAGGAAGACATTGAACTGACAAGTACGCTGACCACTTAAGATCCAGGTCCCAAAGTAGCTTCAGTAACTAAAACTCCAAACGAAAGCACCACTAACCGCTAGGAAGTTGGCCAATGTACTATCAATATCAGTTGACTGGTTTCCATTTGTCTCTTTGGATTGTGCTAGTTTTTCGGAAACATCATTGTCATCGTCATCACTGTCAGCATAAGCACCAAGCAAGCATAGACCGCCTAGAAACAAAAAGGTAAACAGTATTTGTAACAACAATGTCAATATGTCCTAAGAAGCATCTAAAGCGGAAGTATAACATGTTTTTTTTAAACTTACTTACAGATTAGAACATAACCGCAAAACTAATAATCACTGAACTACCACAGAAGAATAAATTACATCGTATGGTTAAAGCTAATAAAAATTGATCTATAGGCCTGGTGCAGTGGCTCAACGCCTGTAATCCCAGCACTTTGGGAGGCCGAGGTGGGTGGATCATGAGGTCAGGCGTTTTGAGACCAGCCTGGGCAACATGGTGAAACCCCATCTCTATTAAAAATACAAAAAATTAGCCAGGCCTGGTAGCACGTGCCTGTAGTCCCAGCTAGTGAGGCAGGAGAAGTGCTTGAACCTGGGAGGCAGAGGTTGCAGTGAGCCAAGATCACGCCACTGCACTCCACCCTGGGCAAAAGAGTAAGACTCTGTCTCCGGGGGTTAAAAAAAAAAAAAAAAAATTGATCTGGGCTGGGCATGGTGGCTCACACCTGTAATCCCAGCACTTTGGGAGGCTGAGGCGGGCAGATCACCTGAAGTCAGGAGTTCAAGACCAGCCTGACCAACATGGAGAAACCCTGTCTCTACTAAAAATACAAAATTATCCAGGTGTGGTGGCACATGCCTGTAATCCCAGCTACTCAGGAGGCTGAAGCAGAAAAATTGCTTGAACTCGGGAGGCGGAGGTTGCGGTGAGCTGAGATCACGCCACTGCACTCCAGCCTGGGCAACAACAGTGAAAATCCGTCTCAAAATAAATAAATAAATAAAATAAAAAATAAAAAAACATGTTGATCTATGAGCCAGGCAACACAGCTTATGTCTACAGACCCAACTTCTTCGGGAGGATCTGAGGCAGGAAGATCATTTGAGCCCAGAATCTGAGACCAGCCTCGAAAACATAGTGAGACCTTGTCTATCCCATAAAAACAAAAACAAAAAAAAAAAAAAGGGAAAAGGAAAAAGAATAAAAATTTAGCCGAGCATACGGCTGAGGTGCAAGGATAGCTTGAGCCCAGGAGGTTGAGGCTGCATTAAGCCGAAACATCTCCACTGTACTCCAGCCAGGGTGACAAAGTGAGACTGACCATGTCTCCAAAAAAAAAACAAAAACAAAAAAAATCGAGAACAAGAAAATTAATCTGCATAGTTATTTCAATCAATTATTCAATCTCACTCTCTTTCCAAATTGTTCATAGATAGTATATCTTGATTTTAGAATTTGGTGATTAAAGTGTTTACTTCAAACTGAGCCAATTACAGTGTAGCAGCTGAAACAAAGACTTTCAAAAACTAAAGAAATAAAGACTTTCAAAGTTAAAAACGAAGCTTTTAATCAATGATTATTCCTCAAATAGGAAGTGACAGAAATTAAAAACATGAAGTGACAGGAATTAAAAATGGGGCTCAACATGGCTAAAACCAATGATCAATGTCTTCCTCAAATTTAAGTGGTATCAGGTATGGCCTCTGTAATGCTGCTATGCCATTTCCTTTTGGATCATCTGTGGCTACTCCAAGATTACAATTAACAATATAATACATAGAGTATTATTATATGTATTATAAACACATAAAATGTTAAATTCTAGCTAGACTTTTCCAGCTATTACTTATATTAAATTTCACAGCGCTGACACATTCTACGCTCACTAAAAAGTTGGTAAATGAACAGATTTATCGAAAGTTAAATCTAGTTTTGTGTGTCATACATCCCATACATAAACTCAAAGGTCACCTAAAAGTAAACATAAATTGTTCCATTAATCATGTAGGAGTTCATATTCAGTGCCTTAGTATCGTAATTCCTGCCTTCATTTTTTTCTTTCTGTATGTAGGTTAAGTTTTTTGTTGTTGTTGTTATACTTTAAGTTCTAAGGTACATGTGCACAATGGTGCAGGTTTATTACATATGTATACATGTACTATGTTGGTGTGCTGCACCCATTAACTCATCATTAACATTAGGTATTTCTCTTAATGCTATCCCTCCCCCACCCCCGACCCCATGACAGGCCCCGGTGTGTGATGTTCCCCACCCTGTGTCCAAATGTTCTCATTGTTCAATTCCTACCTATGAGTGAGAATATGTGGTGTTTGGTTTTCTGTCCTTGCGATAGTTTGCTCAGAATGATGGTTTCCAGCTTCATCCATGTCCCTACAAAGGACATGAACTCATCCTTTTTTATGGCTGCATAGTATTCTATGGTGTATATGTGCCACATTTTCTTAATCCAGTCTATCATTGATGGACATTCGGGTTGGTTCCAAGTCTTTGCTATTGTGAATAGTGCTGCAGTAAACATAACGTGTGCATGTGTCTTTATAGCAGCATGATTTATAATCCTTTGGGTATATACCCAGTAATGGGATCGCTGGGTCAAATGGTATTTCTAGTTCTAGATCCTTGAGGAATCACCACACTGTCTTCCACAATGGTTGAACTAGTTTACACTCCCACTAACAGCATAAAAGCGTTCCTATTTCTCCACATCCTTTCCAGCATATGTAGGTAAGTTCTTAAATAGCAATTTTATTTTGAGATGGAGTCTCGCTCTGTCCCCCAGGCTGGAGTGCAGTGGCTCCGCTCACTACAAGCTCTGCCTCTCAGGTTCACGCCATTCTCCTGCCTCAGCCTCCTGAGTAGCTGGGACTACAGGCGCCCGCCACGCCCGGCTAATTTTTTTGTATTTTTAGTAGAGATGGGGTTTCACCGTGTTAGCCAGGATGGTCTTGATCTCCTGACCTCGTGACCCGCCCACCTCGGCCTCCCAAAGTGCTGGGATTATAGGCGTGAGCCACCGCACCCGGCTGAGACGGAGTCTTGCTCTGTTGCCCAGGCTGAAGTGCAGTGGCGCAATCTTGGCTCATTGCAACCTCCACCTCCAGGGTTCATGCGATTCTCCTGCCTCAGCCTCCCGAGTAGCTGGGATTACAGGTGTGCACCACCACACCTGGGTAATGTTTGCATTTTTAGTAGAGATGGGGTTTCGCTATGTTGGCCTAGCTGCTCTTGGACTCCTGACCTCAAGTGATCTGCCCACCTCGGCCTCCCAAAGTGCTGGGACTACAGGCATGAGCCACCACACATAGCCTCTAAACATCAATTTCTAAAGTTTGATTTGTTTATGTATATATGTAAGAGATACGGTCTTGCTCTATTGCCAAGGCAGAAGCAGTGGATCACTACATCCTCAAACTCCTGGCCTCAAATGATTCTCTTGCCTCAGCATCCTGAGTGGATGACTAGAGTCACAACCCACCATGCCTGGCTAATTTATTTTATTTTTTATTTTATGCAGAGATGGAATCTCCTATGTTGCCTAGGCTGGTCTCATCCTGTCCTCATGTGATCTTCCTGCCTTGACTTCCCAAAATGTTAGGCAAAATTTTTCATTTCTTTTTTTTGAGACAGGGTCTCACTCTGGCACAAGTGAACTGGTGCGATCACAGCTCACTGCAGCCTTGACCTCCTGAGCTCAACCAATCTTCCCACCTCAATCAGGCTCCTGTGTAGCTGGGACTAGAGATGCGCACCACTGCGCCTGGCTAACTTTGGTAGAGACGGGGTTTTGCCATGTTGCCTAGGCTCATCTCGAACTCCTGGTCACAAGCCATCCTCCTGCCTCAGTCTCCCATGTAGCTAGGACTACAGGCCTACGCCACCACACTTGGCATTTTTTAAGCACACAAAAGGTTTCAATCTGTTGCTCAGTTTGGTCTTGAATTCCTGAGCTCAAGCAATCCCCTGCCTGAGCCTCCCAAAGTGCTGACATTACAGGTGTGAGCCACCTCGTCTGACCACAAAATATAGGTGTGAGCCACCTCACCTGATCACAATAGTATTTTAAACTGGTAAGAAAGATATTTACATGGACGTTTGTGGACAGGCATGGTGGCTCATGCCTGTAATGCCAGCACTTTGGGAGGCTGAGGCAGGTGGATCACGAGGTCAGATCAAGACTATCCTGGCCAACATGGTGAAATCCCACCTCTACTAAAAACAAAAAATTAGCTGGCTGTGGTGGTGCGCGCCTGTAATCCCAGCTACTCAGGAGGCTGAGGCATGAGAATTGCTTGAACCCGGAAGGTGGACATTGCAGTGAGCTGAGATCACGTCACTGTATTCCAGCCTGGTGACAGGGCGAGACTCCGTCTAAAAAAAAGCGGGGGGGAAAAGAGAGAGAAATTTGCAAGGACGTTTCTTAGATAGTGTCTCTAATTTTTTTTTTTTTTTTGAGATAGAGTCTCACACTGTCACCCAGGCTGGAGTGCAGTGGCACAATCTCAGCTCAGTGCAACCTCCGCCTCCCGGGTTCAGGTGATTCTCTTGCCTCAGCCTCCCGAGTAGCTAGGATTAACAGGCGCACGCCACCACGACCTGCTAATTTTCGTACTTTTAGTAGAGACGGGGTTTCACCATGTTGGCCACGCTGGTCTCGAACTCCTGACCTCAAGTGATCTGCCCTTTTTGGCCTCCCAAAGTGCTGGGATTACAGGTGTGAGACCTGCGCCTGGCTTTTTTTTTTTGGTATGGAGTTTCGCTCTTCTTGCCCAGGCTGGAGTGCAATGGTGCAGTCTTGACTCACTGCAACCTCTGCCTCCCAGGTTCAAGTGATTCTCCAGCCTCGGTCTCCCAAGTAGCTGGGATTATAGGCGTGCACCACCACGCCTGGCTAATTTTTTTGTATTTTTAGTAGAGATGGGGTTTCACCATGTTGGCCAGGCTGCTCTCGCACTCCTGACCTCAAGTGATCTGCCTGCCTTGGCCTCCGAAAGTGCTGAGATTACAGGCGTGAACCATGGCGCCCGGCCCAATTTTCTTGATATTCTGAACAAAATGTATTCAGCTTTATAAGAGCAGAACTACCAAAGGAGAAACTTCTGTATGAAATAACGCCACACTTTTGTATACAGTACTGATGGATTCTGGAAAGGAGAGTGGGAAATTTTATTTTTAAATAAAAATACTGGCCGGGCACGGTGGCTCATGCCTGTAATCCCAGCACTTTGGGAGGCCAAGGCGGGTGGATCACCTGAGGTCAGGAGTTCAAGATTGGCTGGCCAACATGGTGAAACTCATCTCTACTAAAAATTCAAGAAAAGGAGCTGGGCGTGGTGGCAGGCACCTGCAATCCCAGCTACTTGGGAGGCTGAGGCAGGAGAATCACTTGAACCCAGGAGGAGGTGGTTACAGTGAGCCGAGGCTGTGCCATTGCACTCCAACCTGGGGAACAAGAACAAAACTCTAACTCAAAATAAATTAATTAAAAATAAAAATACTTCTAATGACAATCATAGATATAATCACTTTCAGTAAAAAGTTTCAATCAGGTAAGCTGCATGGTATTTTCATTACAAAATTTCCCAACAAGAGGTAGTTCCCCAGGTCCACAGGCAAAATCGGCTCTGCCTATTCCCTTTCTTCACCTAAGAGCTTTTCACCTATGGACAAACTTCTTCTAAACTCCTAAAAACATAATAAATTAGCCAAGAAAATGAAACTTATTAAGCCTAGTGTTTGTGAGAAATTCAGAGAGACATCATAAATTGATCAAACATTTTTTTTTTTTTTTTTTTTGAGACAGAGTCTTGCTCTGTCACCCAGGGTGAAATGTAATCACATGATCTCGGCTCACTGCAGCCTCTGTTTCCTGGGTTCAAGCGACTCTCCTGCCTCAGCCTACCAAGTAGTTGGGATTACAAGTGCGTGCCAATGTAATTTTTGTATTTTTTTGTTTTTTTTTTTTTTGGAGATGGAGTCTCACTGTCACCCAGGCTGGAGCGCAGCAGCACAACCTTGGCTCACTGCAACCTCTGCCTCCCGTGTTCAAGCGATTTTCCTGCCTCAGCCTCCCGAGCAGCTGGAATTAGAGGAGTGCACCACCAACCACAGGTAATTTTTTTGTATTTCTAGTAGAGATGGGATTTCACCATGTTGGCCAGGCTGATCTAGAACTCCCGACCTCAGGTGATTCACCCGCTTCAGGCTCCCAAAGTGCTGGGATCACAGGCGTGAGCCACCCAGCCTGGTCTTTTCTATTTTCGTAGAGACAGGTTTTCACCATGTTGCCAGGCTGGTCTCGAACTCTTGACGTCAGGTGATCCACCTGCCTTGGCCTCCCATAGTGTTGGGAGGCGGCAGCCACAGTGACCGCCTAGATTCCATATATCTTAAGTGAAATTTGGCAACAGGTACCAAGAGCTACAAAACTCAAGTTTATTTTATATAGTTTCATCTTTGAGACTATAATACCAAGACATAACTCCAAAAAAACTTTGCTCAAAGCTTCTGGTGGCTTGCTTGAAACAACTAAAATCTGTAAACACTCAAATGCTCTCAAACAGTGGACTGGCAAAGCAAATCATAGGACATACCTGATTTATTACCATTTTGTGATAAATCAGACTATTATAGAATCACATGAAATATTACTAAAGGGATTAAAAGTAATGCTAAAGGAATAAAAGCAAGTCATAAAATACATACAAAATTTAATTAAATCTCAGAAAATACAGTGTATATACTGTTAACAGGAATGAAGTTAGAGTAACACTGAAAATAAACGTTCACATTATCAGGTAAAATTGCTTTATCTTAGAAAAATCTCAGAGGCTGGGCATGGTCGCTCACCGCTCTAATCCCAGCACTTTGGGAGGCTGAGACGAGTGGATTACAAGGTCAGGAGTTCAAGACCAGCCTGGCCAAGATGCTGAAACCCTGTCTCTACTAAAAATATAAAATTAGCTGGGGATGGTGGCATGAGCCAGTAATCCCAGCTACTAGGGAGGCTGCAGCAGGAGAATCACTTTAACTCAGGCGACGGAGGTTGCAGTGAGCCAAGATCACACCACTGCACTCCAGCCTGGGCGACAGAACAAGACTCCATCTCAAAGCAAAAAAAAAAAGAGAAAAATCTTAGAAACAAAATCAACAGGATGGTCACGGTGGCTCACATCTATAATCCTAGCATTTTGGGAGGCCAAGGAAGGAGGATCACTTGAGCCTCCTTGAGAACAGCCTGGGCAATAAAGTGAGACCATGTCTACAGAAAGAAAAAAAATTTTATTAAAAACAACAACAAAGCTGGCCAGGTGTCACTGACCTATAAGCAGGTACTAAAGAACTCCAAGAATTTAATTTCTTTTTTTTTTTTGAGACAGAGTTTCGCTCTTGTTGCCCAGGCTGGAGTGCAATGGCGTGATCTTGGCTCACCGCAACCTCTGCCTCCTGGGTTCAAGCGATTTTCCTGCCTCAGCCTCCTAAGTAGCTGGAATTACAGGCATGCGCCACCATGCCCAGCTAGTTTTGTATTTTTAGTAGAGACGGGGTTTCTCCGTGCTGGTCAGGCTGGTCTCGAACTCCAGACCTCAGATGATCCGCCAGCTTCAGCCTCCCAAAGTGCTGGGATTAGAGGCGTGAGGCACAGCGTCTGGCTGTTTTTTTTTTTTGAGATGGAGTCTTACTCTGTCACCCAGGCTGGAGTGCAATGGTGTGGTCTAGCTCATTGCAACCTCCGCCTCCCGGGTTCAAGCGATTCTCCCACCTCAGCCTCACGAGTAGCTGGGACTACAGGTGCGTGCCACCATACCCAGCTAATTGTATTTTTAGTAGCGATGGGGTTTCACTATGTTGGCCAGGATGGTCTTGAACTCCCGACCTTGTCATCCGCCCGCCTTGGCCTCCCAAAGTGCTGGAATTACACGCGTGAACCACCGTGCCCCGCCTATTTTTTTAAATTATTTTTGACACAGGGTCTCATTCTGTCACCTAGACTGGGTTGCAGTGGCATGATCATATATAGCTGACTGCAGCCTTGAACTCCTGGGCTCAAGCGATCCTCCTGCCTCAGTCTCCCAAGTAGCTAGGCCCACAGGTGCTCATCAGCACGTCTAGCTAATTTTAAACTTTTTTGTAGAGGTGGGGGTCTCGGCCAAGTGTGATGGCTCATGCGTTTAATCCCAGCACTTTGGGAGGCTGAGGCAGGTGGATTACTTGAAGTCAGGAGTTCCAGACCAGCCTGGCCAACATGGTGAACCGTCTCTACTGAAAATACAAAAATTAGCTGGGCATGGTGGCGTGGGCCCGTAATCCCAGCTACTTGGAAGGCTGAGGAAGGAGAATCGCCGGAGCCCAGGACACAGAGACTGCAGTGAGCCAAGATCACGCCACTGCACTCCAGCCTGGGCAACAGAGACTCTGATTCCAAAAAAAAAAAAAAAAAAAAAGAGTCTCTCTGCTGCCTAGGCTGCTCTTGAACTCTAGGATTCAAGTGATCCTCCCACCTCAGCCTCCCAAAGCACTAGGATTACAGGCATGAGCCACCCATTTTCAGGGGCGTTAAAAACTAAGCTCCTGGGCTGGGCACAGTGGCTCATGCCTGTAATCCCAGCACTTTGGGAGGCCAAGGCAGGAAGATCACTTAAACCCTAGAGTTGTAAGAACAAGTCCTTGACTACTGTTAAGATGAAGATGTGTTGCAGGCTGGGCGTGGTGGCTCAGACCTGTGATCACCGCACTTTGGGAGTCCAAGGCGGGTGGATCACTTGAAGTCAGGAGTTCAAGACCAGTCTGGCCAACATGGCAAAACCCCGTCTCTACTAAAAATACAAAAATTAGCCGGTAATCCCAGCTGCTCAGGAGGGTGAGGTAGGAGAAATCACTTCAACCCGGGAGGCAGAGGTTGCAGTGAGCCAAGATCACACCACTGCACTTGAACTCAAAAAAAAAAAAAAAAAAAGATTTGTTGCTACTTAAAGCCTGAGAAAGCATGGTCATTCTTCAGAGCCATAGTGTTTTGTTTTGTTTTGTTTTGTTTTGAGACGGAGTCTTGCTCTGTCGCCCAGGCTGGAGTGCAGTGGCGTGATCTCGGCTCACTGCAAGCTCCGCCTCCCGGGTTCACGCCATTCTCCTGCCTCAGCCTCCCGAGTAGCTGGGACTACAGGCGCCCGCCACCACGCCCAGCTAATTTTCTGTATTTTTAATAGAGATGGGGTTTCACCGTGTTAGCCAGGATGGTCTCGATCTCCTGACGTCATTATCCACCTGCCTCGGCCTCCCAAAATGCTGGGATTACAAGCGTGAGCCACTGTGCCTGGCCCAGAGCCATAGTTTTTAGCAGTCTTTTTTTGAGAAAGGTGTTGACCCCTCAAACCTCAACATTCTTACTTACCTTTGAGGGATGGTGCTACACAATTTGTATATCAGCTACCTATATCAGGCAGTAAATTATTTCTTAGGTATATACCTCTTATGGCTTGAATGTGCCCCTAAAAAGGATGTTTTGGAAATTAAATCCCCAGTGCAACAGTGTTGGGAGGTAGGGGCCTAATGGAAGATGTTGACATCACGAGAGGACATTCAAACCACAGGAGTAATCAAGGAAGTTTCTCCTAGAAACATTTAAATTTATATTTTATTTTATGTATTTATTTGAGACAGGTTCTTACGGTCGCCCAGGCTGGAGTGCAGTGGCAAAACCTCAGTTCACTGCAACCTCCACCTCCTGAGTAGCTGCGATTATAGGTGTGCGCCACCATGCCCAGCTAATTTTTATGTTTTTAGTAGAGATGGGGTTTCACCATGTTGGCCAGGCTGGTCTCGAACTCCTGAACTCAGGTGATCCGCCTGCCTCAGACTACCAAAGTGCTGGGATTACAGGCGTGAGCCACTGCTCCTGGCTAAATTCTACATATTTTAAATGAGTGTTAAGTCTCAAATGAAATAACATATGCAGTTGGCAAATACAAAATGGTATAATGTAGTTCTGAAATTTCTCTCACATTCAAATTTTAGCTTTCTAACCCACACTGGGGTGTTTTGTTTGTTTTTTTTTTTTTAGGTGGCAAATGGTGAGGAGAGAGGAATAAGCATCTATCATTTTAAGCATCAAATAGTACAAAAAGTATTCTGAACTGAAAAGAAATTACTACCAATTATAGAATATTTAATATTAAAACACATTTTACTCTTCCAAGATACACAGAGTAGAGAAAATTAACATTCCTGGCACTTACTATGTCACATCTGGAAATATCTCAGAGATAAAAGATCCATTTTACAGATTAATGAGGTTCAACCCAATTAGTAATTGCGCCAAAGTCTAAGTGTGAATGCCAGAGTGATGAATTGAACCCAGGTTTGTCTACAAAACCACTGTTGCAACTATGGCATTCCTTTGTACTTGAAAATATTTAATAAGATCAATTTCCAGGTCCACCAATGTTTGTTAGGTAACCAATCAAGCCAGAGTGTTAGAAAAGGAATAGGAGTTGGCATGCCTAATGAACACCAAGCTAGTGGGAGGACCAGAAAACTAGTTATAAAATAGCATCAGGAAAAAAAAACAGTAAAAAACGTTTTGGGTAAAGAAAAACAACAAATTTTGCACTGGTCAAAGTGTATATACATCAACATTCTCTCACAAACAAAAATAATCTTAAATCATATTTTTGGGAGAAATAATGTTAGCAACACTAAAGCATTCAGCAAAACATTCTATGTACAAACCCAACTTGACTTTAATGAAAGACGTGGGAGAAAAAATGTAAAAAACAAAACAAAAGCATACCTGTTGCTTTAACAGCTGTGGGTCTAGTGGTCATGACTGGTTTTGGAGGATTCTGAACAACTCTAGGAACCTCCTGCACCGCTTCCTGTTCATCTGGATTAAAAAAAAAGAAAAGAAAAGAAAAGAAAAGAAAAGAAAAGAAAAGAAAACTGCAGTCAGATTCCAGACCAGAGAAAACACTAGAGGTGACAAACCAACCTTTGATTTAACATTTCAGCTCTAGATTCCATCAATTTTTTAAAAAGTGCATTTCGGATGGGTTCGCACCTGTAATCCCAGCACTTTGGGAGGCCAAGACGGGGGGGGGGGGGGGCCACTTGAGGTCAGGGGTTCAAGACCAGCCTGGCCACCATGGTGAAACTCCATCTCTACTAAAAATACAAAAAATAAAAAAATTGCTAGGCATGATGGCACTCGCTTGTAATCCCAACTACTCGGGAGGCTGAGGCAGAAGGATCGCTTGAACCCAGGAGGCAGAGGTTACTGCAGCCTGGGCCACAGAGGAAGACTCCATCTCAAAAAAAAGAAAGGACATTTCATTGACCCAAATAATTGGGAGATAATAAACACAGAGCTGGAATCTTTTTTTTTTTTTTTTTTTGAGACGGAGTTTCGCTCTTGTCGCCCAGGCTGGTCAAACTCCTGACCTCGAGTAATCCGCCTACCTCGGCCTCCCAAAGTGCTGGGATTACAGGCATGAGTCACCGTGCCCTGGAGTCTTTCATCTGCTTACAAACTTCAACATCAAGGGAAGACTCTTACCATGGTAAATAAAAATTATTAATACATCTGCATGGCCGGGCGCGATGGCTCTCGCCTGTAATGATCGCTTGAGCCCTGGAGTTCGAGACCAGCCCGGGAAACATGAACTCCGTCTCTACTGAAAATACAAAAATTAGCCGGGCATGGTGGCAGGGTCCTGTAGTCCCAGCTACCCAGGAGGCTAAGGCGGGAGGATCGCTTGAACCCGGGAGGTGGAGGTTGCAGTGAGCCCAAGATCGCGCCACTGCACTCCAGCCTGGGCGACAGATTGAGACATTGTCTCGAAAAAAACAAAACAAAACTCTTAAAAAGTTACATCTGCAATACTTACAAATACATACAAAAACAGTAAGTATTCTCCAGGCTATGATAGGACCTTTACAAGACACACCAAACACTGCTATTGCGGATTTTTTCCAATTAACGAACCAGCGTGATCTCTGAACATGTGAAACGGTCGCGGCTTCTCCGGCGCCTAGTCCTGGAGTCACTTTTAATCTAAGCACCACTCCAGTGAGAACCACACAAATACTTAGGAACCTACCAGCTCCATTTCTCCAGCAGTTCTGCTAGTGTGGGGATGCTTACTAGCTGGAATATTAAGAGCTTTTTCTAAACGTCTCTATCCCCGTTTCGACAAAACCGAAAGGAGGCAGATGACGTGTGGAAAGGCCTGGCCCACAGTCACAGGCCGCGCACGCGGAAACTCATCCTCACATCCACCCTCTGCGTTACCCAAAACCGACCCGGGGCGTTTGGGAGACTCAGGATGCCCGAACTTCGGTCATATTTCAAACGTTCCCGGGGCAAGCCCTGCACCACAGATGGCGCCTCGGGCTTGGCCCGGGCCGAGGGCGCAGAACTCGGCCTGGCCCTTCTGCGGCCCGGAGCCCAGGGCCGCCCCGCCTGCAGGCCCGCAGCAGGCAGGCCTCGGAAGCCGACCTCGCCCGCCTCCCTCGCCGGGTCTGGCCAGGCGCCGTGAGGAGCCTAGGCCGCAAGCCCTGAGCTCGAGTTCAGGTCCCCCCGCGCACCCTTGCCTTCTGAAGGCGAGTCGTCCGAGGCCGCGGCGGCAGTCACCGCGGTGGTGGTGGTCGTCGCCGCCGACGGGGCGGGCTGGCTGGGGACCGCCGCGGTTGAGTCCGGCTCAGTGTCGGGTTCCGGCTCCGGGTCCCGGCCCGGCGTGCTGCCCCGAGGACCCGGCGGAGAGAGTTGCAGGATGGGCCTACGGCCGGGTACCGCCCGGGACTTCTTCCCCATCGCGAGCCCAAGCGCGAGCAGAGAGCGTCGGGCGGCCGAGAGGGGCGGGCACTGGAGGCTGGGCGCTGGGCCCTGGGCGCTGCGACGCGTAATCAATATTCATACACCGTGACACCGCCTCCAGCCCGGATCCGCTTTCAACCAGCGGAGCACGCGCTTGCGCAAGCGCCTCGGACCCTTCGGCTCTTCTGGCTCCTCCTCACCAGGAGAAAGGGCGGGATTACCAACTGCGCTAGGCGATTGGCTGTTTTGACCCAGAGAAGGGACCGGTGGCCAATGGAAAAGGAAAAAGGGTGAGAGTCCAGCCAATAGTGCGGTAGGGCCTGAATTAGAACGACTTCCCCACTTCCGTCGGGTTCCACCCATGCGCTTTCCCCAAGCCTTTTCTTTGCCTACTTGTCCTCCATCTTGTGGCTATTCTCGGCCTAGAGTTTCATGTTGTCTGTCTTCTAGAAAGGTGTGCTGCTGGGCCCAGCTCACTCACGCCTGTAATCTCAACACTTTGGGAGGCCGAGGCGGGTGGATCACGAGGTCAGGAGTTCAAGACCAGCTTGTCCAAGATGGTGAAACCCCGTCTCTACTAAAAATACAAAAGATTTAGTCGGGCGCGGTGGCAGGCGCCTGTAATCCTAGCTAGTCGGGAGACTGAGGCAGGCGAATCGCATGAACCCGGCGGCAAAGGTTACAGTGAGCCGAGATCGCGCCACTGCACCCCACCCTGGGTGACAGAGTGAGACTGTCTCAAGAAAAAAAAGAAAGGTGTGCTGTTTTCTGAGCCCTTCCCCACGTTTCGCCCGGATTATTGTGGCTTACTTTGGGTATAGCATTGAACATTAAATGGGACAGTGGGTCTTTTACGCTTTTGTAATTTCCTGCAGCACACAAATAGATGTCTCATATTTTCTCGCTTATTAGCTGGGAAAAATCACGAGATACTCCACTACCTACAAGGAAAAAGCCTAAAATTGTTGGGATGGCATACAGGAACCTTACCAGTTTTGTACTACTATCGTCAACATGCTTTAATTTACCCTTGCTTTAACACTGCCCCCTCTCCCGTCTCCTGCCTCTGGAGCCCGCCACTTGGAGCATCACCTCCCTCACTTTTCCTTTGCACTGACTGGAATAATTACTGCATCACATGATGAAAGTCTTTTATTGTTTCATCAGGGCGCAATGCAGACGCAGTGCAGGCGTGACCTCTCCTGCCCAGCCTCTCCCTGGCACTTGACATCCTGTTGACATCCGTCTCCCCTCTAAACTAAGGAATGCGAGTGGTATTTATTTTTATATCCGCAGCAGCTCAGTTCCCACTAAAAATATCTAATACTTACTGAGCTCTATGTGTCAGTCACCAAGCACTTTACACGTAGAATTGCATTTGATCTTTTAAAATGATTATTTCTAATTTTATTTTTAAACGTGTCTTGCTCTGTCATCCAGGTTGGAGTAACGTGGCATGATTATAGCCCACTGCATCCTCAAACTCCTGGGCTAAAGCCATTTTTTTTTTGAGACGGTGTCTCGCTCTGTTGCCCAGGCTGGAGTGCAATGGCGCAATCTCGACTCACTGCAGCCTCTGCCCTCCGGGTCCAAGCAACTCTCCTGCCTCAGCCTCCCCAGTAGCTGAGATAATAGGCGCCCACCACCACGCCTGGCTAATTTTTGTATTTTTAGTTGAGACAGGGTTTTGCCATGTTGGTCAGGCTGGTCTTGAACTCCTGACCTCAGGTGATCCACCCGCCTCGGCCTCCCAAAGTGCTGGGATTACAGGTGTGAGCCAGCGTGCCTGGCCTAATTTTTTAATTTTAATTTTAATTAATTTATTTTTGAGAGAGCTTCTCTCTGTCGCCAGGCTGGAGTGCGGTGGCACGATCTTGGCTCACTGCAATCTCTGCCTTCCAGGTTCAAGCGATTCCCCTGCCTCAGCCTCCTGAGTAGCTGGTACTACAGGCGCGCAGCACCTTGCCTGTCTAATTTTTTGTATCTTAGTAGAGATGTGGTTTCACCATATTGGCCAGGCTGGTCTAGATCTCCTGACCTCATGATCTGTCTGCCTTGGCCTCCCAAAGTGCTGAGATTACAGATTTTTTTTTGTATACAGAGTCGCCCAGGTTGGAAGGCAGTGGTGCGATTTTGGCTTAAGGGAGGAGACCACCCCTCATATTGTCTTATGCCCAGTTTCTGCCTCCAAAGAAAGAAAAAGTAAAAACTAAAAGGCAGAAATGAAATCCACAGGCAGACAGCCCGGCACCACACCCTGGGCCTGGTAGTTAAAGATTGACCCCTGACCTAATCGGTTATGTTATCTATAGATTAAAGACATCGTATAGAAAAGCACTGTGAAAATCCCTATCCTGTTTTGTTCCGATCTAATTACCGGTGCATGCAGCCCCCAGTCACTTACCTCCTGCTTGCTCAGTCGATCACGAACCCTCTCATGCGCACCACCTTAGAGCTGTGAGCCCTTAAAAGGGACAGGAATTGCTCACTCGGGCAGCTCGGCTCTTGAGACAGGAGTCTTGCCGATGCCTCTGGCTGAATAAACCCCTTCCTTCTTTAACTCGGTGTCTGAGGAGTTTTGTCTGCGGCTCGTCCTGCTACAGGCTCACTGCAACCTCCACCTCGTGGGTTCAAGCAATTCTCCCATCTCAGCCTCTGGAGTAGCTGGGACTACAGGCGCATGCCATCACCCCCACTAATTTTTGTATTTTTAGTAGAGACGTTTCACCATGTTGGCCAGGCTGGTCTTGAACTCCTGACCTCAAGTGATCTGCCTGCCTTAGCCTCCCAAAGTGTAGGGATTACAGACGTGAGCCACGGTGCCTGGCCTAATTTTTTTTTTTTTTTTAGAGGGAGTTTTGCTCTTGTCACCCAGGCTGGAGTGCAATGGCATGATCTCAGCTCACTGCAACTTCCGCCTCCTGGGTTCAAGCGATTCTCCTCCCTCAGCCTCCCGAGTAGCTGGAATTACAGGCACCCGCCACCACCCCCTACTAATTTTTTGCATTTTTAGTAGACGGGGTTTCGCCATGTTGGCCAGGCTGGTCTCAAACTCCTGACCTCAGGTGATCCACCCGCCTTGGCTTCCAAGAGTGCTAGGATTACAGGCCTGAGCCACCGTGCCTGGCCCGAAGAATTTGCTGGGTTTTTTTGTTTGTTTGTTATTATGTTTTGAGACGGAGTCTCGCTCTGTCACCCAGGCTAGAGTGCAGTGGTGCAATCTTGGCTCACTGCAAGCTCTGCCTCCCGGGTTCACGCCATTCTCCTGCCTCAGCCTCCCCAGTAGCTGGGACTACAGGCACCAACCACCACGCCCCGCTAATTTTTTTGTATTTTTAGTAGAGACGGGGTTTCACCGTGTTGGCCAGGATGGTCTCGATCTCCTGATCTCGTGATCCACCTGCCTTGGTCTCCCAAAGTGCTGCGATTACAGGCCTGAGCCACTGCGCCAGGCCAAGAATTTGCTGTTTTAAAGCTGTTAGCAGGCTGGGCGCAGTGGCTCATGCCTGTAATGCCAGCACTTTGGGAGGCCGACGTGGGCGGATCACAAGGTCAGGAGATCGAGATCATCCTGGCCAACACGGTGAAACCCCGTCTCTACTAAAAAAAATACAAAAAATTAGCCGGGCACGGTGGCGGGCGCCTGTAGTCCCAGCTACTGGGGAGGCTGAGGCAGGAGAATGGCGTGAACCCGGGAGGCAGAGTTTGCAGTGAACCAAGATCGCACCACTGCACTCCAGCCTGGGCAGTAGAGCGAGACTCCGTCTCAAAAAAAAAAAAGCTGTTAGCAATTTTCTAATTTATTTAATGAGGAAAGACAGTAAAATAAGGAGTTTTGTATAGGAACTTTGAGGCCAACATCTGGATTGAAAACTTTTCTTCAGTACCTTCCAGATATGAAGGCTTAGACAAGTTTCTTAACATCCCTAAACTTGTTTTTGCAACCACAAAATACATTAGTACCGGTATCCATAGACCCATAGGGTTGTTGTGAAATTTAAATTGTATCATAGTTTTTTTGAGTCTTGCTCTGTTGCCAGGCTGGAGTGCAGTGGCGTGATCTCCACCCACTGCAACCTCCACCTCCCAGGTTCAAGTGATTCTCCTGCCTTAGCCTCCTGAGTAGCTGGGACTACAGGTGCGTGCCACCACGTCCGGCTAATTTTTGTATGTTTAGTAGAGATGGGGTTTCACCATGTTGGCCAGGTTGGTCTCAAACTCCTGACCTCAGGTGATCCACCCGCCTTGGCCTCCCAAAGTGCTGGGATTACAGGCGTAAGCCATCATGCCCAGCCTGTATCATAGTTTTAAGACCTTTGCATTGCACCTGGAAAAAAATAAACGCTGGTACCTGTGGAGTCCTAATAAGGGAAAAGGAGTCAGGCTGGCAGGAGTAGGGGAGAACAAAAAGAAAAAGTAGATAAGCTCTAAGTCTGCCTTTCTTCATGATCCAGGACATACAGTCCTTCTGTGTAAGTAACTCACAATCTTCCTATGCTCAACTTATCACCAGAACCTTGGCTGATAGAACAATGCAAGTTAGCTCACAGCAACCTTGGCATTATCAATACTGCGTGTAGCCCTCTCCAGCATAAGCACCATTCTGTAAAATCCCCAGCAAGCATTTGTCTCCTTGTAGTCAGCTCCTCTCTTAGTGCCTGCCTGTTGCATCCTTGCAATGTATGTTTATACTACCTGCCTTTGTTTACCTATGACTGTCTTGGTAAGTTCCTTTACTGCCTGCAACACTGGCCCCAATTAGTTGTTACCTGAGAGCAGCTATTATTACTATTAATGATCCTTTTGTCTATACAAAAGTACAGGTAATATTATAAAACTGGCTGGAACTAAGTTGAGATTATGAGCTAAACCAAAAGTGTATAGAAATGTGAAAGGCTGTTTTCCTTGGGGGAAACATACATTTCTGGAGGTGATGGTTGTTTATGCTTATACCAAGAGTTCTCAACCATCTGGAGGGCATTAAAGCGATATAAAAATCTGAATCAGTTGGAGTGGGGTGGGAGTGCAGGACCTATTTCAATGTGCTTTATTTTAATGTAACTATTTATTTTTGAAACAGGGTCTTGCTCTGTTGCCCAGGCTGGAGTACAATGGCATGATCATGGCTCACTGCAGCCTTTTCCTCTTGAGGCTTAAGGGATCATCCCACCTCAGCCTCCCAAGTAGCTGAGACTACAGGTGCATGCCACCAATCCCAGCTAGTTTTTAAATTTTTGGTAGAGATAGGGTTTTGCCATGTTGTCTGTGCTGGTCTGGAACTCCTGGGTTCAAGCTGTCTGCCCATCTCAGTCTCCCAAAGCATTGGGATCACAAGCATGAGCCATTGCACTTTGCCAGTTTATGTATTTATTTATTTTGAGATGGAGTTTTGTTCTTGTCGCCCAGGCTGGAGTGCAATGATGCCATCTCAGCTCACTGCAACCTCTGCCTCCCTCCTGGGCTCAAGTGATTCTCCTGCCTCAGCCTCCCAAGTAGCTGGGATTACAGGTGTGTGCCATAACGCCTGGCTAATTTTTGTATTTTTAGTAGAGATGGGGTTTCACCATGTTGGCCATGGCTGGTCTCAAACTCCTGAACCTCAGGTGATCCACCTGCCTCGGCCTCCCCAAAGTGCTGGGATTACAGCTGCGAGCTACCGTGCCCGGCTGCCAGTTTATTTTTAAGTAAAGATAGGGTCTTGTTTTGTTTCCCAGGATAGACTCAAACTCTTGGCCTCAAGCCGTCCACCTTAGCCTACCAAAGTGCTGGGATTATAGTTGTGATGAACTGCAACCAGCTTGCTTTTTTAAAAAGCTACTTATTCTAATGCTTAGCCAGAGTTGATAACCATTGGCTTTTTTCCCTAGCTTTATTGAGGCATAATTGATAAAAATTGTATATATTTAAGGTATATAATGTGATGATCTGATGTACATATACATAATGAAATGATTACCACCATCAGTCGTTCAATGAAATTTATAGGAGGTTGGATGGGCGCGGTGGCTCATGCCTGTAATTCCAGCACTTTGGGACGCCGAGGCGGGCAGATCACAAGGTCAAGAGATCGAGACCATCCTGGCCAACGTGGTGAAACCCTCGTCTCTACTAAAAATACAAAAATTAGTTGGGCGTGGTGGCATGTGCCTGTAGTCCCAGCTACTCTCCGGAGGCTGAGGCAGGAGAATCACTTGAACCCAGGAGGCGGAGGTTGCAGTGAGCCGAGATGGCACCATTGCACTCCAGCCTGGTAACAGAGCGAGACTCTGTCTTAAAAAAAAAAAAAAAAAGAAAGAAAGAAATTTATAGGAGGCAAGGCTGGGCACGGTGGCTCATGCCTGTAATCCCAGCACTTCGGGAGGCTGAGGCAGGTGGATCACCTGAGGTCCAGAGTTCAAGACCAGCCTGACCAACATGGTGAAACCCCATCTCTACTAAAAATACAAAAAGTAGCCGGGTGTGTTGGCATGTGGCTGTAATCTCAGGTACTCAGGAAGTTGAGGCAGGAGACTCGCTTGAACCTGGCGGGTGGAGATCACAGTGAACTCAGATCGTGTCATTGCACTCCAGCCTGGGTGACAAGAGCAAAACTCCGTCTCAAAAAAAAAAAAAAAAGTATAGGAGACCATTATTTTGGACTGAGTTCCTGTACCAGGCCTCAACAGGCCATACCCAAATGGAGTTACTCATGCTAGAGTTCCATATCATTAAAGAAGTTGTTTGGCTGGACACGACACGATGGCTCATGCCTGTAATCCCAGAACTTTGGGAGGCTGAGGTTGGAGGATCACTTGAGTCCAGGATTTCAAGACCAGCCTGGGCAACATAGCAAGACCCCATCTCTATTAAAAAAAAGAAATGAAGTTGTTTATGTCACCATCTGGGAAATCAGGAGACAGAGATAATAGCCAAGTCCCCAAACAGGCCAGCTTTAGTCAGCATGATAAGGAAATCCCCTCTGTTTTAACCTTTACAAGGAAAGTAACTTTGAAACCATCTCCAGCCTGGGCAACATTGCAAAACTCCATCTCTACAAAAAATAATTTTTTTTTTTTTTGAGATGGAGTCTTGCTTTGTCTCCCAGACTGGGGTGCAGTGGCGCAATCTTGGCTCACTGCAAGCTCCACCTCCCGGGTTCACGCCATTCTCCTGCCTCAGCCTCCCGAGTAGCTGGGACTACAGGTGCCCGCCACCGCACCTGGCTAATTTTTGTATTTTTAGTAGAGACGGGGTTTCACTGTGTTAGCCAGGAAGGTCTCCATCTCCTGACCTTGTGATCCACCCGCCTCGGCCTCCCAAAGTGCTGGGATTACAGGCGTGAGCCACTGCGCCCAGCCAAAATAATAAAAATTTGCCTGTAGTCCCAGCTACTCTGAAGGCTGAGGCAGGAGAATCAACTAAGCCCTGGAGGTCCAGCCTGTAGTGAGCCATGATTGTGCCACTGCAGTCCACCTGGGGTGTGAGAACAAGACCCTGTCTAAATAAAAAAAGGAAGCCACCAAGCTGTGTTTTGTTGTTTTCTGCTTTCCTTAGCCTGTCTCTGTCCTCTGTTTAGCTTGTTGGAACACTCATTCTATTTTATGGAAGGAAGTGTTGCCCAATTCACACAAGTGATAAATAAAAGCTAATTAAGATCTTTAGGCTGGGCACAGTGGCTCATGCCTGTAGTCCCAGCGCTTCGGGAGGCTGAGGTGGGCGGATCATGAGGTCAAGAGTTCAAGACCAGCTTGGCCAACATGATGAAACCCCGTCTCTACTAAGAATACAGAAATTAGCCGAGCATGGTGGTACGCACCTGTAGTCCCAGCTACCTGGGAGGCTGAGGCAGGAGAATTGCTTAAACCCAGGAGGCGGAGGTTGCAGTGAGCCAAGGTCACGCCACTCCCATCCAGCCTGGGTGACAAAGCAAGACTCCATGTAGAAAAAAAGAAAAAAAAAATCTTTAAACTAAATTTGTTGCAATTTGTCTTTTGACAAAGTCAATTAACATATCCAGCACCTCATATGTTACCTTTTTGTTTGTGTATGGTGAGGAGCCTTAAAATATATTATCTTAGCAAATTTCAAGTGTACAATACAGTATGATTAACTGTAGTAACCATACTTATGTAAGTGAGTGCAGGTCTGGTGGCTCGCCACTTGGAGAGCCCCGAAACAAGAGCAAGGTATGGTGGAAAGAAATTTACCAAAACTAGCAATGGGGAAGTGGCTAGATTCACATCCAAAGCAACCACTTCAAATTTCTGGGGAGAAGGCAAGGGTTTAAAAAGGGAAACGATATTGGTGGCATGCAGGAGCTGTGCTGAGTACAAGGTCCATGTGTCTCGTTTTGGTGGCTATCTTGGGTCTGTCACCTGGAGTGCAGGCACTGGTGTCATCTCAACAATGGCCGGGTGGTATTGTGGACTAACTACCTCGAGGTAATCTCTGGAGTTTTGCAGCTGGGTCTCCATACTCCGTCTGTCTCGAGATTAGCCCCTGGGTAAGCACATAATTAGATACAAGCATGCAAAGTTAGATAAATGTGCATGGTATAATGGAGTGTATGGTGAGAAAGGGAGGAACATGATATTTCAAAGAAAGTACATTTCAAGGCTAATATTTTAAGACTAAGGAGAAGAAAAAAAGATTTCTGCAGTAAGCTTCAAGGTTACATATTGAAACTAGGGAAAAAAGAGAAAAAATGAAATAAAATGCATTTTCAGGCTAGACTGGTTATGAAACTGTCTTTGTAAAAATCATTAACTCAGAAAATTATGACAGTGAAAGGTGTCAGAACTAACTGACCCTATCGTGCTTCTAACCTCTAAACTGTCCTTGTTCATTCCTAGGCATAGGCCAAACTACCTTTGGGAAGGAATTTAGTGTATAGTTTATGTAACAGTCCTTCCCAAAAAGCTAAACTGTTCTTGTAAAACAAATGAAAGGCCACCAGCCATGAAGTCAAGATGAGAGGGGCTAGATTTCTAAATATTACCAGCCATTATTCTGGAGGTCATAAGATTTGCAACTTTCCTAATTATTCTTGAAGGTAACATCACTATTGTCAACCTAAGATGGGCCTTTTGAGATGACTTTTCAGGTTTTTCATTTCTCACAACCAGACGGCGCCACCTGGACCTGCCAACCAGTTCTGTGCCCCCACCCAGGAATTGACTCAGCATTAGACAACAGCTTCGACTCCCTATGAGTTCATCCCCAAGCCAACCAATCAGCACTCCTGATTCACTGGCCCCCTACCCACCAAATTATCCTTAAAAACTCTGATCCCTGAGTTTTCAGGGAAACTGATTTGAGTAATAATAAAACTCCAGTCTCCCGCACAGCTGGCTCTGCGTGAATTACTTTCTCTTTTTTTTTTTTGAGACAGAATTTCACTGTTGTTCCATGCTGGAGTGCAATGGTGCGATCTCGGCTCACTGCAACCTCTGCCTCCCATGTTCAAGCGATTCTTCTGCCTCAGCCTCCTGAGTAGCTGGGATTACAGGTGCACGCCATCACACCTGGCTAATTTTTGCATTTTTTTTTTTTTTAGTAAAGATGGGATTTCACCATGTTGGTCAAGCTAGTCTCAAACTCCTGACCTCGTGATCTGCCCGCCTCGGCCTCCCAAAGTGCTGGGATTACAGGCGTGAGCCACTGCGCCCGGCCATGAATTACTTTCTCTGTTGCAATTCCCCTATAATCCCAGCACTTTGGGAGACTGAGGTGGGCAGATCACGTGAGGTTGGGAGTTCAAGACCAGTCTGCCCAACATGGAAAAACCTTGTCTCTACTAAAAATACAAAATTAGCCGGGCGTGGTGGCGCATGCTTGTAATCCCAGCTCCTCGGGAGGCTGAGGCAGAGAATCACTTGAACCCGGGAGGCGGAAGGTGCAGTGAGTGGAGATCACGCCACTGCACTCCAGAATGGGTAACAAGAGTGAAACTCCGTCTGAAAAAAAAAAAAAAGCAGACTCAAAGCTGTGAGAAAAGTGACGTGGAAGTATGGGGGCATGCTCTGTTCTGGTCGGGACTCAAAATGAGGAGCGTAGAATACAATGGACAGAAGAGCTGGGCTGGGTTGAGCATGGGTTCTAGGCCTTGAACCTAAACAAGCACAGGAAAAGTTGGTCAGCATCTTGTGAACTGCCACCATGGAAACCACTGCATTGATCAGCAACACAAATGGGGGGAGTGGGGGTTTCTGGAATAGGGCTAGTCTCTCACTACTTCTTGCCCTCCAGAGATGGCTACAATAGGGTTTGGTCTCATTGTCGCCCAGGCTGGAGTGCAGTGGCATGCTCAAGGCTCACTGCAACCTCTACCTCCCAGATTCAAGCCATCTTTCCGCCTCAGCCCCTCTAGTAGCTGGGACTACAGGTACGCACCACTGCGACCAGCTAATTTTTTTTTTTTTTTGAAAGATGTGGTTTTGCCACGTTGGTCTTGAACTCCTGATCTCAAGTGATCCGCCTGCCTCAGCTTCCCAAAGTGCTGAGATTATAGGAGTTAGCCACCACGCCTGGCCCTTGATGTTTTCATACTATGGGTTATGATCCATTAGTCACTCATGAAAACATCAGGATACACTGTAGGTGAGGATACAAATTTTGTGAAACTTTTCTTTTGGTTATATATGTGTATGTAGGTCAAAATGTCTTTCTTACTGTCGTTGAAAGCCACAGGTTTAGAGAGCTGGGAGGACAGGGGCTCTCCCAGTCCCTAATTGCACCAAATGCCTCGTATTAATCATAGTAGAGCTAAAATGAAAAAAAAAAAAAAAAAAAAAAAAGAAACACACACCTCAGTATCTATCAACAACAGTACCACAGAGAAACTCACATTGTTAATTAAAGTATATAATGTAAATATGGTATTGAAAGTATAAAAATTAAAGGCTTCTGAAAAACTCAAGAAGGGTCAAAAGGCTATACAAGCAAGTAGTATACAGATTGTTTCCTTAAAAGATAAATTTTAATATACAGAATAAAATCCAAGATGATTTTATTATTTTTCACTTTCCCAAAACTTGTGAGCATGAATGCTTCTAAATCTGACCAATGAAGTTTACATTTTGGTCCAATACATTATGAGACTAACTTGTATGATCAAGTCCAGCTTGATTATCATAAATCATAGAAGTTAACAATTTACTCTGAGAATCTGTTGCTAATATAGATGATGGATTTCCAATTTTTTCTTAGCTAAGAATTTACTCAACTTTAGCTCAGAACCAGATTCAAAATATCTTCTTTAATTAGCTGGTCATCATTTTAGGCTTAATCTAGGCAAATTATTTAATACTCAATTGAAGATCATATAAAACCTCCAAAATAAATAAAAAGTACACAAAATTATTAGCTTTTGTGTACAATACAGAAAATACAGGTCAGTTCTGGACCAAAATAATTGCATTAAAATACAAAAGGTGATAGGGAAGAATTAAAAGATTTGCAGTGACTGCTTTTGGTGGTCAGCTACAACAAGCCAACAACCCTCAGCTATTTTGGAAAGTGAAGGTGAGTCTTAATTTGCAGATAATGAATGTCTTCGGTAGTTTAAAAAAATATAAACTCTAAAAAAGCTCGTGAATCATATACAAAAGCAGCTATTTGAGACCAAGGTTGAACACCAGAAATTGTGTTAGCACCACCAGCAAGCACAGGGTCCTCTGACTCTTCCGCCCTCCTATCTTGTGCAGAATGCAGACTTGAATGTTGTACACATCATTTACAGTTACAAAAATCGGCCTTGAGTACAGGGTTCCTGTAGGGTAGTCTTAAGTCCTAAGAGGCACCAAGCGGTTACAAAGGCTAGGTGACAATCCAAATCACAAGGTCCGACGATATAATAAATCCCGTGTTGCCTTATCAACTTTTTGCTGGTAGTCCTCCAATTTGTCAAGTATTTTCTGGGACAGCTATAAGAGAAAAGAAGGAAAACATTACATAACAGCTCAACAATGGAAAAATATTGAAGTTATTAATAACTTTGACTTCACCAAGTAGATTCCACCTTATAAAGATGTTAGCCACTCTGCTTCATAAAATCACCATTTGTTATAGGAGTCTCCTCTGTGACTCTACTGATAAAACTAGGCCTCTCTGTTATATACAACATTTCAGTCTCATTTTCTGAATGAATTTTCTAAGTATGGAAATCGTACCAGTATTTCTAATAAAAGGATCACTAACTCTTTTCTCAGAACCAGAAATGCTGCATCTGATATAACTAGTTATTAGCTGCCAAGTGAAATATAGAACTAATATTTTAGATAGGCTCAGGAGGCACTCTATCTCACTGGTAAACAAAATAAGCCATCACTATAATGACTCAAGGAAACACTATTGTTTTTTATGTTAAGGCAAGCAGGGTGAATATATGACTCCTGAGAAATGTTGTTATATATGCCAACTTCCCTCAGGACAGTGATAATTTATCACACTGTATTTCTTTCTTTTTCAGGGTGGGGGAATGGAGTCTCACTCTGCTGTCTAGGATGGAGTGCGGTGGTGCAATCTTGGCTCACTGGAACCTCCGCCTCCTGGGTTCAAGCGATTCTCCTGCCTCAGCCTCCCGAGTAGCTGGGATTACAGGTGCCCGCCACCATGCCTGGCTAGTTTTGGTATATTTAGTAGAGATGGAATTTCACCATGTTGGCAAAGCTGATCTCGAACTCCTGACCTCTCAGGTAATCTGCCCGTCTCAGCCTTCCAAAGTGCTGGGATTATAGGCGTGAGCCACTGCGCCCGGCCTATCATTGCTGTATTTCAAGTACCTGTTTACCTTGTAGGGTCTGCCCTACCAAATTAAAAGCTTTAAAGGATGGACCGACTGCTTGCCATTTGTCTCTGTATAATTAACACTTACACAGTTCCTCATTATGTTTTCTTGATCCTGTTACTTAGATCCTCTGCCTTATCTATAAAGGGACTGGGCAGTTTGTTAAGGGCCAAAAATAGGCTTTTGTCTTCCCTTTCTAATCCCGGAGAACTGAAGATCAAGCTGTAAGGTGTAACTGCTAGTGCAGGGGCTTACACAAGACGTCTCATGAAAGGGCTGACTTACTGCGATGTTGTGACTGTTGGCACTGTTCTCTCCCAGAGCTTGGAGAAGCTGATCAATAGAGGAGTATGGAAGCCACACCATTGGGGCTGTTGCGGACAGTGGAAACTAAAAGGAAAATGTTTATTTGAAAACAGTCTGCAAAGTGTACCATTTCTTCTGGGTAGTTGCTTTCATAGGACTCTGTAGAATAAAATACCCTTTTTTTTTTTTTTTTTGAGATGGTCTTGTTCTGTCGCCCAGGCTGAGTGCAGTGGCACAATCTCAGCTCACTGCAACCTCCGCCTCCTGGGCTCAAGCAATTCTTGTGCCTCAGCCTCTTGAGTAGCTGGACTACAGATGTGCACCACCATGCCTAGCTAATTTTTTTATGTTTATTTTTAGTAGAGATGGGGTTTCACCATGTTGGACAGGCTGGTCTCAAACTCCTGGCCTCAAGTGATCCACCTGCCTTGGCCTCCGAAAGTGAGCCACTGTGCCCGGCAAAATAAAATGCATTTTTTCCCCCAACCACAAGAAACTGTGTGTATACATGTGCATGCACACAATGGGAACCCTCTTTTCTCCAACTGGGAAACTTGTCATTTTTTTCGGTTAAATATATTTAAAAATTCATGTCGGCTGGGCCTGTAATTCCAACGTTTTGGGAGGCCGAGGTGGGCGGATCACAAGGTCAGGAGTTCGAGACCAGCCTGGCCAATATGGTGAAACCCCGTCTCTACTAAAAATACAAAAATTAGCCAGGTGTGGTGGCACAGATGTAGTCCCAGCTGCTCGGGAGGCTGAGGCTGAAGAATTGCTTGAACCCGGGAGGCGGAGGTTACAGTGAGCCGAGATCATGCCACTGCACTCAAGCCTGGGCGACAGAGCGAGACTCCGTCTTGGAAAAAATAAAAAAATAAAAATAAAAAATAATTTCATGTCAACTTTCTTTTTTTTTTCAGACAGGGTCTCACTCTGTCACTCAGGCTGGAGTGTAGTGGCATGATCATAGCTCACTGTACCCTCAACCTCCAGGGCTCATGTGATCCTCCCACCTCAGCTTCCCACATAGCTGGGACTATAGGCACGCACCACCATGACCAGCTAATTTTTTTCTATTTTTTGTAGATAAAGGTTCTCACTATGTTGCCAAGGCTGGTCTTAACCTCTGGGTTTAAACGATCCTCACACCTTGACCTCCGAAAGTGCTAGGATTACAGGTGTGAGCTATTGCACCTGGCTGATTTCATGAGGGTTGAAGCTGTAGTTAACTACACCTATTTAGACCTGGCTCTTCTATTATATTTGCCATCTGTATGAGCCTGTGATAACCTCTGAGCCTGTTCCCTCATGGGTTAAAAAATAGAAAATTAAAACATTCCTTCATAAGGCTGCTATAAGGATTAAATAAAAAAATGCTTGTAGAGACTTAACACAGTCCCGGCACACACACAATACCATTTTGTTTATCTCTCTCCACTGAATCCTAACTAATGCCATATTATTTTGATAGAGAAAGATGAAATTCCTATTTTATAAACAGGAGACTAGAGATTCCTAGAGTGTCAATATTTAGTTGTATAACTACAGATAGTAAAGGTTAAATACACTAACATATAGTTCAATTTACTCTCAGATTCTCACCTTACATAGCATGATAATAAAAAGAAATGCCTAGGCCGGGCATGGTGGCTCACATGGGTAATCCCAGCACTTTGGGAGGCCGAGGTGGGTGGATCACTTGAGGTTAGGAGTTCCGAGACCAGCCTGGCCAACATGGTGAAGCCCCATCTCTACCAAAAATATTAAAAAATTAGCTGGATGTGGTGGCAGGTGCCTGTAATCCCAGCTACTCAGGAGGCTGAGGCAGGAGAATCACTTGAACCCGGGAGGCGGAGGCTGCAGTGAGGGAGTAAGTGGAGGCTGCATCACTGCACTCCAGCTTGGGCAACAGAGCAAAACTCAGTTAAAAAAAAAAAAAAATATATATATATATATATATATATATATATATATATATATATATATATATATATGCGCCTATACCGATGTTCCTCAACTTATGGTGGGTTTGTTTTCCAATAAACCCACTATCAGTTGAAAATATCATAGGTTGAAAATACATATAATACATCTAACCTAATGAACATCACGGCTTAGCCTAGCCTACTTAACCATGCTCAGGACACTTAACGTTAACCTATAAAGTTGGGCAAAATCATCTAACAGAAAGCCTACTTTATAATACACTGTTGAATATCTTGTGTAATTTATTGAATACTGTACTGCAACTGAAAAACTGAACGGTTGTATGAGTATTTTATTTATTTATTATTTATTTATTTATTTATTTTTGAGATGGAGTCTCGCTCTGTTGCCCAGGCTGGAGTGCAGTGGCATGATCTCGGCTCACTGCAACCTCTGCCTCCCAGGTTCAAGCGATTCTCCTGCCTCAGCCTCCTGAGTAGCTGGGATTACAGGTACGTGCCACTGCATCTGGCTAATTTCTGTATTTTTAGTAGAGACGGGGCTTTGCCATGTTGGCCAAACTGGTTTCGAACTCCTGACCTCAGGTGATCTGTCTGCCTCGGCCTCCCAAAGTGCTGGGATTATAGGCATGAGTCACTGTGCCCGGCCATCAGTATTTTAAAGTATGGTTTCTCATAAATGTTCATCACTTTCAAACCACTGTAAAGTTGAAAAATCGTAAGTCAAACCATTGTAAATTGGGGACCATTTGTATATGCCTACCTCAATTCCGAAGTATTGATGTCCTTTTCCCAATACAGCATCCACATATTCTGACACCAAATCCACAGCTTCTTCTAAAAGGTCATAGTTTAAGTATAAACGAAGCAATTCAGCAGCATCAACCTTCTGTGAAAAGTCAGTGATTAAGAATATGTACCTATTTCCCTCCTACTTGAGTACTGACCAAAGAATGTTGAGTGGCTGATTCCCTAACATTTGTATTTCTCAATATAATTAAACCAGTGGCTTGGTTTACTCATCTGTATCTTAGGATAAGAGCTGATAACAAATCTGGGGAGTTAGGAAAAAAAAAAAGTTAAATCCCTAAGAGCCGTTACCTCTAGGCAGTTTGGGAGGCCCTTATCTGTTAAATAGCCTTCTTCCCCTGTTTTATGACCTAAGACATATTTTAACTTCTCTCCACTTCAGTTTCCACAGTTGTAAAGTCAACAAACTTTTCCTGAACACTAAAGTGACAATATATTCACATAATAAGAAATATATGAATGACAAATGCAAAAGAAGTTCAAAGAATCACCAGCTTTAAATCTGAAGTCTCTATTTGGAAGAGCTCTATTAATTAAGCATGCTTTCTATATTCCCATTTGATCACAATCTTACCTTTACCATCTTAGCTGGCTTCCCTACTTTCCTATTTATTTATTTTTTTTGAGACAGAGTCTTGCTCTGTCGCCCAGGCTTGGGGGCAGTGGTGCAACCTCAGATCACTGTAACCTCTGCCTCCAGAGTAGCTGAGATTACAGGCACGCACCATCACATCCAGATAATTTTTGTATTTTTAGTGGAGATGGGGTTTCACCATGTTGGCCAGGCTGGTCTCGAATTCCTGACCTCAGGTGATCTGCCTGCCTTGGCCTCCCAAAGCGCTGGGTTTACAGGCGTGAGTCACCGTGCCCGGCCTCCTTTCTACCTTAAAAAAAAAACAAAAACAAAAACAAAAAAAACAAAACAAAACAAAACAAAAAAAACCAAAAAAAACTTTCCTGATTTTAAGCTTTAGATTTTCTCTTTCCTTATCCTACTAACGGTGGTTCAGATGCAGAAGTTCTCAAACTTTAGCATGCATCAAAATCAAATTAGGAGCTTCTTAAAATGTAGATTTCTGGCTCCTAGCCTGAGATAATCTGATTCTGTAAGTCTAGGATGAGGAATCTGTATTTTGAAGAAGACTGCCATCTGAATAATTCTGATGCAGACAGTCTAAGAACCCGTTTTTGATTTTTAATAGGTGAAACAGTGGGAGTGGAGAAGGAACCAATCGGAAACTGGTTGTGCTCAATTAGTTGTAAACAACACGGCACTCAGACCAGCCATAGTGTTATATTATTTGAAAAGTACTCCACCGACTCCTGTGACTTTTTTGAGGTATGAAGAGTAAATCCTGTGTCATGCATATGCTCATTGTTCTAAATATAAACTCATTGTTCAGTGAATATAATAGGAGTCATTAACCTAATTACTAACCTATGAAACTTCAAATCTAAATACACAGTAGTACTGTGGAAATGAATTTGAATTGTTCTTATGGTTTTAGCTATGATGAAAAGCTTCCCAAAGTACGTAAGTCAATATGTTCCCATAAGTTATCACCCCATCTTTTTCTTTTTCTTTATATATTTTTAAATTTAAATAGAGATGGGGTCTCCCTGTGTTGCCCAAGCTGGTCTCAAACTCCTGGGCTCAAGCCATCCTCCCCTGTTGGCCTACCAATGTGCGGGCATGACAGGTATGAGCCACTGCAATCAGTCCATATTTTTAATCATCTCATGAAGTTATCCAGAATGATAAAGAGTGGGTTCTTACTCTGTACAAGTTATAATCCGTTTACCTTGTAACTGTTTATAAGCCAATTAGGCAGAGGCACTCCATGAGACAAGAGCTTGTTGATTACACAGTGGTGATACAAGTTATTCTGGACTTTGTACCTCTCCAGGTAAGTGGATAATAGTCGCCATGCTTCATCTGTAGCACTTGAAAAAAACAAAAATGACTAATGAGTTTCAGATTCTTAATAGCTATTTAGAGTACCATTCAAAGCATGTATTTACAAGGAAAACTTTTTTTTCAGACAGGGTCTTGCTCTGTCACCCAGGCTAGAGTGGAGTGGTGTGATCTCAGCTCACTGCAGCCTCAGCCCCAGATTCTCCCATTTCAGCTTCCTAAATAGCTGGGAATACAGGCATGCACCACTATGCCCAGCTAATTTTGTTTATGTTTTGTAGAGACAAGGACTTGCTATGTTGTCCACGCTGGTATTAAACTCCAGAGCTAAAGTGATCCTCTGACCTTGTCCTCCCTAAGTGTTGGGATTACAGGCAGGAGTCACCATGCCCAGCCTTACAAGGAAAACTTTAGAAATTAACAACTGAATCAATAATATAGCTAAATGGGAACAAATATTATTTGGGCTAATGTGACTTATGGGGATAGCACTAGAAACTAGATGTCTTGGGTTCGTATATTCCTCTCCCACTAACGTATTTAGTATTTAGTAAACAAACATATTTAGTAAATGAACGTTATTTGTTTGGCTATTAATGCATAATTCATTTAACTCCTTTGTTTCTGCATTTCTAAAACAAGAAACTGGTTCAGAACACTGGTTCTCAAACCTGATCAAGCATTAGAATCATGCAGAAGTTCTAACTTAGAAGACTAGGGTGATTTCTCATAATCTGTATTTTAATAAGTTATTCTGATGTGCTAATTTAGGGGTTGAAAACTAATGTCAGAGAACTTCCAAATTCTAAAGTGCTATCACTCTAAAGTGCTAAGCTGTATAATACCAAGTGCAAATGCAGTTCAGAAAGGGAAGTTTACTGAGGGTTAGGAATGTTAGAGAAGGTTTCTGAAGAAGCTGAAGTATATTTACGTGGACACAAAGTGGGTGCACTGGGGAAGTATACGAACCAGAGGAGATCTGAAGAAGGTATAGTGGATGATGGGGGCTGATGGGTGACAGACTGCTGAACAGCAGCTGGAGACAAGATATAAGAGGACACTGTGATGAAACCATGCAGTGACTGCTCAGTGGAAGAAATGGGGGAAAAAAGGAGGATAACACTCCGAAACAAGTAAATACAGATTTTTGCCTGTAAGAGTACCCTTTCCTGATATGAAACAGTAAGTCTTTGAGGAGGGGGATATGGAGAAGGAGACATTTCATAGGCAAAGACATCCTAGTTTGGACAATAAATGACATGATGTCACCTTAATTATAAACTTTCCAGCCCCTATAAAAACTTAGCCAAAAAGAAAGAAAAAAGTGAAATGATCTATGTAGGACAATTTAGTCAGAGAAAGACAGTTACAGCTTTTAGAAAGGCAAAACTACCCAGGGTTGAA
Organism: Homo sapiens; assembly: GCF_000001405.40. NCBI lineage: Eukaryota > Metazoa > Chordata > Mammalia > Primates > Hominidae > Homo > Homo sapiens. The sequence continues at coordinate 47,786,439 of NC_000011.10, forward strand.
CACCAGGGTTGTACCTAGACTCCTTAGTAGTGATGACAGATGAGAGCTGATTGGCTGCTAGCCAGGCCCAGGCTTCTGCTTGTGCTGCCTCTCCTCCAAATTGCAATTTGATGCATCTGGAATGAAAATGGTTCCACACTTGAAAACTGAACGCTGAAACGTACCACTTTAATTTGATACTAAAACTAGAGAGATAGATGACAACTTCATCTCTAGTCTTTTGCTGAATTCACTACTGGAATATTGGCTCATCTCTTCCTCAAGTTACACAACTGGATACCTACAAGAACATGAGTAAGCATTAAGAGACAATTTACTTCCAAGATAAAATTAATGATGAAAAATTCTTTTTTCTTTTCTTTTTTTTTGAGATGGAGTCTTGCTCTGTCACCCAGGCTGCAGTGCAGTGGTGCAATCTCAGCTCACTGCAACCTCTGCCTCCCAGGTTCAAGTGATTCTCCTGTCTCAGCCTCCTGAGTAGCTGGGACTACAGGCCCATGCCACCATGCCTGGCTAATTTTTTGTATATTTAGTAGAGACGGGGTTTCACTGTGTTAGCCAGGATGGTCTTGATCTCCTGACCTCATGATCCGCCCGCCTAGGTCTCCCAAAGTCCTGGGATAACAGGTATGAGCCACCGCACCTGGCCTCTTTTTTTTTTTAAATTAAGATGGAGTCTCGCTCTGTTGCCCAGGCTGGAGTGCAGTGGCGCAATCTCAACTCATTGTAACCTCCGTCTCCCAGGCTCAAGCGATTCTCCTGCCTTAGCCACCCAAGTAGCTGGGATTACAGGCACACGCCACCTCTCCTGGCTAACTTTTGTATTTTTAGTAGAGATGGGGTTTCGTCATGTTGGCCGGGCAGGTCTTGAACTCCTGACCTCAAGTGATCTGCCCACCTTGGCCTCCCAACGTGATGGCATTACAGGCGTAAGCCACTGCACCTGGCTGAAAAATTCTGAAAGTTCAAAATTATTTCTAATTCACAAACTTTTTTTTTTTTTTTTTTTGAAACAGAGTCTTGCTTTGTTGCCCAGGCTCGAGTGCAGAGGCGCGATCTCAGCTCACTGCAACCTCTGCCTCCCAAGTTCAAGAGATTCTTGTGCCTAAGCCTCCTGAGAGGCTGAAATTACTGTTGTGTGCCACACCCTCATTTTTGTATTTTTAGTAGAGACAGGGTTTCACCATGTTGGCCAGGCTGGTCCCAAGCGATCCACCCGCCACAGCCTCCCAAAGTATTAGTAGGATTACAGATGTGAGCCACTGTGCCTGGCCAAGAAATTCTTCTTCTTTTTTTTGAGACAGAGTCTCGCTCTGTCGCCCAGGCTGGAGTGCAGTGGCGCGATCTCGGCTCATTGCAAGCTCTGCCTCCCAGGTTCACGCCATTCTCCTGCCTCAGCCTCCCGAGTAGCTGGGACTACAGGCGCCCGCCACCACGCCCGACTAATTTTTTTTGTATTATTTTTAGTAGAGACGGGGTTTCACCTTGTTAGCCAGGATGGTCTTGATCTCCTGGCCTCGTGATCCGCCCGCCTCGGCCTCCCAAAGTGCTGGGATTACAGGCGTGAGCCACTGCGCTCAGCCTGAAATTCTTTTTAAGAATGCTTGGATGGATTAAACAAAACACTTCTTCAAATCATAAATGATATATGGGCTACTTGGCTTATGACGACTGTTTCACACTGAGCAAGAGGATAATATATTTGCATTAGAAAAGACTATAAAAAAATAATTTTATACATACTTGAAGGCAAGCCCTTCAAAGACTGGCGTTAAGGGAAGCTTAAAAGTCTGACAGAGTGATATGGCAGTGTCAAAGAGGCCCGCCTGAACCAAGAGAGTGACCATTTCCTCTGCTGATGAACTTCCTGTGAAAATGGAAAAAGATTATTTCGTGTAGCCAAGGTATACACAAATGAAACCAAAGATTTTGTTTTGTTGATGAGTATCTCTGAGTAATAACCCAGGCTTTATACCCATCTACCATGCTACATACACTGCCTGGACCTAAAATGTGCTCGTGGTGCTGACAAGTCAGAGGCTTTAAACTCTTGAATTCCTACCAGCAACTGCAACCGCTGATGGATCATGCTGAGCCAAAGTGAGGCGGATGCGAGCCAAGGAACACTCTTTCTCCAGATCTTCCAGTTCCAGGATTTCAATTTGTCGATTTGCTATACATCAAAGAAAAATATTTTGAACTCCCAAAATACAAAGAAGTATCCATCAGATTAACGCAACCTGTCAATTTCCACTGAACATTAAGTAACATTCAATCTAATTTCCAAATGCATGAAGGAAGGAGAAAATAGGGCACTAAATAAATGCTAACTTAAACAAATTATGCAATATCCCATGTCAAATCAAAGTATTTTAACCGACTGCAGTTGAGGAGGTGCTTACAAGGTACTACATGTAATTTCATTTAACTCTTTAAACTTTTTTTTTTTTTTTTAAGGAAACAAATCTCAATCTGTCACCCAGGCTGGAGTGCAGTGGCATGATCTCGGCTCACTGCAACCTCCGCCTCTTGGGTTCATGTGATTCTCCTGCCTCAGCCTTCCGAGTAGCTGGGATTACAGGCGTGCACCACCATGCCCAGCTAATTTTTGTATTTTTAGTAGACACGGGGTTTTACCATGTTGGCCAGGCTGTTCTTAAACTCCTGACCTCAGGTGATCCAGCCACCTCAGCCTCCCAACGTGCTGGGATTACAGGCATCAGCCACTGTGCCCAGCCTAAAAAATTTTTTTTCTACAGGGTCTTGCTATGTTGCCCAGGCTGGTCTTGAACTCCTGAGCTCAAATGACCCTCCTGCCTTGGCCTCCCAAAATGCTGGGATTACAAGGCATGAGCCACTGCACCTGGCCTCATTTAACTATTATAATTGTGAAATACTGTCTGTCATCTCTATCAATAAGAAAGAAATATGACCAAACTGTGAGAGGCAGAAATAAAACCAGGTGTGTCCAAATCTAGAGCCTCGGCTCTTTATGGAAGGATATCATGCCTCTGTGGAAATAGCAAAAGAACTTGATAAAAAAAAAGCTTGGAACTAAGCTGATTTAAATACAACATTCAAGAAAAAAACCACATTCTTATTTAAGCATTTTCATTTCTCTTACTGTTGTACAACATTTTCGAAGTGCTACCAGACAACCTTTAGCAGATTAGAATGCTGAAAATAAACTAAAAAGAAGGAACTTTACAATATTTTTACAGCAATGTAATTATTATATATAATATATAGTATATAACGTTACTACTATGTATAGTATATAACAATGTAACTGTATATGTTACAATATAACTACTGTCTAAATTGCATGTATAGTTGACCCTTGAACAATGCAGGGTTTAGGGATGCTGGCTCCTGAGCAGTTGAAACTCTGCATATAACATTTCATTACCCAAAAACTTAGCTACTAATAGCCTACTACTGACCAGAAGCCTTACTGACAACCTAAACAGTCAATTCACACATATTTTGTATTTTATATACTGTACTTTTTTTTTTTTTTTTTTGAGACAGAGTTTCGCCCTTATTGCCCAGACTGGAGTGCAATGGCGCGATCTCGGCTCACTGCAACCTCTCCCTCCTGGGTACAAGTGATGTTTCTGCCTCAGCCTCCCAAGTAGCTAGGATTACAGGAATGCGCCACCACGCCCAGCTAATTTTTTATTTTTAGTAGAGACAGGGTTTCTCCATGTTGGTCAGGCTGGTCTCAAAACTCCCAACCTCAGGTGATCTGTCTGCCTTGGCCTCCCAATGTGCTGGGATTACAGGCGTGAGTCACTGTGCCTGGCCTATATACTGTACTCTTGGTTGTGGTTGTTTTGAGACGGAGTCTTGCTCTTGTTGCCCAGGCTGGAGTGCAGTGGCGCGATCTCAGCCCACTGCAACCTCAGCCTCCCGAGTTCAAGCAATTCTCCTGCCTCAGCCACCTGAGTAGCTGGGATTACAGCCACCCGCCACCACACCCAGCTGATTTTTTGTAGTTTTACTAGAGACGGGGTTTCATCATGTTGGCCAGGCTGGTCTTGAACTCCTGACCTGAGGTGATCCACCCGCCTCAGCCTCCCAAAGTACAGGGATTACAGGCATGAGCCACCGCACCTGGCCTATACTGTACTCTTAAAAGAAAATGTTATTAAGAAAATCATAGGGAAGGCAGGCACAGTGGCTCATCCCTGTAGTCCCAGCACTGTGGGAGTCCGAGGTAGGAGGATTGCTTGAGTCCAGGAGTTTGAGGCTGCAGTGAGCCATGATTGTGCCACTGCATTGCAGCCTAGGCAACACAGTGAGACCCTGTTTCAAAAACAAAAACAAACAGGTTTAGGCAAGTGTCCTTTCCCCTCAGTGATTTTCCTTAATGGTGTCTGGGAACTCTTCTGCTGCTCCTTGGTCAGCAGAAGCTGCTTCTCCTGTATCTTGACATTTTAAAAGCCATATCTCTTTCTTAAATTGTCAAACCATCCTTTGCTGGCATTAAATTCTCCAGCTTTAGATCTTTTACCTTCCTTTTGCTTTAAGTTGTTGTATAATAACCTTTGTTTTGCAAATCATGTTAGAGTCTATAGATATGCCTTTTTTTATAGCAATACTGTACCCACATAAAAGCTGGATTTTCAATATGAGATAAAAATATATTTTGCAAAAAGCACAAGGTTTTTGTACCTACTGGCGAAGCTGAAGCAACAGCTTCACAAATTTTCTCTTCTTTTTTTTTACAATGTTCCTTACACTGGATTCATTTTTCTTGAAATGGCAGGCAACCTCAGCTGCCGGCCTCAATCTACAGTAGACATCAAGCAGTTCAACTCTTTCTTGTCATGTTATGACTTTTTTCTGCTCTTTGGGAGCACTTCCAGCGTCACTAGTGACACTTCGTATGGGTCCCACTAAACATTATTTTTTTTGAGGCGGAGTCTTACTCTGTTGCCCAGGCTGGAGTGCAGTGGCACGATGTGTGCTCACGGCAACCTCTGCTTCCTGGATTCAAGCAATTCTCCTGCCTCAGCCTCCTGAGTAGCTGGGATTACAGGTGAGGGCCACTACTGCCCAGCTAATTTTTGTATTTTTAGTAGAGATGGGGTTTCGCCACACTGACCAGGCTGGTCTTGAACACCTGACCTCAGGTGATCCACCTGCCTCGGCCTCCCAAGGTGCTGGGATTACAGGTGTGAGCCACCACACCCGGCTTCCTTAACTTTTTCAATATTTCTAGGCTATGTGGTTCAACTGGGAGTTTTTTCAAATTGTGACAATCTCCAGAAAAAGAATCCAATATACTTATTGAAAACAAAAATCTGTGTATAATAGGTGCCTGCAGTTAAAACTTGTGTTTTACAAGGGCAACTGTTACTACTATAACATTTATATATTACTATTATATGTAGCTTATTTAACTACATATTTCTATCATAATACAACTAACAATAACAACATTACTACTGTCTAGCAAAGAACCAGTGTGAGACTCCTGACTCACTGGGGGCAGCTGTGCATTCTCCATCATGATTCCTCTTAGGGGATGCTCCAGGGCGATCATACTGATAAAACAAAACAAGCAATTTAACTGTGAAAATCAGTATTTTATTCTGATATCATTAACGGTGATTCATAGCTTTTATGCTTAAATTTTCTCAATGGAAATTATTTTTGTTTCGACCAGCAGAGCTCTTCTTACAGAGGTACTGTAACTATGAGACAAAGAAAGAAGTTCTTTGCCAAGTTGTTAACTTAACCATAACATATTACTGAGTCCAAGGACAGGGATTTGATCTCCATGTAAATCAACTAATTTTTCTCGGCTCCAGAGTTATATATAACAGAAACAGCTGCATGTATCTGACCCATCAGTATGATAGGAAAAACTCAAAGTGTGTGTCCTTTAAAACAGTAACTGTAGACTGCATTAACAAACACAATAGAAATAAAAGCAGCTACCATTTACTGAGCACAGTTTGTGGGCCAGGCACTGTTACTGTTCTAAGCAATCGACTTGAATTATCTCATTAATACCCAAACAATCCTATAAAGTAGATATTATCCGTATTTTATGCCAGAGAATGACAAAAGATTAAGTAACTTGTCTGAATTGGGTCAGGTCTAACTCCAAAACCACTCTGCAATATTTCTTCCTACAATAATTCTGAACTTGAAAACTAAAGGGGTAGTAATATACAACAATTGAATTGTAAACATAGATTTTTTTCACAAATATCTCAGTAGAAATTGTAAATCAAAAGAAGCAAAATGACACAATAGTTTTGAAAGGACCAAAACAAGTAGATTTACTTGTTCCAGGATGAACCCCCAAATTCCAGGATGAAATGTTTTCATACCACTGCACCAGACACTGGCTGCACAATCCACGCATATTCTGGACGAATAAGTCGTAAACAATTGAGAGCAGCCAGATAACAGTTGCCTTGTTTCTCAAGTCCCCGGAGAGTTCGAACTTCTCTGCCAAGCCGCATTCCATACTCAAACATCACTGTGCCAGCTATGAGGAGATAATAAATTAGACTTTAGAACTTCCAAATTTTTTTTTCTTTTTTTTGGAGACAGAGTCTTGCTCTGTCGCCCAGGCTGGAGTGCAATGGCTTGATCTCAGCTCACTGCAACCTCCGCCTCCCTGGTTCAAGCGATTCTCCTGCCTCAGCCTCCTGAGTAGCTGGGATTATAGGCACACGACCACCACGCCCGGCTAATTTTTGTATTTTTGGTAGAGAGTTTAGTAGAGAGTTTCACCATGTTGGTCTCGAATTTGTGGCCTCGTGATCCGCCCACCTCAGCCTCCCAAAGTGCTGGGATTACAGGTGTGAGCCACCACACCCAGCCTTCCAAAATTTGTTTCTCTAGAGATACGCAGGGAGAATGCTATCCCTAATCAAATGTTAAAATTTAAAACAAAATTGGGTTTGATGTAACCCCTGCCCCCCCTCCCCAAAATCACATGTTGGTGAGGATGTGGAAAAACTGGAACCCTTTTGTACTGTTGCTGGGAATGTCAAATGGTGCAGCTGCTATGGAAAACAGTATGGCAGTTCCTCAAAAAATTAAAAGTGAAATTATCATGTCATTCAGTAATTCCACTTTTGGGTATATACCCCAAAGAATGAAAAGAGGGGTCTCAAAGAGATATTTCTACACCCATGTTCATAGCAGCATTATCCACAATAGCCAAAGGTGAAAGCAATCCAAGTGTCCATTGATGGATGAACAAAATTTGACATATAAATACAACAGAAAATCATTTAATTATCTGTAAGATATCTGTTTTTTTTTTTTTTTTTTTTTTTTTTTTTTTTTTTGAGACGGAGTTTTGTTCTTGTTGCCAAAGGTGGCATGCAATGGTGCGGTCTCAGCTCATTGCAATCTCTGCTTCCTGGGTTCAAGCGATTCTCCTGCCTCAGCCCCACAAGTAGCCAGGATTACAGGCGCCCACCACCACACCTGGCTAATTTTTAAAGACATTTTTAAAGAAGAAAATTCTGACGCCACTACAAGGATGAACCTTGAAGACATTATGCTAGGTGAAATAAGACAGTCACAAAAAGACACATACTATATGATTCAAGCAGCCAAATTCATAGAGATGGGTGGTAAAATGGTGGTTGCCAGGGAATCGGGGTTGGGAGGAACAAGTAGTTGTTTAATGGGTATATAGCTTCAGTTTTGCAAGATGAAAAGTGTTCTGGAGATTGGTTACACAATATTGTGAATGCACTTAACACTCCCAAACTGTACACTTAAAAATGGTCAAGATAGCGGGCGCGGTGGCTCATGCCTGTGATTCCAGCACTCTGGGAGGCCAAGACGGGCGGATCATGAGGTCAGGAGATCGAGACCATCCTGGCCAACAGGGTGAAACCCCGTCTCTACTAAAAATACAAAAAAATAGCCAGGCATGGTGGCAGCCTCAGGAGGCTGAGGCAGGAGAATGGCGTGAACCCGGGAGGTGGAGTTTGCAGTGAGCCGAGATTGCGCCACTGCACTCCAGCCTGGGCGACAGAGCGAGACTCCGTCTCAAAAACAAAAACAGTTGGGCACAGTGGCTCACGCCTGTAATCCCAGCACTTTGGGAGGCAGAGGTGGGCAGATCACCCAAGTCCAGAAATTCAAGACCAGCCTGACCAACGTGGTGAAACGTCGTCTCTACTAAAAATACAAAAATTAGGGGCTGGGTGTGGTGACTCATGCCTGTAATCCCAGCACTTTGGGAAGCTGAGGCGGGTGGATCATTTTGAGGTCAGGAGTTCAAGACCAGCCTGACCAACACATGGTGAAACCCTCTCTCTACTAAAAATGCAAAAAAAATTGTCGAGCGTGGTGGTGCATGCCTGCAGTCCCAGCTACTCAGGAGTCTGAGGCAGGAGAATCGCTTGAACCTGGGAAGGCGGAGGTTGCAGTGAGCCGAGATTATGCCACTGAACTCCAGCCTAGACGACAGAGCGGGACTCTGTCTCGAAAACAAACAAACAAACAAAAACAAAACAAAACAAAAACTAGCTGGGCATGGTGGTAGGTGCCTGTAATCCCAGCTACTTGAGAGGCTGAGGCAGGAGAATTGCTTGAACCTGGAAGTGGAGGTTGCTGTGAGCCGAGATCGAGACACTGCACTCCAGGCTGATCGATAGAGTGAGACTGTCTCAAAAAAAAAAGAACATAGATTCTCATTTTTATAATACTTTAGTTGCACATATTCAATAAGATTCTGAAAAGTCCATTGTTCTGGAACAGCATGGGACTCCAGAAATTAAAATATCATTAAAAATTCTTTTAGTTTTCAAATAAAGCTATTTTTCATTTCAACAAATATTTTTGAATACCTGCAATATGTAAGGCGCTTTCAGAAGAACAGCCTTGCTCTAGAAAAACCTGAACATTAATCTTGCTAAACTGGTACTAAGCAGGTTGATATAATGTTATTGTGAAAGCAGATACTGAGAGATCTTTAATAATTTTTATTTCCCTTCCTATATGATTCAAGAAAATAAAGAATATGCAAATATGTTTTACTATTAGGAATGTTAAGAACCTGCCTATGAATAAACCCCATCTACTTTTTTCCAATGAAAATCAGCAAGAAACCAAAGAAAATTCTAAGTAAAAATGGTACAAAAATGTTAGACATTCCACAGTGATTATATTGTAAAATATAATCTTAAAACAATCTCACATTCCGCTCACATTCCGTTCATTTTAGCTGTTCTGATAAATAATTCATTGATAATGTAAGTCCAAATTAAGATACATTCTACAAAAATGACTGACCTACATGCTTCAAAAATATCAATGTCATCAAAGGCAAAGTGAGGCTCCAGATTAAAGGAGCCTAAAGACATCGCACAACTAAATGCAGTGTGTATTCTAGATCCAGGGTGAGGGCAGTATGTGAGGGATGCGCTATAAAAAACATTATTGGCCAGGCGCAGTGGCTCACGGCTGTAATTCCAGCACTTTGGGAAATGGAGGTGGGTGGATCACCTGAGGTCAGGAGTTCAAGACCAGCCTGACCAACATGGTGAAACCCCGTCTCTACTAAAAATATAAAAAAATTAACCGGGCGTGGTGGTAGGCACCTGTAATCCCAGCTACTCGGGAGGCTGGGGCAGGAGAATAATTTGAACCTGGGAGGTGGAGGTTGCAGTGAGCAGACACGGTGCCACTGCACTCTACCCTGGGCAACGGAGTGAGACTTCATCTAAAAAAAAAAAAAAAAAAAAAGGAGCAGCTGCGGAAGCCCAGACACCAGGAAGGTGAGATCTTCCACACAGAAAAAGAGAAATACGAGATTACAGAGCACAGTAGGATCAATCAGAAAGCTGTGGACTCACAAATTTTACCAAAAATCAAAGCTATTCCTTAGCTCCAGGGCTACCTGTGATCTGTGTTTGCCCTGACAAATGGAATTTATCCTTACAAATTGCTGTTCTAAATGTCTTAAGAAGAACCTAATTAAATAACTGATGACATTAAAAAAATCATGATGTCTTTAACTTCCTCCCAGAAGGACCAGCAAAAACAAACAAGTAAGTAAATAAATAAATAGATATTGAGAGAGAGAGGAAGGAAGGGGGAAGAAAGGAAAGGAGGGAAGAGGAGATAAGAAAATGATGTAAAATATTAACAGTTGGGGAATTTGGATGAAAGGTATATAGGGTGATATTCACTGCGTTAATGTTTTAACTTTTCTGTAGACTTGACAAATTTTACATTAAAAAGTTGAATGAAGAAAAAAGAATTCACCAGGATATCATTTGATAACTTCTAAATGTAATTTTTTTTGAGACAGGGTCTCGCTCTGTCACCTAGGCTGGAGTGCAGTGACATGATTTTGGCTCACTGCAACCTCCACCTTCTGGGTTCAAGAGTAGCTGAGATTACAGGCATCCGCCACCATGCCCGGCTATTTTTTGTATTTTCAGTAGAGAGGGGATTTCACCATGTCGGCCAGGCTGGTCTCGAACTCCTGACATTAAGCGATCCACCTGCCTCAGCCTCCTCAAGTACTGGGATTACAGGCGTGGGCCACCGCGCCCAACCCTAAATGTAAATTTTAGTCCCCTCTTTAAGGACTTTGCATTTAATTGAGGGGATGTGGGACAATCTAACCACAGCTAATGCGGAATATCATCTATTATACTCATAACCTAAGCACATTTAAGCAGTCAGAATTTTGCTCTAAGAACTGAAATGTGGAAAGGGAGAAGGCTAATGGTGAAATAGCACAGGAACTCAAACCCAGTCTCAAAAATTCATGCTGTCTCTAGTGAAAAAGCTAATTTCCTTTATTTATTTATGAGACGGAGTTTTGCTTTTCGCCCAGGATGGAGTGAAGTGGCGTGATCTTGGCTCACTGTAACCTCCGCCCCCCGCCCCACCCTGTTCAAGCAATTCTCCTGCCTCAGCCTCCTGAGTAGCTGGGATTACAGGTGCCCACCACCACATATGGCTAATTTTTGTATTTTTAGTAGAGAAGGGGTTTCGCCATGTTGGCCAGGCTGGTCTCGAACTCCTGACCTCAGGTGATCCACCTGCCTTGGCCTCCCAAAGTGCTAGGATTACAGGTGTAAGCCACTGCGCCCAGTGCTAATTTCCTTTATAATTGTACAGAAGATGCACACAGAATGCCATTTTAGTGGCAACGCCTTGAGAAAGTTCTAGAATGGAAGCAAGGGCCTATCTTCAAGGTAATCTTCACAAGGTTTAAGCTAATCTTGTACTTAAACACATATTAAAAATTACCTAAGTCCAACACACAATATTTTGGTAAAACATGATTAAACTAATAAGGCTGTCTGCAAGATACTGTCTGGTTACATTGCTCACCCTTGCGGTAATTGTGGCGATAGATGTGAAAGGCATACAGAAGTTCATAGTAATTGTGAGTCATAAGGTCCACAGCTCTAGCACGTGACTCAATTATTCCCACAACCTAGGGAAGGGGAAGCAATCAGATAACTAAGTCAGTAGCAATCATGGCAACCACCATACTTGTTGAAAGCCATCACTGGATAAGTAAAATTACCTCATTATGCAGATTCACATAGGGAAACTCTACAAGATCCTGTAGCTGTGAGCGTTCACAAAGAACTACCACCAACTGCCGTAAACAATCTAATTGCCTAGAAGGAAAGAAAGGAATATGAGGGCAAACTATCTTAGTAGGTTAAACAGAGTTGGTAAATTGTCTTCTCTAAAAAAGGCCATGAAATTACCTGCTGGAATCAGGAATTTGGGTTAAGGCTTCATATGCTTGGCTATTGTGACCCAAATCCAAATGATGTTTGAAAATACATGTCCTTAGAGTAGCCTAAATATCAAATGTAGATCAAATATCAAAAAGAGCAATAGAAATGAACATACCACACCCACAACAAACCTTAAAGAAAACAACCAAATTGCAGCCAATTCTTACCTGACTTTTCCAGTCATCACCTGCTTCAGTTATGGCTGATGTAGCCAACTGAATAACCAGTTCAGGCAAACCAATGACATCTAGTAGTCGTAAAACCTAACGAGAAATAGAAGAAATTTCCATTAAAATTAATATTGTAATGTACTTCAAACTCAATTATGGTTTAAAATTATTGAGAAAGGTTAAGTAGGCCGGCATGGTGGCTCACACCTCCAATCCCAGTACTCTGGGAGGCTGAAGCAGCAGGATTGCTCAAGGCCAGCCTGGGCAATATGGCAAGACCCCCATCTCTACAAAAAAATTTTTTTAAAAATTAGCTGCGTGTGGTGGCATGCGCCTGTAGTTGTAGCGACTTGGGAGGCTGAGGTGGAAAGACTGCTTGAACCCAGGAGTTCAAGGTTGCAGTGAACTTTAATCCTGCCACTGCATTTCAGCCTGGGTGGTATAGCACGACCCTGTCTCTATCCTCAGTGCCTAGTATACAGTAGTCTCTCCGTAAATACTTGTTGAGGCTGGGTCTGGTGGCTCACACCTGTCATTCTGACCAACACGGCGAGACCCCATCTCTATTATTAAAAAAAAAAAAAAAAAGCAAGCTTGTTGAATGAAAGAATAAATACGATTTCACTACTAACTGTTCAAGTCACAGATGAATGTAAAGAATAGTAAATAAACACCATAGTTTTATAAAAACCCTAAAGATAATTTACTAAATGACTGACATAATCCTTTTTTTTTTTGAGACAGGGTCTCTGTCAATCAGACTGGAGCACAATGGTGTGATCTCGGCTCACTGCAACCCCTACCTCCTGGGTTCAAGTGATTCTCCTGCCTCAGCCTCCTGTGTAGCTGGGATTACAGGCATGCCCCACCACGTTCAGCTAATTTTTGTGTTTTTAGTAGAGATGGGGTTTCACCATGGTGGTCAGAGTGGTTTTGATCCCCTGACCTCAGGTGATCTGCCTGCCTCAGCTTCCCAAAGTGCTAAGGTTACAGGCGTGAGCCACTGTGCCCGGCCTGACAAACATTTTTGATTGTCCACCCTGTCAACGTCTGCCCGCTACCCTAACCATGCACATTTCCCTATCTCATATACGTGCAATTCTCTAATACATATGTATGATACATCCAAAATACGCATTTATAAAGGATGAAGATAAAATAAAAAGTTTTAAAATTATTTTTATTAATTTTTTGAGACAGGGTCCTGCTCTGTTGCCCAGGCTGGAGTGCAGTGGCATGATCATAGCTCAGTGTAGCCTTGACCTCCTGGGCTCAAGTGAACATCCCATCTCAGCCACCTGAGCAGCTGGGACCACAGGCATGCACCACCATGCCCAGGTAATTTTTTAATTTTTTGTAGAGATGGGGTCTTCCTATGTTGTCTGGGCTAATCTCAAACTCCTAGGCTCCAGTGATCCTCCTGCCTTAGCCTCTCAAAGTGTTGGGATTACAGGCGTGAGCCACTGCACCCACTATAATGGACCTGGAAAATTCTTATCTTCTAGTGACATCATAGCCACCGCATGTATCGCTCACGTGTTTGTGGTGATGCTGGTGTAAACAAACCTACTGTGCTGCCAGTCATATAAAAAGTACAGCATGGCCAGGCACTGTGGCTCATGCCTATAATCCCAGCACTTTGGGAGGCCGAGGCAGGTGGATCACTAGAGGCCAGGAGTTCGAGACCAGCCTGGCCAACATGGTGAAACCCTGTCCCTACCAAAAATACAAAAATTAGTGGGGTGTGGTGGTGCACACCTGTAATCCCAGCTACCTGGGACACAGAGGCAGGAGAATCGCTTCAACCTGGTAGACGGAGGTTGCAGTGAGCCCAGATCGCACTACTGCACTGGGCAACAGACTCCGTCTCAAAAAAAAAAGGAAAAAAAAAAAAGTATAGTATATACGATTATATAAAGCACATAATACTTTTTTTTAATTTTGAGACAGGGTCTCATTCTGTCACCCAGGCTGTACTGGAATTCAAAAGAATTGTCATTAGTAGGAAAGTAGAGGGTTTTTTTCTTTTTTTTTTTTGAGGTGGAGTCTTGTTTTGTCATCCAGGCTGGAGTGCAGTGGCACGATCTCAGCTCACTGCAACCTCCGCCGCCTCCTGGGTTCAAGTGATTCTCCTGTCTCAGGCTCCTAAGTAGCTGGGATTACAGGCGCACACCACCACGCCCGGCTAATTTTTGTACTTTTAGTAGAGATGGGTTTCACCATGTTGGTCAGGCTGGTCTCGAACTACTGACCTCGTGATCCGCCCACCTCAGCCTCCCAAAGTGCTGGGATTACAGGTGTGAGCCATCGCGTCCGGCCAAGGGTTATTAAGAGCTACAAATCTACTTCAGTGTAAATTCATTTATCTAATAAGCAATTAACAAAACAGTGAAGACTGCTTCTGTGGCATTTACTTTCTGGTGGGAAATCCAGATAAATTCTAGTCTAAAATATAAAATCAAGTATGGTGAAATGTTATACAATCTGGAAGTGTGCACAACAGGATGAATAAAAAAGCTTTTCTGCACAGGCCAGGCAGAGGGCACTATCTGAGGAGGTGACAGATAAGCAGAGACCTGAATGGAATGAGGGTGTGAGGAAGGGCATTTCAGGCTGACAGAACAGCAGGCAGAAAGGCCCTAAGAGAATAGAGCATGCGCTTGACTTGAATGAGACAGTAAGAAGGTCACCATTGTTACAATGGAGTGACCAGAGGAAAGAGGGGCAGGAAACAGGTCAAGAGGACCCTCAAGTCCAAATTATAAACTAAGGCTAAATACAGCATTACTAGTCAATTCCCAGAAATATCAGCAAGACTAGTAAAGTGCAAATTAAATAATAAAATTCTAATGGCAACTGGGCTAATAAAATACCATGACGAAAATTTCATTTCAGTTAAAAGTATTTATTACATTTCACCATTTAACCCTAATTATAGATCCTGGGAAAAAATTTTAACTTAAAATATGTTTCTTTAATTTCTTTTTGTTTTTTTTTGGAGACGGAGTCTCGCTCTGTCACCCAGGCTAGAGTGCAGTGGCACGATCTTGGCTCACTACAACCTCCACCTCAAAGTTCAAGTGATTCTCCTGCCTCAGCCTCCCAAGTAGGTGGGATTACAGGCACCCGCCACCACGCCAGGCTAATTTTTGTATTTTTAGTAGAGGCAGGGTTTTGGCATGTTGGCCAGGCTGGTCTCAAACTCCTGACCTCAGGTGATCTGCCTGCTTTGGCCTCCCAAAGTGCTGGGATTACAGTCATGAGCCACCGTGCCCGGCCATGTTTCTTTAATTTCTCTAGGCAAATTCATTTTTTTTAAATTTGGAAGTTCAGGGAGCAACTGAATTTTTATAGTATTTTTCTCCAAAAATAGCAAAGCAATGTATTTCAGATGTGTTTTTACACAGGGTGGTATAAGGCCAAACCAAGACATGATGTACCTTGTCATAATACTGCAGCCTGGGGGTAGACACGATCTCCCCATCCTCTGAGCGAATCAAGCGATCCAAGAATTCCTCTTTGCCTACTTCAGATGCTGCCTGACAAAAACATTCCAGAGCCTGGAGAAATAAAATATAAAATGACTTGTAACAGATCATTCAAATTCTAGGTGCTATGAATCAGGGGTTCACATGTAAGGGAAAGCCAAAAAAGAAACAAGATTACTTAACATGGTCTACTCTATGTATAGTTTCTGACACATATGAATTCTATGTGATGCATTCATATTTTTAAAAATGTATCTCACACTTAAGTGCTACCAATTAAAAAGTAAACATTGGCCGGGTGGGGTGGCTCACGCCTGTAATCCCAGCACTTCGGGAGGCTGAGGCGGGTGGATCACGAGGTGAGGAGTTTGAGACCAGCCTGACCAACACGGTGAAACTCCATATCTACTAAAAACACAAAAATTAGCCGGGCGTGGTGGCGTGCACCTGTAATCCCAGCTACTCAGGAGGCTGAGGCAGCAGAATCGCCTGAACCTGGTGGGCGGAGGTTGCAGTGAGCTAAGATCATGCCACTGCAGTCTAGCCTTCCAGCCTGGGTGACAGAGCAAGACTGTCTCCAAAAAAAAAAGAAAGTAAACCTTAATAAGATGATTGACACATACATACATAATAAGGCAACTGTAGCAATATGTTAACAATTGTAGAATTTGAGTGATAGGTATATACTGTTCACTGTAAAAAGTCTTTAAACTTTCCTGTCTGTTTGAAAATTTATGTAATAGAACATCAGGGAAAAAATTAAAACTTTAAACTACATAACGAGAAAAAAGCAGCATAAAACAATAAAAAAAATGTAATTAATAAGTAAATTTGGGCTGTGTGCAGTGGCTCATGCCTGTAGTCCCAACACTTTGGGAGGCTGAGGTGGGCAGATCACTTGAGCCCAGGAGTTCGTGACCAGCCTGGGCAACATGGGAAAACCCCATCTCTACAAAAAATTAAAAAATTAGCCAGGAATGGTGGCTCACGCCTGTAGCCTCCAAGTACCTCAGCTACTTGAGAGGCTGAGGTAGGAGAATCACTTGAGCCCAGGAGGTTGAGGCAGCAGTGAGCTGTTGATTACACCACTGCACTCCAGTCTGGGTGACAGAGCAAGACCCTGTCTAAAAGAAATAATAAAATAAGTAAATAAGTTTGATTTATAAAAATGTATCCTGGCCAAACGCGGTGGCTTATGCCTGTAATCCCAGCACTGGGGGAGGCCAAGGTGGGAGGATCGCTTGAGTCCAGCCTGTGCAACATAGTGAGACCCTGATTTTACAAAATAATAATAATAATAATAATAATAATAATAATAATAAAAGGAATCTCTAAAAACACACAGGGGCAGGAGAGTTCTAATATTTTCTTATGTTCCTGAGTCCTATCTAAATTGCAGAATACAAGAAAGTAGTCCTTACATGTATATAATGCCTTTGACTGGCATTAGTACAGTCTTCTTTAACTTTATGTAGAGGATTCTATGTCTCCCATCCCCTAAAACCTAGTCAAATGGAAGCTAAGCAACTTCCTTGCGTTAAAGTTTATAAAGTTTATTTGCCATTCAAATGTAGTTTACCTTCTGTCCTTCTCCTGTAACTAGGTAACACCTTCCCAGCATAAATCGACAGGAACCAACATTGACTTGACACCAGGGATGTAGCAGTTGAATATAATCCTTAAAGGCATAAAAGGTGCTTTCTGATTAGAAAATAAATGTTACTTAAGGAGATACTCATTCCCAAGTTATTCGTCACAGAGGATGAAAAGACAGTGTTTGAACAAATGTTTTATTTCCTGACATAATTCTGATATTAAAACCTACCCCTGTTGCCTTCCTTCTTCATCCATTCCCCCTTTCCTTACACAAACAGGAGTCCAGTAACACACATACACATACTTTACATCTCAGCAATTTTCCAATTTTTGGTATTTATTGGTTCAATGACTAGATTCCAGTAAAGGATTTATATGAAAACAATAGTACATTTGAATTACTATGAAGAAAACCTAGCAGAGACAAATTCTTAAAAAGACACTCTAGAGGCCAGGCACGGTGGCTCATGCCTGTAATCCCAGCACTCTGGGGAGACGGGTGGATCACCTGAGGTCAGGAGTTCGAGACCAGCCTCGCCAACATAGTGAAACCCAGTCACTACTAAAAATACAAAAATTAGCTGGGCGCGGTGGCACGTGCCTGTAATCCCAGCTACTCGGGAGGCTGAGACAGGAGAATTGCTTGAACCCAGGAGGTGGAGGCTGCAGTGAGCCAAGATCATGCCACTGCACTCCAGCCTGGGCAACAGAGTGAGACTCCGTTTCAGGAAAAAAAAAAAAAGATACTCTAGAAAAAATCACGTTAGGAATTATACTGTCCAGAGAGAAGTAGAGAAAAATCTCTCTCTTTAAAAATTTATTTTATTACTTTCTTTAAAAGCCTTTAGAACCAGGTATTCTCTCAGCCAAGTACTAACCATGCCCAACCCTATTTAGCTTCGTAGATCAGACAAAATCAAGCAAGTTCAGGATGGTATAGAAATAGAGAACAATCTCTTTGGGGTATGTCTTCACATAATCAAGTTTAAATTATTGTGGTTCTTTAAAATGCAGTTAACATTTACAAAGAAAAAAATTCAGCAATCCCATGCTTTACAAGAATGTGTAGACATGAAATGTTCAAAGGAACTCACCTGCAATTGTACATATTGGCAATTTCCCATCAAACATTCTAGAAAGAGACAACCAGGATTGCTAGGCCATCTAGTCATTGGTTAAGGATATTTCTTAATTTTTGTTGGCAAATCTTAAACATATACATTGGGCATCAAATTCAGAAAAGTCCATAAAATAGCTTAATTTACATAAACAAGGCAGAGAAGTTGGCCAACCACATGTTCTTTCATCATCACTAGAATACAGTTAAACAGTTACTTTTATACCAGGAGACTTGTTATAGTGCTTAGAACTCAGATAACTATGGAATAAAGCATCTATTTCACCAGGCACGGTGGCTCACTCCTGCAATCCCTGTACTTTGGAAGGGTAAGGTGGGAGGACTGCTTGAGCCCAGGAAATCAAGACCAGCCTGGGCAACACATAAGAGTCCTGTCTCTAAAAATAAATAAATTTTTAAAAGCCTGTATTTCATTCCTGGGTGTTCATTTTCAATTCCAGCTGGTGTACCGCAGAACACAGTATTGGTGCCAGTGGACATCCAGCACATAACATGGTACCTGGCATATAGAGTCATTCAATAAATATTTGTTGAATGAATGTCTTTTTTTTTTTTGAGACAGAGTCTCACTCTGTCGCCAGGGCTGGAGTGCAGGGGCATGATCTCAGCTCACTGCAACCTCTGCCTCCAAGGTTCAAGTGATTCTCCTCCCTCAGCCTCCTGAGTAGCTGGGACTACAGACGCATGCCACCAAGCCCAGCTAATTTTAGTATTTTTTTGTAGAGGCGAGGTTTCACCATGTTGGTCAGGCTGGTCTTGAACTGCTGGCCTCAAGTGATCTGCCCGCCTTGGCCTCCCAAAGTGCTGGGATTATAGGCATGAGCCATTGCAGCACCCAGCCAAATGAATAATGTCTTTTTTTTTTTTTTTGAGACGGAGTCTCACTCTGTTGCCCAGACTGGAGTGCAGTGGCGCAATCTCGGCTCACTGCAAGCTCCGCCTCCTGGGTTCATGCCATTCTCCTGCCTCAGCTTCCAAGTAGCTGGGACTACAGGCGCCTGCCACCATGCCTGGCTAATTTTTTTTTGTATTTTTAGTAGAGACAGGGTTTCACCGTGTTGTCCAGGATGGTCTCGATCTCCTGACCTCGTGATCTGCCCGCTTCTGCCTCCCAAAGTACTGGGATTACAGGCGTGAGCCACTGCGCCTGGCCGAATAATGTCTTAAAACAGACCTAGGTATTTCATTACATAGGCAGAATAAGAACCTTAGACTATTTAGATAGAAGAGAGCTGCTTTTTTTTTTGAGAAGGAGTCTTGCTCTGCCGCCTAGGCTGGAGTGTGGTGGCGCGAGCTTGGCTCACTGCAACCTCCACCTCCCAAGTTCAAGCAAGTCTCAGCCTTCCGAGTAGCTGGGATTACAGGTGCAGGCCACCACGCCTGACTAATTTTTGTATTTTTAGTAGAGGTGGGGTTTCACCATGTTGGCCAGGCTGGTCTCGAACTTCTGGCCATAAGTGATAAACCTGCCTCCACCTCCCAAAGTGCTGGGATTACAGGTGTGAGCCAACATGCCCGGCCAGAAGAGAGCTTTTCACTGGCTTCTAAATAAAAGGATACAAAAGCTGCAATAAATAACTGGTAATTGCAGTAATCATTTCAGGCCAATTCAATCCAGTTTGGCTCAGAGGTGCCTTTGGCTGAGAGAAGAGGTGAGATATAATGTGTTTTCTTGCAACTTCTTGGAAGAATAACTCCACAATAGTCTGAGGACTAGATACTTAAAAAGAAAAAGTTATGACAGTTTTGTGTAGTGGTAATTATCAATTTTCAATTAAAATAGTCTATCAATTCATTTTATGCTTGTAACAAACAATTTAGCACTTCAAAACAGAAAATGTATCACGGGTATATATCCAGTGGCAATATAAATAAAAGTAGTCTGTAAATTGTGAGGCACTATAAAAATGCAATAAAAACACCATTCACATCAAAGTTATAGTCATTTCTTTTCACTGATCTCACAAGACTTAAGTGCCTTCCCTAGAAATTCTTCATGATAAATACAATTAGCCCCAGGATTTCAACTTTTATACCAGAACAATACAAAATAAATTCTCCAGAATAATGGTTTTCAAACATGAGGGATACTTTTAAATATCTGTTGACTAAGATTACAAAAGTTACCATGAACGAATAAATTTTTAAATGATTTTGTTAATCACTGGAGCATCAAAACAGAATGGGAAAGCAGCTATACACACACACACACACACACACACACACACACACACACACACACACACACACACACACACACATATATATACCATATCCTTAACATATGCCTGATCTGGTACTACAGTTTCACAGACCCCATGCCACAAACGGAGATCTCAGGCCACAGCTTACTCATGCCTTCTGAAAGCAAAGAGCCTAGCCAACCTTTCTATGGCAAAGGTGGCAAAAGACCACTTTAATGAATATGCAATAAATCCCCAGTTTAAAATGAAATGTGTACATAGTCCACTCCTTACCAAACCTATTTGCCATTAAAGCACCAGAGTCTGTTAATTCCAGTACTGATAAGTGTTGGAGATTAGACTCCCTGTGAGAAAAGGGGAAAAGACAGCTTAGTAAATTCTCCTATGCTAAACATTACTTCTACAAGCTCTTCTACGAAGAACACTGTCAATTTAATTAATAAATTGCACATAAAAGCTCCACTGAAAGCACAAAAAAAATTGGAAATCATTATAATATAGATTGTTGCCCATAATATCACTTCGTGACCCTTCAATGAGGAGCCAGAGCAAACAGGATGGTTTATCTTATTGAAAATGTGAATCTCGGCGGGGTGTGGTGGCTCATGCCTGTAATCCCAGCACTATGGGAGGCTGAGGCGGGTGGATCACCTGAGGTCAGGAGTTCAAGACCAGCCTGGCCAACATGGTGAAACGCCACCTCTACTAAAAATACCAAAAATTAGCCAGGTGTGATGGCAGGCGCCTCTAAACTCAGCTACTCTGGAAGCTGAGGCAGCAATATTGTTTGAATCAGGGAGGTGGAGGTTGCAGTGAGCCGAGATCGCACCATTGCACTCCAGCATGGGCAACAAGAGCGAAACTCCATCTCCAAGAAAAAAAAAAAAGTGAATCTTGTAATTCTTGGATTTGGCTATAAAGAAGCTCAGCCTACCTAAAGTAACAAGCGTAACATTTTGTGTATGGTCTTTCCTTCTGGTTTCATCGTATTTTATATTCAACATAATTTATATGTACACACAAACGTGTAGTACATAAGTATAATACATAATTTATTTGTACACATACATACAGTCTATGATTACATGTGACTTATTTTCATTCTTATAAGTTGCCTTCAACCTGTAACAAATAAAGGCACCAAAAAGCTCTCTGAATCTTAATGGCATATAATTTTACGGCATCCTGTTAAAAATCTTTTTCCCGGCTGGCGTGGTGGCCCACGCCTGTAATCCCAGCACTTTGGGAGGCCAAGGCAGGCAAATCACCTGAGGTCAGGAGTTTGAGACCAGCCTGGCCAACATGGTGAAACCCCATCTCTACAAAAGTACAAAATTAGCTGGGCATGATGGCAGGTGCCTGAAATCTCAGCTACTTGGGAGGCTGAGGCAGAAGAATCACTTGAACCTGGGAGGCGGAGGTTGCAGTGAGCCGAGATCATGCCATTGCACTCCGGCCTGGGTGAGAGAGAGCGAGACTCTGTCTCAAAACAAAAACAAAAACAAAAACAAAACACTAAAACTTTTTCCCTTTAAGACAAGGGGAAAAATAATTAAACTCACAATTTACATTTTAAATAATTGGGATAATGAAACTCACAGTGTGTCAAGTGGAACATCAGTTGCCAAGCACTCACTTCCCCATTTAATGAGGTAATAAGATAAGAGTAGGGGAGCTGTTCGATGTAGTAGGTCTTGCTGAGCTTGAAAGAGCTGACCAGTTCCCCAAATCACCTATACATTATGGGTAGGTGGACCAGACAAGAAATTATAGCAATTAGTAATGGTAACTCTTACGGCTCAGGTGGAGGTAAAATAAAATAACAAATACAAAGGTCACAATACTGTAAAAGCAACACGTTTTACATTTTACGGTAGCAAGTGGCAAAATATCTTCCCAAACATTAACAGTCAAAAAATAATCAAAAACAGCTCACCAAGTAACGGAAGCTCATGATGAAAAGAAACCAACAATAAAAAGCTTAACTTTCATTAAATCTGTGGGTTCAGAATTAAAGAAGAGGGCCAGGCACAGTGGCTCACACCTGTAATCCCAGCACTTTGGGAGGCTGAAGCAGGCAGATCACTTGACCCAAAATTTCGAGACCAGACTGGACAACACAGTGAAACCCCGTCTGTAGTAAAAATTACAAAAATTAGCCAGGCATGGTGGTGGGCGCCTGTATTCCCAACTATTTGGGAGGCTGAGGCAGGAGAATCGCTTGAACCCAGGAGGCGGATGTTGCAGTGAGCTGAGATCGCGCCACTGCACTCCAGCCTGGGTGACAGAGCAAGACTCCGTCTTAAAAAAGAAAAAAAAAAATTAGCCTGAGTGGTGGTATGTGCCTGTAGTCCCAGGTACTCAGGAAGCTGAACTGAGCCCAGGAAATCAAGGCTGCAGTGGGCCGAGATTGAGCCACTGCACTTCAGCCTGGGCACAACAGAAGTGAGAACTTGTCTCAAAAAAAAAAAAAAAAAAAAGAATTGAAGAGACACAGGGAAATCTAAATTCTCTCATATACTGCTGGTGCTGGGTAAAAAAACAGGTATGACCATTATTATAAGCAAATTTGGCAGTACTACCAAAAGCCTTAAAATGTGCATTACCTGTAGACCAAATTCTAGTTTTTAGAACTTATTCTAGAGATATAATTAAAGATGTACAGAAAGTGGCCAGGCACGGTGGTTGACACCTGTAATCCCAGCACTTTGTGAGGCTGAGGCAGGCAGATCACTTGAGGCCAGGAGTTCGAGACCAGTCTGGCCAATATGGCGAAACCCCATCTCTATTAAAAATATAAAAATTAGCTGGTGTAGTGGTGCGCATCTGTAATCCCAGCTACCTGGGAGGCTGAGATATGAGAATTTCTTGAACCCAGGAGGCGGAGGTTGCAGATTGCACCACTGCACTCCAGCCTGGGCTACAGAGCAAGACTCTCAAAAAAAAAAAAAAAAAAAAAAAAGATGTGCGGAAAATTATGGACATAAAGGAAAAACTGGCAACAAAAAGAAAAATGTTGAGATTTATAAAGTGGAAGAACAGAACAACCAGATTACAAAAAATACTATGTAGTTTATTTAAATTTCACAAACAAACCAAAAAGAATGTGCATGGAAAAAAACGTATATAGCAAAATTTAAGTAGTAATCACTGGGTAGAAAATTATAAATTTTTTAAATTTTTGCTTATATATATTTTGTAAAGGTTCTACAATGAATATCTTATTACTTCTGTGTTCAGAAAAATTGACAAAAGTTATAATTTAAAAAACAAAAAACCTGAAAAAAATGGAAGAATCTACATAGATCAAAAAGAACTTAGTAAAGGCTAACCAACCTAACAGACTTTCAGGAAAGGTTCATTTTTCAACTTGGTGATCTTAAACAAATTATCTTCCCAATTTTTTTTTTCTTTTTTTTGAGATAGGGTCTCACTCTGTCATGCAGGCAGAAGTGCAATGGCGCAATCACAGCTCACTGCAGCCTCAACCTCCCAGGCTCAGGTAATTCTCCCATCTCAGCCTCCCAAGTAGCAAGGACTACAGGCTTGCTGCACCATGCCCGGCTAATTTTTGTATTTTTTTGTAGAGATGAGGGTTTGCCCAGACTGGTCTCAAACTTCTAGGCTCAAGCAACCAGGCCACCTTGGCCTCCCAAAGTGCTGGGACTATAGGTATGAGCCACCACATCTGGCCTTTTTCTTACTCTTGCTTGAAATTCTACCATTAGCGATGTATCTGGGTTTATAATTTCTTTTTTTTTTTTTTTGGAGACAGAATCTCGCTCTGTCACACACGCTGGAGTGCAGTGGTGCAATCTTGCCTCACTGCAAACTCTGCCTCCTGGGTTCAAGTAATTCTCATGCCTTAGCCTCCTGAATGGCTGGGATTACAGGAGTGTGCCACCAGACCCCGCTAACTTTTTTGTTTTAATAGACATGGAGTTTGGCCATGTTGGCCAGGCTGGTCTCGAACTCCTGGCCTCAAGTGATCTGCCCACCTCAGCCTCGCAAAGTGCTGGGATTACAGGTGTGAGCCACTGTGCCCAGCCTGAGTTAATACATTCTGACTTAAAATGTATAAGTACATTTATACATTTTAAGTCAGAATTAAAATGGGAGCCCCAAAGGACTTTTGGCTATTTACACATTAATATGAATTGGTTTAATTAGATTCCTTCTTTGACAGGCTCAAATGAGATTACTGACTTAGAAAAAAATGGGATGTCTGACTGTGGGGAGAAAAATAATTTCTTAGCATGGGACATTCAGTAGGGTGGGTGATTAGGACTATATATTAGCAACAAGAGTCTGGTGGTCTAAGAAGAACAGAATGAAAAAGAAAGCACAGAATAGAGTTAGGAGGACCACAAAGATAAACCTGCATCTCAAAACTGTGTTTAGGGTAAGCCTTGCACTGTAGAGAGTTCTTAGGTTGGGCAAGGTGGCTCATGCCTGTAATCCCAGCACTTTGGGAGGCCGAGGTAGGTGGATCACCTGATGTCAGGAGTTTAAGATCAGCCTGGTCAACATGGTGAAACCCTGTCTCTACTAAAAATACAAAAATTAGCCGGACACGGTGGCACGCACCTGTAATCCCAGCTACTCAGGAGGCTGAGGCAGGAGAATTGCTTGAGCTGAGATAAGGCCACCACACTCCAGCCTGGGCAACAGAGCAAGATTGTCTCAAGAAAAAAAAAAAAAGAGAGAGAGACAGGAAAAAAAAAGAGTTTTCTTTTTCTTCCTCCATACTAAAGGGTATGCTTACCACATTCATAGTTACTAATAATACTACATTTTGGGAGAGCCAACTTGGGAAAATTTTCCACTACTACACATACAAAGGTTAAGAGTAAAGCAATCTGCTTCATGTATGTTTTTTAAAATCTACTGTTAAGTTCCAGGGTACATGGGCAGGATGTGCAGGTTTGTTACGTAGGTAAACGTGTGCCATGATGGTTTGCTGCACAGATCAACCCAACACCTAAGTATTAGGCCCAGGATCCATTAGCTATTCTTTCTGATGTTCTCCCTCCCCACCGTCCCCTCCATATATGCTCTTAATCTATACTCTCACAAGGATTACAATGCTTATTCATTCTTAATTCAAAAATATTTATAGAGCATCTCATAAGGCCAAGCTTGGGAGAATAAAGCAGTGAACCAAGACAAAAGTATCTGTGCTAGTAGGGCTGACATTTTGCTCCTAAGTGCTTGTAGGCCTATAACAGGTTTTAGATTTTACAAGTTTTCCCTCAAGCAGTACTTACAGCATCTCCAAGCCTCATTAACAGCTGCTGTAAGATCAAAAGATCTCTGCAGATCAGGAAACGAGTACTGGCGATTTTATGCACCCCTCTGCACACAATATACCCTGCTGTGTTACTACCATAGAGCTGGGTAAGATTCATTCGAATATTCAAAGGCTGAGCTGTAAAAAGAAGAAAAATGGAGTTGAATGCATCATTGTTTTAATCAAAGAGGCACATTTGTTGTTCTGTCATTTACCTGGATTGAATCCCTTTTCCATTTCCACTTCTGTTTCATAATCCATTTCCCGTATAAGTAGTCCAATTGCATGGATTGGGTTCCTAATCTCTTGCAGTTTACTACAAATATCCTCCATCACATTTTCTCTATAAGGACAATTACAAAACTCTTATTACTACCGAGAATACGTAAGGCAAGTTCTATATGTCCTATAAGCTAAATACATTATGAAACAAGAGAACCAGATAAAGGAATGAAGATAATCACTCTGGCATATAAGATACAGTCCCTATGCATAGCAAATTTCCTCTCAGTTTTTCATAAACAACACACAAAACAAACATGAGAAGAACACTTTTGCTTTTTAGAATTTTTAGCTCGGTTAATTGTTAAAGCATATTTTATAAGTCTATTTCTAGACTTGAAGTCGTGTTAAATTTTCTGTTAAAAGTAGAAATATGTACTTAGAATCATGGCGCATCAGTTTGACTTTAAGCTACTATTCTGTACGCTCTGGAACATACATTAAAATTCCAACTTTGGCGCTAAAAATGCTGAATTTCCATTAGGAAATGCACTTTACCCTAATTCTCCTTACACATCAATAGTGATCATATCTTCCAGAATCTGCTCTGCAGCCTTTTCCGGAGACTGTAGGTTATAACAACTCATTTCCATTATAACTGACATATCCACAGTTACTGACTCTTCAATCAGCCGGAGGCATTTTATAAGACATATGACATCCCGAGCGATGTCCACATCTACAAATAAGAGAAAGTTAACATTTATGTCTTAAGCCAATGACAATCTATTGATTGATATTACATTAAAATGTTAATAATTAAATGACAAGAAATCTATCTGAGGTCTCAGAGATGCTTTGGTCTCTTAAGTGTTCATTAAAATATTTGTGGTGTGGTAAAGTGACCAAGACAGGTGTGGCAATCGATATTTTTTGTATCCATGTGAAA
Source organism: Homo sapiens (assembly GCF_000001405.40). Lineage (NCBI taxonomy): Eukaryota > Metazoa > Chordata > Mammalia > Primates > Hominidae > Homo > Homo sapiens. The sequence goes on from NC_000011.10 coordinate 47,813,258, forward strand.
CGAAGCATAGGGTTTATATAGGAAGGGGATTAAATATGGACATAACAATTACTATTACCATCAGATATGGTTGTCTCATCTTCTGTCAAAAGGTTCTCATAAGGCAGGAGATACAAATGATCCACTAAGGATGAGGGAATAAGGAAAGACAGGTACCCCTGGAAATACAAATTTTCCAGTTACATTTTTGTCAGTAAAATTTTAAAGGTATAAAATAATTGAGATGTGCATCTTATCATGAGGCAAACCCAAGTTGCAATACACTCTATAAAATAATAGGTGTAAGTCTTGGCTGGGCACAGTGGCTCACATCTGTGATCCCAGCAGTTTGGGAGGCTGAGGTGGGAGGATCACTTGAGCCAAGGAGTTCAAGACCAGCCTGGGCATCATGATGAAACCCCATCTCTAAAAAAAAAAAATTAGCCAAGTGTGGTGGCACACAGCTTTAATTCTAGCTGCTAGGGAGGCTGGGGTGGGAGGATCACCTGAGCCTGGGAGGTTGAAGCTGCAGTGAGCCTTAAGAGTGCCACTGGGCCGGGCGCAGTGGCTCACGCCTGTAATCCCAGCACTTTGGGAGGCTGAAGTGGGTGGATCACGAGGTCAGGGGATCGAGACCATCCTGGCTAACACGGTGAAACCCCGTCTCTACTAAAAATACAAAAAATTAGCCAGGTGTGGTGGCGGGCGCCTGTAGTCCCAGCTACTGGTGAGGCTGAGGCAGGAGAATGGCATAAACCCAGGAGGCAGAGGTTGCAGTGTGTTGAGATCGTGCCACTGCACTCCAGCCTGGGTGACAGAGCGAGACTCTGTCTCAAAAAAAAAAAAAAAAAAAAAAAAGAGTGCCACTGTACTGCAGCCTGGGTGACACAGCAAGACCCTGCCTCAAACAAACAAACAAACAAACAAACAAAAAAAAGAAACAAGCATAGTCTTCAAATAACATCATTCTCATGAAAGACAAAGAAACGCTGATAACAGTTTGAGGTTAAGCTAAAGAGACACAATAACTAAATACATATATTAGATTGGATCCTGGACTTTGGGAGGCCAAGGTGGGCGGATCACCTGAGCCCAGGAATTTGAGACCAGCCTGGTCACAACATGGCGAAACTCCGTCTCTATTAAAAATACAAAACTAGCCAGGTGTGGTGGCGCGTGCCTATAATCCCAGCTACTCTGGAGGATAGGCAGGAGAATCGCTTGAACTCAGTAGGCGGAGGTTGCAGTGAGCCGAGATTGCACCACTGGACTCTAGCCTGGGCGACAGAGCAAGACTGTCTCAAAAAAAAAAAAAAGATTGGATCCTGGATCAGGAAAAAAAATTATGGGCACAATTGGCAAAATCTGAATATAAACTATATATATATATATGTTATATTTGGCAAAATTTGAATATAAGCTGTATAATATTATGTCAATATCAAATAACCTGATTTTTAAATTGGGCTGTGGTTATTTAATATCTGTGTTCTTAGATACATGCTGAAATATTTAAGGATATTTAAGGATAAAGGAGCATGATATCTACAACTAACTTCTCAGTAGTTCAGGAAAAACTGTTTAGAGAAAGAAGAAAAGCATATGGAAGTTAACAAATGATGAATCCAGATGAAGGGTATACAGGAATTCTTTGTGCTATTCTTGTAACTCTTACCTTAAGTTGGAAATTACTTCAATATAAAAAGTAAATAGGCCGGGTGTGGTGGCCCACGCCTGTAATCCCAACACTTTGGGAGGCTGAGGCGGGTGAATCACCTAAGGACAGGAGTTCAAGACCCACCTGACCAATATGATGAAACCCCACCTCTACTAAAAATACAAAAATTAGCCGGGTGTGATGGTGTACACCTGTAGTCCCAGGTACTCAGGAGAATTGCTTGAATCCCAGAGGCGGAGGTTGCAGTGAGCTGAGATCACACCACTGCACTCCAGCCTGGGTGACAGAGCAAGACTCCAACTCAAAAAAAGAGAAAAAAAGAAAAAGAAATAAATACAATAAAATACAAAAAAAGTATAGAGAATAACACAGAAAACTATTTAAATGAATGAATCACAATTTTAGGGGAAAAAATACAAATGCAAAGTCCTAAATGCTAACCGCAACATTCACCAGACTAACATTCGGCAAGAGCCACTGAACTTTTTGTTTTCTGAAGGCATTTTGTTATAACAGCCACTGAACTGTCTCAAGAAGGTCTTCTCTATGCTTTAGCTCACTTACTTTTTTCAGCAGGCACACCATGTTTGTGTGTGGATTCAAATGTAGGGCAAGAGGGTGAGAGAGGGCTTCTTGATACTGAAGACAACAGGCATAGAACTTGCACCAGAATTCTTGTTGTAAATTTCGAAACTCCTCCTGGGAGAATTCATACTCTGTTACACTTCCTTGAAGCTGGCAAAGAAGAAATGAAAGAAATTAAACTTTTGATGCCATTCAGGATCTTTGTCCACAAAAAACATAATTGTCCAATATCATTATACTAAGCTACAGCCAAATGAATATTCCTTACGTATTAAAGGCCATAGACTATGCAAATGTGTATCTGATTCTCTAGTTAAAAGGTTTAAACATTTATATGTTCCAACAAACAAGGTCAAGTGAAGAATTCCAGTAATTCCTCGGTCAGTACCAATCTGCCCTATATCAAGATGGAAGGAATTCTTATTCTTTCTCTACCCAAGCCTCACCTCATTTTCAACAGCTAAAGTAACTTCTTTCTTCAGTTCACTCCAGGAAAGATCCAAATTCCTCTCAGTTCCTCGGCAGAAAATCTAACATTAAAAGACATTTTAGACTTCTATATAATAGCCAAAACTGAATGGAAAACGTTTCAGTTTAGAAGACATAGAGGCAATATAAAACTATATAATAGAGATTTGGCATACCTGGAACACACATCACCCAAGAGAAAGTTAAGAAACTGGGTGTATTTAGTCTGGAGAAAGGTGACCTGGAAAGATTCTTAAAATACTTGAAGGGTTGATTTATAGAAGAGAGGCTTCCTTTTCAATGACACAGTTTGGGAATAATAACTCCCACAAGAGGTAGTGACAAAGTGGTCAGTGGAGGTAGAGACAATTAAAGGCTGAATAACTATCACAAAAGCCTCAGAAGGCATTTCTGTTTTATGTGGGAGGTCAGTCTAAAATATTCTAATATAATTTTCAATTATATGAGTTATTGTATTTTAAATCCATCCATGAAGCTAAGTAGTAATTTAAAGAAGCCTATGCAAGCTGGGTGTGGTGGCTCATGCCTATAATCCCAGCACTTTGGGAGGCTGAGGCGGGTGGATCATTTGAGGCCAGGAGTTCGAGACAAGCTTGGCCAATATGGCAAAACCTTGTCTCTACTAAAAACTACAAAAATTAGCCGGGTGTGGTGGCATGCGTCTGTAGTCCCAGCTACTTGGGAGGCTGAGGCAGGAGAATCACTTGAACCCAGGAGGCAGAGGTTGCAGTGAGCCAAGATCGTGCCACCGCACTCCAGCCTGGGCAACAGAGCGAGACCCTGCCTCAAAGGGAAAAAAAAAAAAAAAGTCTATGTAACTTTTTGTTGTTGTTTTAATAGAGATGGGAATCTTGCCATGTTACCCAGGCTGGTCTTGAACTCCTGAGCTCAAGCAATCCACCCCCTTGGCCTCCCAAAGTGCTGAGATTACAGGTGTGAGCCACTGCACCCAGCCAGAAGCCTTTGTAACCTTAAAAAATCCTTTCAGTTTTTTTTTTTTTTTTTAAGATAGGGTGTCACTCTGTTTCCCAGGCTGGAATGCAGTGGCATGATCAAGGCTCACCATACCCTTTACCTCCTGGGCTAAAGCAGTCCTCCAACCTAGGGCTCCTGAGTAGCTGGGACCACAGGTGCATGCCACCACACCTGGCTATTTTTCTATTATTATTATTTTTTTTAGAGATGGGGTCTCCCTCTGTTGCCCAGGCTGCTCTCAAACTCCTGGGCTCAAGTGATCTTCCCTCTTCAGCCTCCCAAAATTTTGGGATTACAGGTGTGAGTCACTACCGTTGGCCAAAGAATCCTTTTGTAAAGCACTGGGCTTCTCTTATACAATGAATTTGAAGCCAAAAACTTTTTTTTTTTTTTTTTTTGAGACAGAGTCTCACTCTGCCGCCAGTTTGGAGTGCAGTGGCGCAATCTTGGCTCACTGCAACCTCTGCCTCCCGGGTTCAAGAGATTAATTCTTCTGCCTCAGCCTCCCGAGTAGCTGGGACTATAGGCGTGTGCCACCACGCCCGGCTAATTTTTGTATTTTTAGTAGAGACGGGGTTTCACCATGTTGGCCAGGATGGTCTCGATCTCTTGACCCCGTGATCCATCTGCCTCAGCCTCCCGAAGTGCTGGGATTACAGGCGTGAGCCACCACGCCCGGCCTAGAGTTTTCTTGAATCTGAACCAAGTCAGACCTTCACTGTCCTAATAAAAAGGTTAAAACAGTATAACCAAAACTAAACAAAAAACCACTTTAAGTTTCTCTCAAGTACAGAGATTCTATACAGTGCAGTATGGTATCTTTTTACAGTACTGTAGGTAGAGGTTTCTCTTTCTAACTCTGGCATGTGTCACTGATTACTGGGAAAGTGGTCCCCCCTCCAACCTCTCCACCATGAATACTGTATTTAATGGAAAGAACATTAAAAAAATTATAAAAGTATTTACAAACACACATATGTATGAATACAGAAGTACATTCAGTGTTTAATATATGCAAAAACTTAATAGTAATTATATACAGTAATAAAATAAGAAATAGTCTTAAACAAACAGTAAATTTTTTTTGCTGACCTGTAAAGCCTTACATAAAGCTTCATTTGTGAATTGTCCTGGTGTAAAAAGACTTTGCAGATACATCTCCTATTAGAACATTAAAACAAAAGTTACTATTGTCCTAAACAAAATTTGGAATTCAACACATAACACCAAAGTTTGAGTTTCTACTATATGAACATTGCCATTTTGCCCTTCTATATGTGGGCAATAACAGTAGTGCGGTTACATGTTTTCACACTGAAAGTGAAGACTGCAATGTCTTTGAGTCAACTAGAGGTACTATACTTAAAATGGTGTGTTCCTCACGGAGAGCTTCATTGGGTTCCGGCAGAAAACAAGCTTTGTCAAATGCCAATCTTAAATGGAAGAAGCAAATCTAATTGGTGATATACACTGGTAAGAGAACAAGTAAACGAAGCTGGTTTCTACACCATCTATGGTATTCATTTTATGACTCACATGTAAAAGAAATGGAACCAGTAATAATAGGTATTATATGCAAACAAAACAAAACAAAACAAAACAAACAGCAATAAACTCTCACAAGTAGGGAAATGAAGTAGAGAGAACAACATGGAAAAATCTCATATTGCCTAATGATTTTGACCAACTCTCCTAAACCAGATTTGCCCCCAAGTAGTAAATCTGACTAACAGTCATTCAAGTTTCCTTCCTTCTACTGAGATGATAAAATGACCAAAATGAAGGAGAAAAACAACAGTTTTAGTAATCAGCATATGATTTTGGCTTTTAGACAAAAGCCAAGTGCCAGTAGTTAACTGGAACAATAAATAACTACCACCAATAAACTCTTGGGATTAAGAGTGCAGTAATATTCAATTTAAGATTTTTGAAGTATGTTTTCTACTCCTGCAAATAGTCATTGTTTCAGATCCCAAGCCCATAATCTTTAATGTCATTGTAATACTAAGGCATCAACTGAAAGCTTTTTTATTTATCCTGAGGGTGTCCCTTAAAAATGTGGAGATTTGGCCGGGCACGGTGGCTCACGACTGTAATCCCAGCACTTTGGGAGGCCGAGGTGGGTGGATCACCTGAGGTCAGGAGTTGGAGACCAGCCTGAACAACATGGTGAAACCCCGTCTCTACAAAAGTACAAAAATTAGCTGGGTGTGGTGGTACGTGACTGTAGTCCCAGCTACTCGGGAGGCTGAGGCAAGAGAATTGCTTGAACCTGGGAGGCAGAGGTTGCAGTGAGCCAAGATCATGCCACTGTACCCCAGCCTGGGCCACAGAGCGAGACTCTGTCTCAAAAAAAAAAAAAAGATCAAAGTAAATCATTCCCTTATATAACATTTGAGCATCTACTTACTCTGGGGTCTTGATCATCTCTGATGACAATCTCTTCCTCTGGCAGAGGCTGCATAAAAACTGGATTCCACTGACCTGCAACATTACTAGAGACAAAAAAGTCCACCAGTTTATACAGAAATGATCACTAAAAATGAAATGTATGCTGTTGGCAGTATCTGGGCAGGGAGGACCCCATCACGGAACCCGGCAATGACTGCTTCATCAATTCTATTAAAAACATTTTTTTTTAAATAAGAAAGAAAGAAACATTTTTAGCAGAGCCTAGTTTTTATACAAGTTTGCTTACCATGTTTTAATAATTATCTTCCTAAAATTGAAACTCATTGTTTCAGATCTCAAGCCCATAATCTTTAATGTCATTTTAACACTAAGGCATCAAATACAAAGAATAACTAACTTTTATTCTGCATTTATTATTTGCTAGATATTATGCTAGATGCAGTTTTAGACATTATTCATGTATGCCTTATAATTCTTTGAAGGATATAGTACTCCCATTTCACAGATGTACACAGTGAGGCTGAGGGTATATCACAGCTAGTAAGTTGCACAACTAGGATTCCAACCCTGCTCCAACTCTGCAGCCTGTGCTTTCTGACTACTTTGCTCAAATGCCATCTACAAGGAGTGCTTTTTTTATCTTCCCAGGTATGGCCTGAGGTCAATCTGGAGGGCAATCATTCCCAGAATTCTACCTTAGGCTCTAGGGTTATCAGGGACCCAGAGGGTTCAATTAGTTCAGTGGTCTTCAAGCTCTGTCCCAAGGGAGCCTCTACAGATGTTTCAGGGGTTAGACAAGTCTTTGCTTCAAAATGGTTTGTTTTTTATTTTTGGCCAAATTTAGCAGTGGAGGGCTGTATGCCAACTTTAGTGACACTAATGTTAAGTTCTGACAATCCATTATCATGGGACCAGCCAAAAATTGTTTTGTAAAATGTATTTTTAACTACCTAAGGCTTGCAAACTAATATCATCTACATTAAAAAATATTAGATACCAAATATATCTAACATTAGGTACAATCAACATTAAATTGTGTTATAATTTTATACTCATAAAATACTACACATTCATAGCTCACTGAAGCCTGAACTCTGAGGCTCAAGCAATCCTCCTGCCTCAGTCTAATAGGGTGCATCGTGCCACCACACCTGGCTAGTTTATTTTATTTATTTATATTTATTTATTTATTTTTGAGATGGAGTCTCACTTTGTCGCCTAGGCTGGAGTGAATGGCATGATCTTGGCTCACTGCAACCTCCGTCTCCTGGGTTCAAGAGATTCTCCTGCCTCAGCCTCCTGAGTAGCTGGGATTACAGGCACATACCACCACGCCCGGCTAATTTTTGTATTTTTAGTAGAGATGGGGTTTCACCATGTTGGCCAGGCTGGTCTCAAACTTCCAACCTTGTGATCTGCCCACTTCAGCCTCCCAAAGTACTGGGATTACAGGCATGAGCCACCGCACCTGGCCACTAGTTTATTTTTTATAGAGACAAGGTCTTGCTATGTTGCCTGGACAGGTCTTGAACCATGGCCTCAGGCAATCCTCCCACCTTAGCCTCACAAAGTGCTTGGATTACAGGTATGAGCCACTGTGCCCAGCCCTGTTTTAAAATAAATTTGAGAAGCACTGCACTTGTCCAATCTATTTCTCATCTCATGATGAGAAAATTGAAAACACAAAGGCTATAGTATCCTAAGGAAGTTGCAGGAATCAGGAATAGTCTTAGCTTAGAAACAAAGAAAACTCCCAGATTAGAGGTATTTTGGATATGTGCTATCTCTCCCAAGAAATATGACATTTTATCTTAGTCCAACCCCCAAAATTCTCATTTTGTCCTAAAACAAAAATGTAAAAAATAACACAAAATGCACAAGAGGTATTTCAGGAAGACAGTAACAAGACGAAAACCCAGGGCTGAATTATTCGAATGAAAACCCTTGACTTGGTTCTACATAAAAAGCTCCCTTGTCTTTTTTTTTTTTTTTTTTTTTTTGAGATAGAGTCTTACTCTGTTGCCCAGGCTGGAGTGCAGTGGAGCAATGTTGGCTCACTGCAATCTCCGCCTCCTGGGTTCAAGCGATTCTCATGCTACAGCCTTGCCTCCCGAGGAGCTGGGATTATAGGCACCTGCCACCAGGCCCAGCTAATTTTTTGTGTTTTTAGTAGAGACGGGGTTTCTGTTGCCCAGCCTGGTCTCGAACTCCTGAGCTTAAGTGATTTGCCTGCCTCGGCCTCTCAAAGTGTTAGGATTACAGGCATGAGACACGGCGCCCGGCCTCTCGTCTTCTTAGCATGAAATTGCTTGGGGTGAGGTAGGATGACAGAATTAAGTGACCCATACTGTTCAAAGTTGATGTATTTCACTACTGTTTGGTTCTCAGCATCATGCCACAGGGCCCAGATATCCGTGGAAGTTAAGGCAAAGTCAATCAGTGTCTCCTAGGAGGAAATGTGGGAAAAAAAGGGATAAAATAAGAAAGAAAGTAGTAGTTCACGGTGACTTACTTTTTCATCAGTAGGAGAGGTAAATGTATGAAAACAAAACATGGTACCACATGAATTTGGTAAAGTCTAAATGAAATTTTGTTCCATATATCATGAAATAATTCCATTTTAAGACTACAATCCCATTATACCATAACAGAGTTAGTCAATACTTCTTTTTCTTGTACTTATGTGATATGCAAAGGATGAATCAACCTACCTGAGAAGTGAACAGTGAAGAAATATGATCGAGACTATAGCGATTACTCTCAGTGCTCACCAACTGGAAAATGCAGAACTGTTAAAACACAAGATGATCATTTATTACCTGAAATAATCAACATGTTACTTTTCGAAGCAAGGGCTATTACCATTCAGAAACCTTTAAAAAAAAATTTTTTTTTTTTTGAAAGAAGAGTCTTGCTCTGTTGCCCAGGCTGGAGTGCAATGGCACGATCTCAGCTCACTGCAACCTCCACCTCCTAAGTTCAAGCTATTCTCCTGCCTCAGCCTCCCGAGTAGCTGGGATTACAGGTGCCCGCCACCATGCCCGGCTAATTTTTGTATTTTTAGTAGAGATGGGGTTTCACCGTGTTGGCCAGGCTAGTCTCAAACTCCTGACTTCATGATGCGCCTGCCTCGGCCTCCCAAAGAACTGGGATTACAGGCGTGAGCCACTGCACCCGGCCAAAAATTTTTTTTCTTTTCTTTTTTTTTTTTTAATACTTTAAATTCTAGGTTACATGTGCACAACGTGCAGGTTTGTTACATATGTATACATGTGCCATGTTGGTGTGCTGCACCCATTAATTCATTTACATTACGTATATCTCCTAATGTTATCCCTCCCCACTCCCCCTACCCCACGACAGGTGCCAGTGTGTGACGTTCCCCACCCTGTGGCCAAGTGTTCTCATTGTTCAATTCCCACCTATGAGTGAGAACACGTGGTGTTTGGTTTTCTGTCCTTGTGATAGTTTTCTCAGAATGATGGTTTCCAGCTTCATCCGTGTCCCTACAAAGGACATGAACTCATCCTTTTTTATGGCTGCATAGTATTCCATGGTGTATATGTGCCACATTTTCTTAATCCAGTCTATCATTGATGGACACTTGGGTTGGTTCCAAGTCTTTGCGATTGTGAATAGTGCCACAATAAATATATGTGTGCATGTGTCTTTATAGCAGCATGATTTATAATCCTTTGGGTATATACCCAGCAATGGGATGGCTGGGTCAAATGGTATTTACTGCAGAAATGATCCCTGAAAGTATAGTCTTCAAAAATTTTTTCTTTTTCACCCACACAGGCCAGGTAGAACCACTTTATTTTAATGTAGTAAAATACACATAACGTCAAATTTACCATTTTAACTATTTTTAGCAGTGTTAAGTATATTCACACTGTTGTACAACCAATCTATAGAACTCCTTTCATCTTCACCTTGCATAACTAAAACTCTATACTCAATAAACAATTTCCCATTTCCCTTCAATTCCTAGCCCCTTGTAACACCACTTTACTTTGTCTCTATAAATTTGACTACTCTAGGTACTCCATGTAAGTGGAAGGGTCATATATTATTTGTGTTTTTGTGACTGGTTTATGTCGTTTAGCATAATGTCTTCAAGGCTCGCCCATGTAGTAGCATGTGTCAGCATTTCCTTCCTTTTTTCTTTTTTTTTGATAAGGAGCCTCGCTCTATCGCCCAGGCTGGAGTGCAATGGTGCGATCTCGGCTCACTGCAAGCTCTGCCTCCCAGGTTCCTGCCATTCTCCTGCCTCAGCCTACTGAGTAGCTGGGACTACAGGCGCCTGTCACCACGCCTGGCTAATTTTTTTGTATTTTTAGTAGAGTCGGGGTTTCACCGTGTTATCCAGGATGGTCTTGATCTCCTGACCTTGTGATCCATCCGCCTCAGCCTCCTAAAGTGCTGGGATTACAGGTGTGAGCCACTGCTCCTGGCCTTCCTTCCTTTTAAAAACTGAAATATTAAACTGTACGTACATGCAACAGGTTGTTTACCTATTTGTTGTGGATGGACACTTGGGCTGCTTTATCTTATTGCCTATTGTGAGTAATGCTACTATGTATATGGTTGTACAAATATACCTTTGAGACCCTGCTTTCAATTCTTTTGCATATATATATATATATATATATATATATATATATATATATATATACACACACACATAGAAGTGGAATTTCTGGAATATATGGTAATTCTATGTTTAATTTTTTGAGGAACCACTATATTGTTTTTCATAATGGCTGCAGCATTTTACATTCCCACTAGCAATGTACAAGAGTTCTGATTTCTCAACAACAACAAAAGAGTTCTAATTTCTCCATATCCTTGCCAAGACATTTATTTATTTATTCATTCATTCAATTGTAGATATCCTAATAGATGTGAGGTGATTATCTCACTGTGGTAAAAAAAATTATTTGTTGGCTGGGTGCGGTGGCTCACACCTGTAATCTCAGCACTTTGGGAGGCCGAGACAGGTGGATCATGAGGTCAGGAGATCGAGACCATCCTGACTAACACGGTGAAACGCCATCTCTACTAAAAAAAATACAAAAAAATTTAGCCGGGCGCAGTGGCACGTACCTGTAGTCCCAGCTATTCGAGAGGCTGAGGTAGGAGAATGGTGTGAACCCGGGAGGCGGAGCTTGCAGTGAGTCAAGATCGCCCCACTATACTCCAGCCTGGGCAACAGAGCGACTCTATCTCAAAAAAAAATAAAATAAAATAAAAAACAAACTTATTTATTTTTATTTTTAGAGACAGGTCTTGCTCTGTTACCCAAGCTGCAGTGCAGTGACATGATCGTAGCTCAACGTTAACCTCCAACTCTTGGGCTCAAGCTATCTTCCTACCTCAGCCTCCCTAATAGCTAGTAATGCAGGCATGTTCTACCCGACCCAGCTTTTTCTTTTGTTTTTTTTTTTCACGTTAATTTAATTTAATTTATTTTTTGAGATGGAGTCTCGCACTGTCGCCCAGGCTGGAGTGCAGTGGTGTGATCTCGGCTCACTGCGAGCTCCACCTCCTGGGTTCACGCCATTCTCCTGCCTCAGCCTCCTGAGTAGCTGGGACTACAGGCGCCTGCCACCACGCCCAGCTAAGTTTTTGTATTTTTAGTAGAGACAGGGTTTCCCTGTGTTAGACAGGATAGTCTCGATCTTCTGACCTCGTGATCTGCCCGCCTCGGCCTCCCAAAGTGCTGGGATTACAGGCATGAGCCAACCGCGCCCAGCCGGACTTTTATTTTTTGTAGGGACGGAGTCTCACCATGTTGCCCGAGCTAGTCACAAACTCCTGGTATCAAGTGATCCTTCTGCCTTGGCCTCCCAAATTGCTGGGACTGCAGGAGTGAGTTACAGTGCCTGGCTTGATGAACTTTTTAAATAACTTTTTTTTTTTGGAGACGAGTCTCGCTCTATTGCCTAGGTTGAAGTGCAGTGGTGTGATCTCGGCTCACTGCAACCTCTGCCTCCCAGGTTCAAGCAATTTTGCCTCAGCCTCCCAAGTAGCTGGGATTATAGGTCCCCACCACCATGCCCAGCTAATTTTTGCCTTTTTTTTTTTTTTTTGAGACGGAGTATCGCTCTGTCACCCAGGCTGGAGTGCAGTGGTACGATCTCGGCTCACTGCAACCTCTGCCTCCTGGGTTCAAGCAATTCTCCTGCCTCAGCCTCGCGAGTAGTTGGGATTTACAGGCACGCACTACCATGCCCAGCTAGTTTTCGTATTTTAGTAGAGACAGGGTTTCACCATGTTGGTCAGGGTGGTCTCAAACTCCTGACCTCAAGTGATCCACCCACCTCGGCCTCCCAAAATGTTGGGATTACAGGCATGAGCCATACAGCCTAATTTTTGTATTTTTAGTAGAGACAGCGTTTTACCATGTTGGCCAGGCTGGTCTCGAACTCCTGACCTCAGGTGATCTGCCCACCTCGGCCTTCTAAAGTGCTGGGATTACAGGCGTGAGCCACCAAGTCCAGCCTAAATTAACTGTTTTTATAAAGAAAATTTACTGTAAATTGATAAGAGTGATGATGACCCTTATATGCAGCTGTTCACAAAAAAGTATTAAAGAAAAAAAAGCAGCAAAATTCCTTTTTGAGAAACATAGTGTATGAAATATGAAAAAAAATATGTAGTGCTTATATCCATTGTAGCCTGAACCTGTGTTTTAAAACCTACAAATCTCAATCCATTAGTGGGACATAAAATCAATTTAGCAGGTCTCAAACAGCATTAAACAAACAAACAAACAAACAAACAAACAAAAACCCAACAGTCCAAGCTGGTCTTAAATTCCTGAACTCAAATGATCCTCCTGCATCAGCCCCGAGTAGCCGGAACTATACATATGCACCATCAGGCCCAGCCGAAGATCAGTTTTTGTGAAGAAAAAAGAAATAAAATACTATAAGTTCACTATAATCTGGATAGGCTAACAGTGTTACATAGCTGTCAAAAAAGTTATTCTGATTTTAGGCTTCAATGAAGAATCATAATGCTCAAAACAAAGGAAGTAATAGCTCTGCTCAATTTGACACACTCCTGAACTACTACATTCATTCCCGATCTGACCTTTAGAGCAGTGGTTCTCAAAATGTGGTCCACAGATTCCTAGAGGTCCCTGAGACCATTTCAGGGGGTCAGTGAGGTAAAAATCCCCCCCCCCTTTTTTTTTTGAGACAGAGTCTCTCTCTGTCACTTAGGCTGGAGTGCTATGGCACAATCTCCGCTCACTGCAACATCTGCCTCCTGGGTTCAAGCAATTCTCCTGCCTCAGTCTCCCGAGTAGCTGGGATTAAAGATGCCCGCCACCACGCTTGGCTAATTTTTGTATTTTTAGTACAGTCGGGGTTTCACCATGTTGGCCAGGCTGGTCTCGAACTCCTGACCTCAGGTGATCTGCCCGCCTTGGCCTCCCAAAGTGTTGGGATTACAGGTGTGAGCCACTGCACCCAGCCCCAAACCCTTTGCATAATAACACTGCATTATTTGCCTTTTTCACTTTGTTGATATTTGCATCAATGATGCAAAATCAGTGGTGGGTAAAATTACTGGTGTCTTAACATAAATCAAGGCAGTGGGACCAAACTGAACACCCTTTCAAGAGAAAACCACTCAAGAAACTAGGAATAAAGGGGAACCTCCTCAACACAATATAAAGGGCACTTACGAAAAATTCAGGCTGGGTGCTGTGGTTCACACTTGTAATCCCAGCACATTGGGAAGCCGAGGTGGGTGGACTGCTTGAACTCAGGAGTTTGAGACCAGGCAACATGGCGAAACCCCGTCTCTACCAAAAATACAAAAAAATTAGCCATGTGTGGTCGCACACACCTGTGGTCCCAGCTACCTGGGAGGCTGAGGTGGGAGGATCGCTTGAACCTGAGAGGTGGAGGTTGCAGTGAGCTGAGATTGCGCCACTGCACTCCAACTTGGGTGACGGAGTGAGACACTGTCTCAAAAAAAAAAAAAAAATTCACAGCTTACTGTTGCATCACAATGAAAAAAAAAGACAAATTCACAGCTAGCATTATACTTAATGGTGAAACACTGGTAACTTCTCCCTTAGCAATACAAATTAGGAATGAGGCAAAGATGCATAGCATGGCCAACATGGTGAAACCTCTTCTCTACCAAAAAACAACAATATAAAAATTAGCTGGGCATGGTGGCACATGCCCGTGGTCCCGGCAACTCTACTCAGAAGGCTGAGGTGGGAGAATCGCTTGAACCAGGAGGTTGCAATGAGCTGAGAGTGCATTCACTGCGCTCCAGCCTGAGTGACAGAGTGAAAAAAAAAAAGACGACAAAAAAGATGCAGGTTCTTGCCACTTCTATTCAACATTGTACTAGAGGATCTAGCCAGGACAATTAGTACCCACCTCCCTCCAAAAAAATTTTTAAAAACCCTACAAGAAAGAAGGAAAAGAAAAAAAGAAAATGCATCTAGTTTAGAAAGGAAGTAATAAAACTAACTTTTTTATGAGACAGGGTTCCGCTCTGTTGCTCAGGTTGAAGTACAGTGAGGCAATCAGGAATACTGCAGCCTCAACCATCCAGGCTCAAGTGATCCTGCCATCTCAGCCCCTCAAATAGCTGGTACTATAGGAATGAGCCACCATGCTCAGCTAATTTTTGCTATTTTGTAGAGACAGGGTTTCGCCATGTTGCCCAGGCTGGTCTGGAACTCCTGAGCTCAAGCAATCTGCCCACCTTGGCCTCCCAAAGTGCTGGGATTACAGGTGTGAGCCATTGTAATCAAAAGTTTATTTGCAAGTGACATTATCTTGTATAAAGAAAATCCTAATGAATCCATTACAAAATCTATCAGAACTAATAAATGAGTTCAGCAAAGTTGCAAGATACAATTATGAATATACAAAAATCAACTGTATTTCTATCAACTTCCAATGAGCACTCTGAAAATGAAATTAAGAAAATAATTTCGTTTATAATAGCATCAAGAAAATTTCATTTACAATAGCATCAAAAAGAATCAAATATTTAAGAAGAAATTGAACAAAAGTATAAAACTTACACTCTGAAAACTAAAGCATCCCATGTTCATGGATCAGAAGACTTAATATTGCTAAGATGGCAATATTTTATAATATCATCTATAGAGGCAACACAATTTTTATCAGAATCTCAGCTAACTTCTTTGTAGAAACTGACAAGCTGATTCTAAAACTCATATGGAATTGAATGGGACCCAGAATAGCCAAAACAATCTTGAAAAAGAAGAACAAAGTAAGAGGGCTCACACTTCCTGGTGTCAAAATTTCCTACAAAGCAAGAGTAATCAAGACAGTGTGGTACCAGCACAAGGTCAGATATATAGATCAATGGAACAGAATTGAGAGCCTAGAAATAAAACCATGTGTCTGAGGTCAAATGATTTTGAGAAGGGTGCCAAGACCATTCAATGTGTTAAGAACTATCTTTTCAACAAATGGTGCTGAGAAAACTGAATATCTACAAGCAAAAGAATGAAGTTGAATGCTTACCTCACACTATTAAAAAAAAACCCCACAAAACTAAAAAAATGAATCAAAGTCCTAAATATAAAAGCTAAAAGTATAAAACTCTGAGAAGAAAACATAAGAGTAAATCGTTATGACCTTAGGTTTGGCAAAGGATTCTTAAGGTATGACACTATGAACAAAAGCAACAAAAGAAAAAATAGATAATCTGGACTTTATCAAAATTAAAAACATGTGCTTCATGGGACACCATCAAGAAAGTGAAAAGACAGCTCACGTGGTAGAAAATACTACTTGCAAGTCATAAATCTGATTAGAGATTTAGATCCAGAATAATACAGTTACATACTATATAATGATGCTTTGGTATATGGACCACATATACAATGGTGACTCCATAAGATTAAGTTTATAATACCATTTTGTTTGTTTCTTTGTTTTTGAGACAGAATCTTGCTCTGTTGCCCAGGCTGGATGGTGCGATCCCGGCTCACTGCAACCTCCACCACCAGGTTTCAAGCAATTCTCGTGCCTCAGCCTCACAAGTAACTGGGATTACAGGCACGTGCCACCATGCCCGGCTAATTTTTTGTATTTTTATTAGAGATGGGGTTTCACCATATTGGCCAGGCTGGTCTCAAATACCTGGCCTCAAGTGATCTACCCACCTTGGCCTCCCAAAGTGCTAGGATTACAGGCATGAGCCACCGCACTGGCCTGTTTACAGAATTCTTACAATTCAATAACAAAAAAGACAAACTAATTAAAAAATGGGCACATGAGAAGACTGAAGCTGGATCCCTTCCTTACACGATATACAAAAATCAACTCAAGATGGATTAAAGACTTAAACATAACACGCAAAACTATAAAAACCCTGGAAGACAACCATAGGCAATACCATCCTGAACATACGAACGGGCAAAGATTTCAAGACGAAGACACTAAAAGCAATCTCAACAAAAGCAAAAATTGACAAGTGGGATCTAATTAAACTTAAAAGCTTCTGCACAGTAAAAGAAACTTTCAGCAGAGTAAACAGACAACTTACAGAATGGGAGAAAATATTTGCAAACTATGCATCTGACGAGGGTCTGATTTCCAACCTCTATAAGGAACTTAAATTTACAAATGAAAGGCAAACAACCTCATTAAAAAGTGGGCAAAGGACATGAACAGACACTTTTCAAAAAAGAAGTATGCAGCTAACAAGCATATGAATAAAAGTTCACTATCACTGATCATTAGAGAAATGCAAATCAAAACCACAATGAGATACCATCGCACAGCAGTCAGAATGGCTATTAAAAAGTCAAAAAATAACAGATGCTGGTGAGGTTGCAGAGAAAAGGGAACATTTATACAATGTTGGTGGGACTGTAAATTACTTCAACCATTGTGGAAAGCAGTGTGGTGATTCCTCTAAGAACTAAAAACAGAACTACCATTCCACTCAGCAATCCCATTACTGGGTATATAACCCAAAGGAATACAAATCATTCTACCATAAAGACAAATGCACATGAATGTTCATTACAGCACTGTTCACAATAGCAAAGACATAGAATCAACCTAAATGCCCCTCAATGACAGACTGAATAAAACATGGTACATATATATCATGGAATATATGCAGCCACAAAAAAGAACGAGATCATGTCTTTTGTGGAAACATGGATGGAAGTGGAGGTCATTATCCTCAGCAAAATAATGCAGGAACAGAAAACCAAATACCACATGTTCTCACTTATAAATGGGAGCTAAATGATGGGAACTTATGAACACGAAGAAGGAAACAACAAACATTAGGGTCTACTTGAGGGTGGAGGTTGGGAGGAGGGAGTGGAGCAGAAAAGATAGCTATTAGGTGCTGGGCTTAATTCCTGGGTGATGAGAAAATCTGTACAACAAAGCCCCATGACATGAGTTCACCTATGTAATAAAGCTTCACATGTACCCTCAAACCTAAAACAAAAGTTAAAAAAAAAAAGAGCAGCCGAGCGTGGTGGCTCATGCCTGTAATCCCAGCACTTTGGGAAGCTGAGGCTGGTGGATCACCTGAGGTCAGGAGTTCGAGACCAGCCTGGCCAACATGGTGAAACCCCGTCTCTACAAAAACACAAAAATTAGCCAGGCATGATGGCGTGAGCCTGTAATCCCAGCTACTTGGGGGACTGAGGCGGGAGAATCGCTTGAACCTGGGAGGCGGAGGTTGCAGTGAGCCGAGATCACGCCACTGCACTCCAGCCTGGGCAACAGAGCAAGATTCCATCTCAACAACAACAACAACAACAACAACAAAAAAGCAAATGATGTGAATAAACATTTCTCCAAGGAAGAGACACAAATAACCAATAAGCACTAAAAAGATGCTTGGCATCATTAGTTATCAGGAAATTAAAACAAAAACCATAATGAGATAATACTTCATACCCACTAGGATATCTAGAATTAAAAAGTCAGATAACAACAAGTGTTGACAAGTATATAGCAGCAGTATTCATAATAGATAAAGGGTAGAAACAACAATGTCCAACACAAATGAAAAAATTCCAACACAAATGAATAAATAAATGGTGGTATACAACTGAAAATTATTCAGCTATAAAAGGAATTGAAACCACCTTCGCAAAAATCATAACAGTGAGAAAATTATGACAATGAAAGAGGTCTGGGCCAGGTGCAGTGGCTCACGCCTGTAATCCCAGCACTTTGGGAGGCCGAGGCAGGCGGATTACCTGAGATCAGGAGAGACCAGCCTGGCCAATATGGCAAAACCCCACCTCTACTAAAAAAATACAAAAACTTAGCCAGGCATGGTGGCATGCGCCTGTAATCCCAGCAACTTGGGAAGCTGAGGCAGGGGAACTGCTTGAACCTGGGAGGCAGAGGTTGCAGTGAGCTGAGATCGCGCCACTGTATTCCAGCCTTAGTGACAAAGCGAGACTCTCTCTCAAAAAAAAAAAAAAAAAAAAAAAAAAGAGACAGATCTGATCTAATAAATTCCTTTTTTTTTTTTTTTTTTTTTTTTTTGAGACAGAATCTCGGTCTGTCACCAGGCTGGAGTGCAGTGGTGCAATCTCTGCTCACTGCAACCTCCGCCTCCCAGGTTCAAACCATTCTCCTGCCTCAGCCTCCTGAGCAGCTGGGACTACAGGCATGCACCACTACGCCCAGCTAATTTTTGTATTTTTAGTAGAGAAGGAGTTTCACCATATTGGCCAGGAGGGTCTCGATCTCCTGACCTCATGATCCGCCTGCCTCAGCCTCCCAAAGTGTTGGGATTACAGGCGTGAGCCACTGTGCTGGCCCACAAATTCCATCTTGTCTTTAATCTCCAAACTGCCTCTGGTCATTCCTGAGCATGGGCAAGGCTCACCTTGGGAGAAATTTAATTTATAGTTTAAATAATAATAGCCCTTCCCCAAAACCAAACCACCTTGGTAAAACTAATGAAAGGCCACCAGGTTAGGAAGATGAGAGGGGCCCGAATTCATAGTTAAATGATTACCAGTCATTATTCCGGAGGTCATAAGATTTGCAACTTCCCCAATTACTTCTGTAAATAACATCACCATTGTAGCACCTTACACTGGCCTTTTAAAATGTGTTTTCAGTTTTTTACATTTCTGGCCCCAGCCAGATGAGCAACTCTTCTGTGGCCCCGACCCAGAAGCAGACTCAGCGCATAGGATGGTTTTCCACACTCCTACAATTGCATCTCCAACCAGTCAGCAGCACTCATAGCCTCGCCCTGCCTGGCAAACTATCTTTGAAAAACCCTAGCCTCTAAATTTTCAGGGGGGCTGATCTGATTTGAGTTAACAGTAAAACTCCGGTCTCCTGTTTAGCTGGCTCTATGTGTATTAAACTCTCTCTATTCCAATTCCTGTCTTGATAAATCAGCTGTATGTATTGGGCACTTACAGAATGAAGTGCTGACAACACATGCTACATGGATGAACCTTGAAAATATTAAGCTAAGTGAAAGAAGCCAGTCACAGAAAACCACTTATATGATTCCACTGACATAATATGACCAGAATAAGTAACTTTATAGAGACAGAAAATAGATTAGCAGTTGTGTAGAGCTGGGAAGAAATGGGGGAAGGGAAGAATGATAGCTAAAAGGTATGGGGTTTCTTTTTGAGGTGATGGAAATGTTCTAAAGTTGACTATGGTAATGGTTGCTCGTATCTGTGGATATACTAAAACTCATTGAATGGTATACTTTAAATGGGTGAGTGAATTACATCTCAAGAAAGCTGTTTAAATAAATGAATAGGCTGGGCGTGGTGGCTCACACCTGTAATCCCAGCACTTTGGGAGGCTGAGGCGGGTGGATCACCTGAGGTCAGGAGTTCGAGACCAGACTGGCCCACATGGTGAAACCCCATCTCTATTAAAAATACAAAAAATTAGCCGGGTATGGTGGCAGGTACCTGTAATCCCAGCCACTGTGGAGGCTGATGAAGGAGAATTGCTTGAACCCAGGAGGCAGAGGTTGCAGTCAGTTGAGGTCACGCTACTGCACTCCAGCCTGGGTGACAAGAGTGCCAAACTCCATCACAAAAGAAAAAAAAAAAAGAATAAAGTGAACCTGTCATTTCAGGGAAAACAAATGACAGTATTTGTTGCCAATGATACATTTCAAGTTTTAAAGTGAAAACTATGATTTCAGAAAACTTCGTATCCACTAACATGAACTCCAGAGCTTCTCAAGGCTCTTCTGAGTGATCACCAATGATAATATCATCAATGATAATAGTTGTGCAGAAAGGGTTAACATAGCAGGCCTGAGGCTGCTCTCCTTAGAAAGTCTTGCTTGTACTCTGGGAGGCCGAAGTGGGCAGATCACAAGGTCAGGAGTTCGAGACCAGCCTGGCCAATATGGTGGGCACTGTGCCTCTAGCAAGCTTTCCTGGGAAACAACATTTTACACACATCATCACAATTCAGTGCTGGAAGAATTAAGCATGTCCTGTGAGACTCTACTGGGAGGGGACTCTTAGACGATTGTGTCTGGCTTCAGACTTCACTCCATGTGCCTTTTCCCTTTTTTCACTTTGCTTTGTATCTTTTCACTGTAATACATTTTAGCTGTCAGCACAACTACATACTGAGCCCTATGAGTCCTTTCAGAGTATTACTGGACATGGAGGTGAGGTGGTCTTGGGGATTACCCCCCAAAACAGTAATTTAGATACTGCATAATATAAAATGTGTCAATCCACATCCAGCCAGTTTTAATTTCTAATAAATTATAGGTATAACCCATATAAACAAAAGCTCTTTGCAGTTCTCGGTAAGAGTATAATAGGGTCCCGAGACCAAAAGTTTGAGAACCACTATTTTAGTGTGACAAACTAATTGTAACATGTCGAGGAGACTGATCAACAGGATGTTACATGAATAACAATGGAAGGAACTAAGGAAGTTAGAGCAGGGTCAATTCTCCTACCACCCACAACCTACATGCAGAGAAGAGTATACTTAGAGGAGATGGATAGGTATGTTCAAATAGTTCAAGGGTTGTCCTCCAGAAGAGAGAATAGAACAATTATGTGCAATCAAGATAAATGTCTTGATAGCATGATACTTTTGGGCCATATTAGGAAAAAACTGCAAGAATGAGCTCTTCCTCTTCCCTTCCATTCTGTTCCTGAGCAATCCAATCTAAAAACCTAGAGCAAGGTAGATATCCTTGCTGGCCAGAAGGTAAGGGTCGGGGACCTGGGGGGTTGGGGTTCGGCATAAGGAGTCAGTCTGAACAGGTTGAAGAGAACATCGGTGCAGGCATGTCCCAGCACAGGAGTGAGAACACTAGTGAGTGAGAAGGGCGTGCATGCAGGGGTGATATGGCCAGGTGTGATGAGGCAAGAGCCTAGGGACATAAGAAGACTGTCCACATTTGGGACTGCCTGACTTCGGGGGGAGGAGCACGAACAGTTTGAGATGGCTTCCACATGGACAGAAAGCTTGGTGCAGGATGGAAACTCAGGTTGGGTGAGGAGGAGGTCCATTGCATGGGGGCAGTCTGGTGGTCTCAGGGCCCAAACAGGGTAAGGAGGGCACCCACATTGGAGGAGCAATGTGGAGTGGGCTATGAGATCCCAACAGAAGTGAGAAGGGCATCCAGGAAGGGCAGTGGCCTAGCGTGGGGACTCAGTGGGGGAATCAGAGCTCCTGCATAGTAAGGGAGACAGACCCTACCTCACTGGGCTGTTATTAGGATTAAATGGATAAAACGCATATAGCATATGAGCCCAGAGTAAGCACAATCCCAGTGTCTGCTATTATTAATGTGCATAAAGGGACTGGCACAGCACCAAACACACAATGCTCAACAAATGGCTGTTTATTAAATGATTACACTATTACATCACATCCTACGTATCTCATCTACAGACAGCAGCTACTGTCTGGATGCTAAGCAAATTTATTTAGAAAAATTAACTTAACACCACATAACACCTACATCCCTTTCAGGAATTCTGTTTTTTCACCTAGAACTCCTAATTTGCTCTTCTTGTTTAGTTTCTGTTAACTTTTCCTTTCATGTTACTTTAAACTCTCTACTTCCTTTCATACTGACCCCTCCTTCAAGATCTTCTAATTCACATAGTAGCACGAAACCCAACCATCACCTCAGAAACACATCTAGGTCGGTGAAAAGAGCTTGAACAGACTCACTGAGTCTACAGCCATTTCTCCACATCAGTACACACAGAATAACTTGGTATGTGTCTTATTTGTTTCATACCTGTCCTCGTTTTGGTGCATGCATGTATATCCCCAGGTAGAGTCCCATGGTGGGGGAATAAGCAAGCCGTAATTTGTGTCCAGTTCCAGCAGTAAGCCGAAGGTCTTTCTTCACAGGGACATACTCCAGCATGTCAGCTACCATTAGGCACATTTGCTCCTGTCCAAGAAAATAGTTAATAGGTGATATTCAAGGGATATTCAGGCTAGAAGAACATACCTTTTGAAAGGATGGACCTTTCATTGTATCTACTGCTCTATCTAGTTTATCTGCTAAAAGACCTTACAGGTTTTTGTTTCAAAAGGGCTAACACAGGCCGGGCGCAGTGGCTCACGTCTGTAATCCCAGCACTCTGGGAGGCCGAGGTGGGTGGATAACCTGAGGTCAGGAGTTCGAGACCAGCCTGGCCAACATAGTGAAACCCCATCTCTACTAAAAAATACAAAAATTAGCCAGGTGCAGTGGTGCATGCCTGTTATCCCAGCTACTTGGGAAGCTGAGGCAGGAGAATCACTTGAACCTGGGAGGCGGAGGTTGCAGTGAGGTGAGACTGCGCCATTGCATTCCAGCCTGAGTGACAGAGCGAGACTCTGTTTCGGGGGAAAATAAAAAGAGGGAGGGAGGGGCTAACATGAAAAACATCTCTTCAGTCTGAAACATAAGATCAGACTTATATAAAATATAAGCTGTATTTTTTAGATGAATCTTGAAAACCATTTTACCAACTTACATTTTAAAAACATATTTGTTGCTCTTAAATGAAAGGTCCAGTCTGGGTAACATGGCAAAACCCTGTCTACAAAAAATACTAAAATTAGCCAGGTATGGTAGCGTGCCCCTGTAGTCCCAGCTATTTGAGCAGCTGAGGTGGGGAATTGCTTGAGCCCGGGAGGCAGAGGCTGCAGTGAGCTATATTCATGCCACTGTACTCCAGCCTGGGTGACAAAGTGAGACTGTTTCAAAAAATTAAAAAATTTAAAAAAAAGTGAAAGGTGTACTTTGTACTACTCTTTCAGTGTTCCTGTTAGGTTGATAATTTTTCCAAATAAAAAGACAGTAAGTTAGGAGGAAAATATATGCAAAATAAAGCTAAATGAAACTGTCTGAATCTGGCAGTGACCAATAAGTTCCAAACCAATTGATCTAATAATCTTTAGAGAAACAGCAAAATTTACTTCAATTCTCATGATTCACAATCCTGTTTTAACTTACAGCAACTATAAATGTAGCACTTACCTTGTAAGACCACATTCGTAGTTTATGATCCTGACACAAAGCAAAGATGAAGGCATCATGCTCCACACAATGAACAGCAAGACTGAGGGGACGATCTGAAGGCGACTGGTCACCCCTAAAACATAAGACCCAGTTTTAGAGTTTTACTGCTGCAAAGAATCTGATCATTAGAATTTGCAATTCAAGAAATATAATAAAATTATAAATGTACACTCTTAGCAGAAGGACCAAGAGCTTATATGCTGGTATAAGACAACTACATTTCTATTTGGTTTATCGCCAATTACTATAATAAAATTTAAAAGGCTCTACATAACAATGGAAGACTGTTTCCTTTTATATTGTTTTCCTGTAACCATCAAAAACTTTCTATTTCTAATAATTTTACACGAAACTGGATTTGGGTAAGTCGGGGCAGAGCACTGAACTGGATATTGTGAGAATATAAACAGGCCGATTTATGCTGACAAGGCATCCAATTGCAGATGAAAGGGACTCGGGAGTGTGGCTTTCCTCAGATGGAATTTAATGTTATTCTGACTGTTCTCCTTTCCAGTATAATGTTTGCCTTGGAATAAGACTGGAAACAATAACTGCCGACCAGTGCAAAAAGATTAAATTCTTGGGCCCTTTGATTTACCTGCCAGACACCACTCACCTGATAGCTGTTGGCATCCAGCCTGTAAGCAATCGTTGCATTACTGAACTCTGTTTCAGTTCCACGACTGACACCATACCTGCAATGATATCCAAGGCACCTCTTGAACACACTTAGAGAAACCCAAAGGCAAGAATGATGTAACCATGAACAAGGTCTTTATAATAGGCAACAGACTTCCGTATTTCTGTACTAACAAAGGTTTAGGATGTAACTTTCCTGCATATATCACACCTAAAATATTTTGAATCATTATTAGATCCATAAAAATAGCATTTTTATACTTCTCATGGAAATTTTTGCCTTTTACAGACAGTAACCCATATTGCCACCCGGCAGAATCACTTCATTCTTTCTAAAACAATCACTAGGTACCTTTCATGTGCCAGGCACAGTTCTAGATGGTAGTGACATAGCAGTAAACAAAACAAATTTTAAAACTCCTGTCCTCCTGGAACTTATATTCCTTTGGGGGAAGGGGAGAAGCAGAGACAGTTAAATTAAGTAGAATGGTAGTAAGTCAGAAAAATAAGACACAAAAGGAGTACAGAGAGTGCCAGGATATAGGGAGGGCAGGCAGGGGCACTGCAATTTTGAAAAGGATGGTCAGGGAAGGCCTCAACAAGGTGACATTGAGTAAAGACCTAAAGGAGCTGAGGGAATGAGCCAAGCTAGTAGCTGACAATACCAAACAAATGCCTTGTTGAAGTAGGGGT
Organism: Homo sapiens; assembly: GCF_000001405.40. Taxonomy (NCBI): domain Eukaryota; kingdom Metazoa; phylum Chordata; class Mammalia; order Primates; family Hominidae; genus Homo; species Homo sapiens. Next base: position 47,838,261 of record NC_000011.10, read on the forward strand.
GTTCCTGGCATATTCAAGGAATTACAAGAAGGCATGTGGCTGGTGAAGAGGGGAAGAGTGAACAGATGAAGTTGGAGACAGCAGTGGGTCACTCTAGGCCAGTGTAAGGACTCTGGGTTTATTCAGCATAACATGATATATTTGAATCCCACCTTGGGTCATGTTGGCCAGGTGCCGTGGCTCACACCTGTAATCCCAGCACTTTGGGAAGCTGAGGCAGGCGGATCACTTGAGGTCAGGAGTTCGAGACCAGCCTAGTCAATGTGGCAAAACCCCATCTCTACTAAAAATTCAAAAATTAGCCAGGTGTGGTGGTGGACACCTGTAATTCCAGCTACTTGGGAGGCTGAGACATGAGAATCACTTGAACCTGGGGGGGGCGGAGGTTGCAGTGAGCCAAGATGGCACCACTGCATTCCAGCCTGGGTGACAGTGAGACTCTGTCTCAAAAGAAAGAAAGAAAGGCCAGGTGCGGTGGCTCAAGCCTGTAATCCCAACACTTTGGGAGGCTGAGGTGGGCAGATCACAAGGTCAGGAGTTCGAGACCAGCCTGGCTAACATGGTGAAACCCTGTCTCTACTAAAAATACAAAAATTAGCTGGGTATGGTGGCAAATGCCTGTAATCCCAGCTGCTCAGGAGACTGATGCAGGAGAATCGCTTGAACCCAGGAGGTGGAGATTGCAGTGAGCTGAGATCATGCCACTGTACTCCAGCCTGGGCGACAGAGAGAAATCCCATCTCAAAAAAAAAAAAAGAATAAAAGAAAAGTTGTGTCATGTCACTGCACTACATAAAGGACGGCTTTACACAGTGCAGTGACATGACCCAACTTGGGTTTTTCTTTTTGAGATGGAGTTTCGCTCTTGTTGCCCAGGCTGGAGTGCAATGGCACGATCTTGGCTTATCGCAACCTCCACCTCTTGGGTTCAAGCGATTCTCTTGCCTCAGCCTCCCGAGTAGCTGGGATTACAGGCATGGGCCACCATGCCCAGCTAATTTTGTATTTTTAGTAGAGACGGGGTTTCTCCATGTTGGTCAGGTTGATCTCCAACTCCCAACCTCAGGTGACCCACCTGCCTTGGCCTCCCACAGTGCTGGGATTATAGACGTGAGCCACAGCGCCTGGCCCTTGGGTTTTAAATATATCAGTCCACCTGAGAAGTGTCTGAAGAGGGTTAAGACAGATCTGGGGAGATATATAGAAAGCTAATACAATAATCCAGGCAAGACACAGTGGCAACTTGGTGCAGGGTATTTAATGTCTTTGTTTCAATTAATTTAATTATAATGTTATAATGCCTCCATCTCAGGGCAGACAATTAGGCAACCCATCTCTACTACAAGATTTAGAATAGGCTGTCTTATACTTGTCTATTTGTTTTTCCGTGCTCCAATATGCTTTATAGTTCCTTATCCACTGTATAAAAGTAAAGCATTAGGGACTCATTAGGCAAGCAATAATGAATGACCAGTTCCGGGGCAGTAGAGATGCAATCCCTGCATTGGATGACGAGGTTGAACTGTTTCAATGTTAACATTCCTTGTTTAAAGTTAAATCCATGCTCAGTTCCCATTCTTACCAGGTATGTCATAAGGAGGTAGCTTAAGAACAAAGATTCCCCCAGAAGCACATGGTAAGGCAAACAGGGCCTCCCCATCACTGCTGAGCCAGGCTGTAGAGGCGGTGGAATTAGGAGATATTCCAGGTACTGCTGGAATTAACTGATAGTTGCAAGGATCTGTGAAATCAACTTTTCCAATGTCAGTGAATATTGACTGCATCTGACTGTCAACTACCAACTCCTGTTGAGTAATTAAAAAGAAAAATCTATTAAATCAAAATAACCAGAATTTTGCTCAGTTCCTCTCTATTGCTAAAAAAGTTTTTAAAGTAAAAAACTGTCAAGTTTAAGAAAGCTATTCTTCTTAATGAAAACTAATTCTCAACTTAAAATGTATGCCTGATCATTTTAAGCGGTAGCTATCAAAGTATGCTTGGTGAGGGATAACGAGAATCCAAATTTCCTTCAATTCCAAAAGACATCGCTCCAGCACTACATTTGTGACACCCAGAGTAATTTGGGAAATAAAAGATATTGCACTTAGCCAACTTACACTCCTATACATCCGGGAGGGGTGTGGTAAAAGTAACCTGTGCACTGTTTGATTGGTTAACATCAAGATTATCACACGATTCTGAGTCTCAGAGACATAAACCCCTCCAGGTAAAACACTGCAATTTTGGAATTTTAGGCGAATGGCATTATTCAACAGATTTATGTCCAGTGACTCCTCCATCAGCTCCAATGTATCTCCAGAGGTCTTCCTGTTGAAAAAGAGACATTTGTTTGAAAAGTTTATGCTTTTCTCACTGACTGTTCTACTGAAATATATGAGAACAGTGTCCAAGTGAACTCACCAAATTTGAAAATTTTGGATAAACAGATTTGGACCACTTTTGCATGCCAAATCACATTATGTACATTTATAAAAAACAGCATAACAAAATCCAAATTTCACTGTGATTCTGTTACATAGAGACATTTCCAAACTTGATAGGCCATTTATTTAGGACAATATTTTATGCAATTAACTCTACTATAATAAAAATTAACACCATACCCCGGCCATTGCTTGTAGTGGAATGTGGCCTCCATATATACTACAGCATCAAACAAAACTGACCTTAATAATTGCGGTTATTTCCTGTTTCTATTACTTCTTAACCTGCAATAGCATGCATGCGCACACATATACACACACACACACAGAATAGCAATTTTATACATGCGCTTACATGTATGTGCAAAAATATTACAAAAATAAATATTTTAATATAAAAATACCTTCGCAAATTGAACATATCAGGGTTAGTTTCTATACTAAGCTATTCTAACTTTCATTATTACTCCTCAAAAGGAGCTTGTTTATTTATTTTTTTCTTTTTTCCCCCACCCTCCCCAAAAGGAGCTTGTTTATTAATCCCAGCTGAGGAGCAAGGAGCCACTGGCAGCCACAGATCTCACTGCTGCACAGGGTTTTTAGAACTTCAGCCATAAAAATGGGCAGAATTTTCCTTGATCATATTCGTGGTACCTGTCCATTTTCTTATGCAAACTGTGATACAATCCTGACCAACCGCTCAGAATTCATCTCCACTTGGTTCACAGGCGCCACTGGCAGAGCATTTCTTTTTAACAAGGTAGTGAACCTGCAGTACAATGAAGCTCTAGATTGGGTCATGCTCACTGGCCACCACATGGTCCAACATGTGAGCTGAAAAACTGCAGCAGCAAACTGGGATGGATCTACGAGTTTGCCACCGAAGACAGCCAGTGTTACAAGGAAGGCCATGTGATCCTGGAACGTGCTCTAGTTCGAGAGATTGAGGGCTCTAAGGAGCATGTACCATCTGATAATTTTTGTTTGTTTGTTTGTTTTTTTTTTGAGACAGGGTCTCACTCTGTCAGGCTGGGGTGCAGTGGTGCAATCATAGCTCACTACAGCCTCGAACTCCTGGGCTCAGGCAATCCTCCCACCTCAACCTCCTCAGCAGCTGGGACTACAGGTGTGCACCACCACACCTGGCTAATTTTTGTATTTTTTAGTAGAGACGGGGTTTCACCATGTTGGCCAGGCTGATCTTGAACTCCTGGCCTCAAGCCTCCCAAAGTGCTACCTGCCTCGGCCTCCCAAAGTGCTGGGATTACAGGTGTGAGCCACCACACCTGGCCCTCTTACTTGACTCTTAGCAGCATTCCACATGATTACAGGTGTTAGCCACCATGCCTGGCCCTCTTACTTGATCTCTTAGCAGCATTCCACATATGTGACCTTGCCTTCCTTTTTAAACAGTCTCTTCTCATGAATCCTATGATACTACCCTCTCCCAGTTTTCCTCCCACATTCCTGTCCATTTCTTCCCCTTCTCCTTGACCTGACCCCTATATGCTAGATTTCCTCAAACCTTGATCCTGGACCATCTTCTCTCACTGTACACTTTCTCCCAAGGCACATCTTATCTACTCCCAAGGATGTAAGTACCTTTTCAGCGCTGATGATTTCCCAGAGCTACTTTGCTTCTGGTAACTCACGGCATCAGCACAATTTTCTGGATCCTCAACCTCATCTCTGAATAATTCCTTCGCTTTCCTGCCTTACGGTTAAAGTTGGATCCTGGATCTCCCGTGAGGACAGTGACCCCAGAGTTTTCTCTACCATGCCCTTTGGGGTGGGGCCTCAAGGAAAACATACAGATGTCCTTGTTCCCCACTGGCATTCTAGGCCACTGTTCCTCCTCTGCTACCCGAATCACTCAGCTCTGAAGCTCATGGAATCAGATACCACCTGCTACCCATGCTCACTGCAGTTGATTTTAGCTCCTGGCCCACTGTCACTCTCTCCCACACTACTCTCACCATAATTCTTAATGATTTCAGTATCAGGGCCAGGTACAATAGCTCATGCCTATGATCCCAGCATTTTGGGAGGCCAAGACAGGAGGATTTCTTCAGCCCAGGAGTACGAGATCAGCCTGGGCAACACAGCAAAACCCTATCTCTACAAAATAAAAAAATTAGCCAGGCATGGTGATGCCCGCCTGTAATCTCAGCCACTTGGGAGGCTGAGATGGGAGGATCGATTGAGCCTAGGAGTTCGGGCTGCAGTAGGCCATGACTGTGCTATTTTACTCCAGCCTGGGTGACAGAGTGAAACTCTGACTCTAAAAAAAAACAAACAAACAAATGAATAAACAATATCCAATTATCCTAACACTCTACCTTCTCAGTTCCCCAAATTCCTTTCCTCTAGTGATTGCTCTCAACTGCATCTACTAGGTCATTCCCAACTGCACATAGATATATTATTATATTTTCTCTGTTCCTCCCTTGCTCTCTGGTTACCATGTGATTTCTCTGCTTCCCTTATAGCAATACACCTTGGAAGGGCTATTCTATACTCACAATTCCTCTCCTCCCTTTCCCTCTTGAACCCACTCCACTGAGGCTTTTGTACGACTACTGCAGCAATTCCTGACCAGGTCATCAATGACCTCCATGATCCAAAGGCCAATTTTCGTTTCTCATCTTGCCTGGCTTAAATGCAACACTGACAGGTTTTCACTCTCCTCCTCCTTGAAACATTTCCCTTAGCTTCTGGGATGCCACGTTCTTTGTTCAACTCTCACTTCAGTTACTCCTTCTTGGGCTCCTTTGTTGGTTCGTCATTTTTCTAAATGTTGGTGTGCCCCAGGGTTCAGTCCCAGACTGCTCTACTCAAGTGGCTCTCAACTGGGGGCGATTCTTCCTCATTCACCAGGATATTAAGCAATATCTAGAGATATTGTTGGTTATTGTAACTAGGGTAGAAGTGGCGGTATAGATGTGCTATTGCTATGCAGAGGGTAGAAGCCAGGAATGCTGCTTAACACCCTATAGCATACAGGACAGCCTTCCACAATGAAGACTTAGCTGACAATAATAGTGCAGAAGGTGAAAAATCCTAATTTATTCTCACTTTCTAGGTGATCTCATTCAGTAGAACAGCTTTAAGCACGATCTAATGCCAACAATTTCACAATCTGTATCTTTAGCCCAACTTCTCCACTCAACTCCTGACTACTGTCTCAACACTCACTTGGATATCTATCAGGCATCTCAGATTACACCTGTCCAAAACAGAACTCCTGGACTCACTGAACCTGAAGAAAACAAAAGTACCTGCTTCACCTATACGTTTTTCCATCGCAATTAATGACATCTCCCTAACTTCCAATTGCTCAAGCCAAAAATCTAGGGCTCACCTGTGACTCTTTTCTTTCTGTATACTCCCCATCCAATGCAACAGTAATTCTAACAAATTCACCTTGAAAACATATCCACAATCACAACATTTCTCACTGCCTCTGTCACTACCACCCTGATCTAAGCCACCATCATGTGTGAATTGTGGCACCAGCCTCCTAACTGGTCTCCCTGCACCTACCCTTTCCCCCACCACGCTCTATTCTCAAGACAGCAGTCAAAGCAATCCTTTAGAAGCCCAGATCTTAGATCACGTCATTCCTCCACTTTAACCTTCCACAGCTTCTTCTCATCTTACTCAGAGCAAAAGCCAAAGCTTAAAATAACCAACAAAGCCCTGATCTGGCCCTCAACTATCTCTTTCTTATTATTCTACCCTTTGTTCACTCAGCTGCAGACTCCTGGCTCCTTTCCACTCTTTGAACACAACAGGCTCCTGTTTCAGGGTTCTTTGCACTTTTTATTCCTTTTTCTTGGAAGGCTCCACCTGAAATACTCATTCCCCAGATATCCTTTCTTCTGCTCAAATGTCAGCTTACCCCTGGCTCTTGCCCAACCACCCTACATAAAACATTAACTCCCACAGGTATTCCTCTTCCCTCTTATGCTGTTCCCTTTTTCCTATTCCATTAATCAACTGACAAACTGTCAGAGGCATGTGAACCAGAACAACTCCATCTTGAATAGGAGTTGGGTAAAACAAGACTGAAACCTACTGGGATGCATTCCCAGACAGTTAAGGCATTCTAAGTCACAGGATGAGATAGGAGGTCAGCACAAAATACAGGTCATAAAGACCTTGCTGATAAAACAGGTTGCAATAAAGGAGCAAGCCAAAACCCACCAAAACCAAAATGGCGACAAGGGTGACCTCCAGTTGTCCTCACTGCTACACTCCCATCAACGCCATGACAGTTTACAAATGCCATGGCAACATCAGGAAGTTACATCAGGAGTCTAAAAAGTGGGGGCATGAATAATCCACCCCTGTTTAGCATATCATCAAGAAATAACCATAAAAATGGGCAACCAGCAGCCCTCGGAGCTACTCTGTCTATGGAGTAGCCATTCTTTTATTTACATTTTTTTTTGAGATGCAGTTTTGCTCTTGTTGCCCAGGCTGGAGTGCAATGGTGTGATCTCAGCTCACTGCACCCTCCACCTCCTGGGTTCAAGCTATTCTCCTGCCTCAGCCTCCCAAGTAGCTGGGATTATAGGCATGTGCCATCATGCCCAGCTAATTTTGTATTTTTAGTAGAGACACGGTTTCACCATGTTGGTCAGGCTGGTCTCGAACTCCTGACCTCAGGTGATCCACCTGCCTCGGCCTCCTAAAGTACTGGGATTACAGGTGTGAGCCACCATGCCTGGCTTCCTTTACTTTCTTAATAAACTTGCTTTCACTATGCACTGCGGACTTGCCCTGAATTCTTTCTTGTGCGAGATCCAAGAACCCTCCCTTGGGGTCTGGATCGGCACCCTTTTCCTGTAACAAAACTGCATGTACTTGGGGTTTTTTGGTTATTGTTGTTGTTGCCTATCTTCCTCCATAAGAGTAGGGACTTTGTTTTGTTCCCTGCTATATCCCTGTTCCCTAAAAACGGACTGAAATACATTAGGCAAGCAAATTTTCTTTCTTTCTTCCTGTTTTCTTAAAAGAGATGGGGTCTTACCCTTTTTCCCACCTGGAGTGCAGTGGCATGATCGGATCCTCCCACCTCAGCCTCCTGAGTAGTTAAGATGAAAGGCACACGCTACTCCGCCTGGCTTATTTTAAAAAATCAGGCTGGACACGGTGGCTTACGCCTGTAATCCTAGCAAGTTGGGAGGCCGAGAACGGGGCACTGCTTGAGTCTGGCAGTTCAAGACCAGTCTGGACAACAAGGCAAAACCCCATCTCTACAAAAACAAATAGAAAAATTAGCTGGGCATGGTGGTGCATACTTGTAATTCCAGCTACTTGGGAGGCTGAGGTGGGAGGGTCACTTGAACCCAGGAGGCGGAGACTGCAGTAAGCCATAATTGCACCAATGCACTCCAGCCTGGACAATGGAGCCAGACTGTCTCTCAAAAAGAAAAAAAAAAAAAAGCAGAAAGAAAAAAAAATTTTTTTTGTAGAAATGGGGTCTTGAACTCCCGGCCTCAAGAGATCCTCCCACCTCAGCCCCCCAAAGTGCTGGGATTACAGGTGTGAGCCACTGTGCCCAGCCAAAATATTTAATTAAATGAAATTTGTATCTCTAACATAAAGTCACTCTTTTGAGCCTTAGACCTGTAAACTTCAATGCCTACTTGACATTTCCAAAGGGCTGCTCCCCAGGTACTTCAAATTTACTATGTCCAATAGAATTATTCATATCTATCCAAAATCCATCTTCCGGGTATCTCTGTAAATGGCAACCCCTCCCCACTCACATCTGGTTAGTCACATGAGACACCAGGGAGCTGTCCTTGTTCTCTCTTCTTTTACCATCCCTTACCCCATATTCAATCCACCACCAAGCCCTAGTGAATCTATCTTCCAAAGGTATCTTGAATCCATCTACTTTTCTATTTCTAGTCATTCCCACAATTGAGCCACCAGCAACCCTTACTTGGGCCATGATAAAAGCAAAATTTTTTTTGTATTATACCCATCTAATCCAAATCCACTTTCCACAAAGTAGACTGAGATCTTCTAAAAATACATTTAAAAAAATTTAGATTCAGGGGTACATGTGCAGGTTTGTTACATGAGTATATTGTGTGTATATTCCTATATACATGAGGTTTGGGCTTCTGATGATCCTGCCGCCCAAGTTGTGAACACAGTATCCGATAGGTTTTCCAACCTTTGCTCCCCTCCCTCCCTCCTTTTGGAATCCCTAGTGTTAACTGTTCCCATCCAAAAATGCAATTTTGATGTTAGTAACTCTTTAAAAATCTTTCAATTATTACTCAATGTACTTAGGATAAAATCCAAAAATCCTTAAAAATGGCCTAAGGGTCCCTCATGGTCCGAGTCCTGCCTACCTCTCCAGCCTCAGTATCTCACATCACTTTCTGTTTTACCCACTGCACTTAAGCCACACAGATCTTTGGTCAGTTCCAAACCCGCCACATTCTTTCCACTTCATGACCTTTGCATATGGTGATCCTACTTGCTGGACTCCTCTCTGTCCACTCCCCATGCCTGGCTAACCTCGTGTCCTTTAGATCTCAGGGTAACTGTGAATTCCTTAAAGCCTTTCCCTGCCCCACTAATTATATTTGGTCCTCTTATTAGCCTCTCATAACCCGTATATTTTTCCTCTAGGGCAAGTTTTCCTCCAAAAAATTTCCCCATGAAAAGTGGGTCTACATCTATTCTGACATTGCTACAACGTCTTGCATGATGAAAATTGCAGTTTTGTTCATTTCGTCCTGGTACCTAGCACAATGCCTGACATATTGAAGCTCGAACGTATTTGTACAATGAAGGAAGCTGTAAAGCACTATAAAAACATAACGGGTTCATGTTTAAAATTGGTCTTATGGGCTTTATTCCCCTAAGCTACATTTCCTCTGCTTCTGGTGTTGCTTGGTGTATGTGTGTGTGGGGGTGGGGGGGGGGAGGGGGAGAGGTATCTCTTCTAGAACTCTGTGTCTCAGTTTTCCCGATTCTGATACGAACTGAAAAAACAATCTTTCTCTTTCCCTAAGTGTCAATTACCGCTTCTAGAATAGCACTTTGGGTACAGCGACGAAAATTTATACACCAAACCCTACCTTCCAGGGGAGTTTGGCGAACCACAACACTTACCAATGAATGAACCTGTTTCTGGTTACGGAGAACAACTTGCCACTCTCCACGTAGTAAAAGCCTCCCGCGCTTTCACTGTATTTTACGGCGCCAGCCACGGCATTTGCAGTCCCTGCAAAATGAACGTGGTCAGCCTGCACACGCGTCTTCTGAGAAATGACAGGGACTAAGGGAGCTGACAAAGCAGAGAGTGACAGACTGACAACCCATACAAAGAAAAGAGGAAAACGTCGGACATCAAGGAATCTCTGATCCCGGGGCTAGAGGCATGTGGACTCAGGAGGATGAAACAGGGCGTCAGGGACCCTGGGACCCATGAGAGGAGCCCGAGGGGACAGATGGGATCGCACCCTCCCTGGCCATTTCCGTACCAATGCTGCAGACTGTGAATTCCCGAAAGTGCCTCGGCCTTTCGCGCTCAGCTCCGCTTAGCTCCACGAAGCTCCGTTCCAGGGCTCCCGCCGCCGCCATCTTCCCGCCGTCGCCGCGACGCCCAACGGAACAAAGGCAGGGCCGCGCGGTCGCCGTCACTTCCGGGGGTGGGGCGGGCGGAGCTGCGGACAGGTGAAGCATTCCGGGAGCAGAAAGGCGGCTCCGGCCCTTCGTTGCGAGGCTTCCACCGGGAGAATGAGGGTGGGCAGCGAGGAATCCAGAAGAGAAGGGGGCAGGGGAGGCAGACTCTATCTGCGGGAACCTTCCAGTGGCCGGCTGGAACGCCTCCGGAGGGCGGTGCTCTTTTCTCAGCGGCCGCAGGGCAGGGGGCGGGGCCGGGTTTGTTTCTGTTTCTAAAACGCGGGGCTCAGTCGACCAGGAGGGGCGAGGTCCGGGGAGTCCCGGCCTTTCGGCGTCCTCTGCCGGATCCCGGGTTTATGGTCACCTCTCCCTCGGTTAGGGTGTCCGTCTGTAAATCTTTGGCGATCCTCCCTTCGCTCTTCAGTGGCGACACTTGGGATGGCGGGGTGAGGAAGGGGTAGTGAGGGAAAGGCCTTTGGTTTTGGTCTTTCCCCTCCCCAAGAGACTGTATTCGTGTATTCCTGTATAATGAAACGTAATGTGGTAAACCTTGGTGCTGCCACTTGCTGAGGTTACCTGAGTGCTACTCACTTGGATACGTGAAAGGAATTTGCCATTCCTTCCACCCGTGATCTTGCACTTGGCTGTCAATGCAGTAAGGGCCCATAGTGGGTGTTTAGAAGATATTGTGGGAGTAGATGTTCAAAATCGAGGAAAATGCTAATCTCCAGCGGGGAAGGTTTTGTTCCTTAGTGATAGCCAATAGAAGTTAAAGCACTTCTATTACCAGTGACCACAACCATTCCCTGTCATTCTCCGTTTCATTTATCTGGTTCCGACCATCATTTTCTATCTTTCCACTTCACTCCCTCTGGGACACCAACTTTGGCAGTGCAGTCCCCTCATTCTACCTGGAATCCATTGTTCTACAAAATCTTCACTGTCCCACACTTCTTTGGTGTTTCTTTCTTATCCTGAATACCATTAAATTACTTCATTGCCTAACTCTTCATCGGTAAAAACTACAACTTCGACTACATTCAAATCTGTAGCTGAACATGACTGGAGAAAACTATACACCCGGGTCGGGCGTGGCTCCCAGCATTTTGGGAGGCCAAGGCGTGAGGATCACTTGAGGTCAGGAGTCCGAGACCAGCCTGGCCAACATGGTGAAACCCGGTCTCTACCAAAAATAGAAAAATTAGCCGGGCGCGGTGGCTCACGCCTGTAATCCCAGCGCTCTGGGAGGCAGAGGTGGGTGGATCACGAGGTAAGGAGTTTCAGACCAACCTGGCCAACATGGTGAAACCCTGTCTCTATTAAAGATACAAAAAATTAGCCGGGCATGGTGGTGCACGCCTGTAATCCCAGCTACTCGGGAGGCTGAGGCAGGAGAATCGCTTGAACCTGGGAGGTGGAGGTTGCAGCGAGCCAAGATCGCGCCACTGCACTCCAGCCTGGGTGACAAAGCGAGACTGTCTCAAAAAAAAAAAAAAAAAGAAGAAAGAAAAAAAGAAAAATTAGCTGGGCATGATGGTGCGCTCATGTAATCCCGGCTACTTGGGAAGCTGAGGCAGGAGAATCGCTTGAACCCGGAAGGTGGAGGTTACAGTGAGCCAAGATCTCGCCGTTGCACTCCAGCCTGGGCAACAAGAGCGAAACTCCGTCTCAAAAAAAGAAAAGAAAGAAAACAGAAAACTATACACCCATACTGACATGCCTCCCTGTAACTCCATCAGGACCATGTACCTTGAGTGGGCCCATAATGCTGCCCAGCAAACACATTGTATTTGCCTTCTCCATTTACTGTTCTAAATGAATATTTCATAACTCCTATAACCTCCATTGCCTCCTTTGTCATCCTGACTCTCAGCTTGCTTCTTCATTTAGAAAATTAAAGCAGAGGCTGAGATGGAAGGATGGCTTGAGGCCAGGAGTTCAAGACAAGCCTGGGCAACATACCCCCATCTCTAATAAAAATTTTTAAAAAACTAGCCAGGCATAGTTGTGTGCCTCTGTAGTCCCAGCTATAGGAGGTTTCTTGAGCCCAGGAGTTGGAGGATACAGTGAGCTACAATCCTGCCACTGTGCTCCAGCATGGCCAGAAAGACACCCATCTGGAAAGAAGGAAGGAGGAAGGGAGGACTTCCTCTATAATGACATCTCCCCACCTACCAGCATCTGTAACCACATATTTTGCCTTCCCTTCCTGTTACTATAAACTGTCTCTGAGCTTATGCAGAGACAACCTTTCTACTTCCTTAGAACACCTGCTCAAGGACATCATTCTAGCAATTCAATTATTTCCATTTTCAGTCTTTTCCCCTTTTCTCTTAGTACTGTATGTACTAAGCATACAAACATTCCCTCGACCTCCACTCTCTGCAGCTACTACTCCATATCTCTTCTCCTCTCACCCACAGCAAAACTCAAGAGTGTTTTAATTCCTTCTCTCTCATTCTCATATATATATATATATATATATATATATATATATATATATATATATATATATTTTATTGAGATGGAGTTTCGCTATTGTTGGCCAGGCTGGAGTGCAATGGCACAATCTCGGCTCACTGCAACCTCCGCCTCCTGGGTTCAAGAGATTCTCCTGCCTCAGCCTCCCAAGTAGCTGTGATTACAGGCATGCGCTGCCCTGCCTGGGTAATGTTTTTTGTATTTTTAGTAGAGACAGGGTTTCACCATGTTGGTCAGGCTGGTCTCGAACTCCTTACCTCAAGTGATCCACTTGCCTCGGCCTCCCAAAGTGCTGGGATTACAGGCGTGAGCCACTGCATCTGGCCTCATTAAATCCATGTTTTTCAGGCTTTTGCTTCTACTGCCTTGCTGAAACTGCTTTTTTCCGGGTTATCAATGGCATCCACATTATCTGTCTAATACTAAACTGCTATTTCTTTTTTCTGACACATAATCTTGCTCTGTTATCCAGGCTGGGGTGCAGTGATGTGATCCCAGCTCATTGCAGCCTCAAACTCCTGGGCTGAGGTGATCCTCCTGCCTCAGCCTCTCGAGTAGCTGGGGCCACAGGCTTGTGCCACCATGCCCTGCCAAATTTTTTATTTTTTATTTTTTGTAGAGACAAGGTCTTCCTATGTTGCCCAGGCTGGTCTCAAACTCCAGGCCTCAAGCGATCCTCCTACCTCTGCCTCCCAAAGTGCTGGGATTACAGGCGTGAGCCACAGCACCTGGCCTGAACTGTTATTTCTAAGCTTATTTGACTACTTGTAGAATTTGACCAATTGCTTGCTCCTTCCTCGTGGAAACACATTCTTCATGTGGCATCAAGGACGCCACTCTCTTGATTCTACCTATTTCACTAACTGTTCCTTTTCAGACTCCTTTCCTAGATGCTCCTCTTTTCCCCAACCTCTTGATGTTGGAGTGTCCAGAGTTCAGTTCTTGGTCCTTTCCATCTACAAACACTCCCCTGAGAATCTCACCCAGTCTTCTGGCTTTAAATACTGCATTGTTATATGCCGATCATCCCCAAATGTATACCTCCAGTCTAAGCTTCTCCCCCGAAGTCCAGGTTTATATATTCAACGGCCTATTTTGTATCTTAGATGTAACATGTCTGAAACTGAAGTCCTAACCTCTCTCCCCACACTTACTTTCCCCATCGCAGTTACCAGCACTGTTCCAGTTGCTCAGCCTCCTGAGTAGCTGGGATTACAGGTGCTTGCCACTACGCCTGGCTTATTTTTTTTGTATGTTTAGTAGAGATGAGGTTTCACAGTGTTAGCCAGGATGGTCTCAATCTCCTGACCTCATGATCTGCCTGCCTCGGCCTCACAAAGTGCTGGGATTACAGGTGTGAGTCACCGCGCCTGGCCACACTTCAACTGTTATTATTTACAAATTCCTGGTTATCTAAGTTATAACTGCTCATGACACTGATGTGCCACAGTAGAGAGAACTATTCCGAAGACTGATTATTTCCACTTTCATATCTAGAGGTCAGACCTCTTTTGCCGAGTTCTCAGCCTTTTATATTCAGTTGCCTCCTTGATGCCCCTTGGATTTCCCATGGACATCTCAAATTCAACATATCCAAAATGTTACCCCTCTCTATATAGTCTCACTATATACTCTCACATGTAGTCTATATCTGTGTGGACATCACCACTGTGGCCCAGTCTAGAAATCTAGTAATTACCCTGGACTTTTCTCTTTTAATCCCAACACCCAAATCTCATATATCCATATGGCAAAAGAAAGATGGCCACAAATTCTTTGACATTGTTCCCATCCAGAAGTGTAGCCTTCTTTGTCCCCTCCCCTTAAATCTGGAGGGTTCTGTAACTGCTATAAGGAATATAATACAGCAAAAGTGATGCTGTGCCAGCCTAGCTTAAGAGAGTCTACATCTCTCTTTGAAGACTGGCTATAGGGGAAGCAAGCTGCCATGTAAGAAATTTGGCTACGCCGGGGCCATCCTAGGCAGATTGCAGGGAGAGACCACACACAGAGACTCTAATTCTACTTGAAGTGAGAGATGCCTGGTAAGTCCCCAGGTCCCAGATATTTTGTAGAGCACAGATGAGTCATGACCACTGAGCCCTGTCCAAATTGCATATTAATGAGCTAAATACATGATTGCTATTTTTATTTTTATTAAATTAAATTAATTAATTAATTAATTTTGAGACAGAATCTCACTCTGTCGCCCAGGCTGGAGTGCAGTGGCTCAATCTTGGCTCACTGCAACCTCCAGCTCCTGGGTTCAAGTAGAGGTGGGGTTTTACCATGTTGGCCAGGCTGGTCTCGAACTCCTGACCTCAAGTGATCCACCCGTCTCAGCCTCCCAAAGTGCTAGGATTACAGGCATGAGCCACCGCGCCCGGCCTCAATGTACATATTTAATGTAGTAATGTTTTTTCATTTTTTTCTCAGAAAAAAATGTTAAATTGATGAGGCATGTTTCGGTTTTATAGGAATCTAGGAATTACATTTTTTGACAGTGAACACTTTTTAGCTTTAGATCACTGTCTTATCTCCAACATCCATCAGAATTCCGGGAACTTCACGTTACCTAATAAATGTTTGAGGAATAATTAAATGAATGAATAAGTGCATATATGCATTTTTGGAAAACTCAAATACCCTTTGAACTATTAATGTTCTGGGGGATGGTTATAACATAAATTGAATCATATTGCCATCTAGTGGTTAGGTAGTGACTTCGTTTAGAAACAAAATGCAGAATGTTACCAATATTGTGCAGCAAGTTTTATTTAAATACTTTTTTTTTTTTTCAGATGGAGTCTCGCTCTGTTGCTCACACTGGAGTGAAGTGGCGCGATCTCTGCTCACTGCAACCTCTACTTCCCAGGTTCAAGCGATTCTCCTGCCTCAGTCTCCTGAGTAGCTGGGATTCCAGGCACGCACCACCACACCTGGCTAATTTTTGTACTTTTAGTAGAGATGGGGTTTCACCATGTTGGTGAGGCTGGTCTTGAACATCCGACCTCGTGATCCGCCCGCCTCGGCCTCCCAAAGTGCTGGGATTCCCGAAGGCGTGAGCCACCACGCCCGGACTTTTTCTTTATTTTTTTTTTTTTGAGACGGAGTTTCGCTCTGTTGCCCGGGCTAGAGTGCAGTGGGGCATGATCTCAGCTGACTGCAATCTCTGCCTGCTGAGTTCAAGTGATTATCCTGCCTCAGCCTCCTGAGTACCTGGGATTACAGGTGCCCGACACCACGCCCGGCTAATTGTTTTATTTTTAGTAGAAACAGGGTTTCACCATCTTGGCCAGGCTGGTCTTGAACTCCTGACCTCGTGATCCACCCACTTTGGCCTCCCAAAGTGCTGGGATTACAGGTGTGAGCCACTGCGCTCAGCTGAACAATACTGTTAATTGAACTTTAAGCAGATTTTCATAACCAACTTGATAGCTACTCCTTGAAAGAAGAATTTGGTGGTTTAAACAAGTGTGGGAAATGATGATAAATAAAGTTAAACATATTTCTTTCTTGAAGAACTTTTCAAAGACATTAATATAATAGCTTTGTGAAGTTCCAAGAAGGCCTTATGCATGATACTGCTTTCCAGACTCTTTGACATACAGAATACTCTTTTCAAGGGGCAACTCATTGGACCATTGTTCTTTGAGAATATATTTTGGAAAACATGGCTTTACTTTCATTTTGCCCATAGGTTAAAAATATCAGCTGGGCATGGTGGCTCACACCTACAATCCCAGCATTTTGGGAGGCTGAAGCAGGAGGATTGGTTGAGCCCAGGAGTTTGAGACCACCCTGGGCAACATAGTGAGACTCCATCTCTACAAAAAAAAAAAAAATTATCCAAGTATGGTAGTGTACACCTGTAGTTTCAGCTACTTGGGAGGCTGGGGCAGGAGGATCCCTTGAGCCCAGAAGTTCAAGGTTATAATGAGCTATGACTGTGCCGCTGCACTCCAGCCTGGGTGACAGAACGAGACTCTGTTTCTAAAAAAAAAAGCAGAATTGTGGAATAAATGAAGTATGTCAGTGACTTCTCAATTCCGTTTTCAGTATTCTTTCTACCCACTTAGGAAACCACCATGACTTTAGACTCCAGGGCCTTTGAGGGGCCCTGAAAGCCCAGGGCTCCCACCTAGACTTGACCCTCCTGTGCTTTGGACTTATCCTTGGGAACTATACACCCTGGATTGTTTTCACCTTTCAGGTAATATTTTCTATAAATTTCTCTTTTTTTACTTTTTTTTTTTTTTTCTGAGACAGGGTGTCACTCTGTCGCCCAGGTTGGAGTGTAGTGGCCTGATCTCTGCTCACTGCAACCTCCGCCTCCCAGGTTCAAGTGATTCTCCTGCTTCAGCCTCCCAAGTAGCTGGGACTACAGGCGTGCACCACCACGCCCAGCTAATTTTTATATTTTTAGTAGAGACGGGGTTTCACCATGTTGGCCAGGCTGGTCTCAAACTCCTGACCTCAGGTGATCCTCCCATCTCGGCCTCCCAAAGTATTGGAATTACAGGTGTGAGCGACCATGCCTGGCCTTTTAAAAATTTTTTTTTAAATTTTTTGAGACAGAGTCTTACTCTGTCACACAGGCTGGAGTATAAGGTGCAATCTTGGTTCATTGCAACCTCCACCTCCCAGGTTCAAGCAATTCTCATGCCTCATCCTCCTAGTAGCTGGGATTTCAGGCGTGTACCTCTAACAACATTTTTGTATTTTTAGTAGAGATAGGGTTTCGCCATGTTGGCCAGGCTGGTCTCGAACTCCCGGCCTCAAGTGATCCCCCACCTTGGCCTCCCAAAGTGCTGGGATTACAGGCGTAAGCCACTGTGCCCAGCCAATTTTCTGTAAATTTCAATTATGATTCATTATATGATTAGTTAAATGTTACTTCTGTATCTTTGTAGGAGCTTACATGTAATTTAATTCACAAAATCAAAACAAACTCTTGCTAAGGTGGGCGAGGTGGCTCACGCCTGTAATCCCAGCAGTTTGGGAGGCTGAGGCGACAGATCACTTGAGGTCAGGAGTTCAAGACCAGCCTAGCCAACATGGTGAAACCCCACGTCTACTAAAAATATAAAAAAAATTAGCCAGGCATGATGGCATGCACCTGTAATCCCAGCTACTAGGGAGGCTGAGGCAGGAGAATTGCTTGAACCTGGGTGGTGGAGGTTGCAGTGGTGCCATAATGAGCCAAGGTGGCACCACTGCACTCCAGCCTGGGCGACAAAGCAAGACTCCATCTCAAAAAAAAAAAAAAAAATCCTCGCTTGAACCATATGTTCTGAGTTTTACTTCTGAAAATATGAATGCCTTACCTATTAAAACTAGCTCTGGTATAACTGGAAATGAGTTGACATTATAGTAATTCACACTGAGGTGCTGATGACTATAAAAACTTCATAAATTGCCTTTCCCAGAGGTAAGTCATGGCAACATACACTACCTTAACTGGTAGGGCATTGCCCCTCCTCCCTCTCTTGCTAATCAGTTGTGGGAGTCCTTTTCTACTGCCTCGGTATCATTTTCAACAGAGTGATTCAGAGAGCTATCAGCTGACTGGAATTGGCACGTTATCTATATACTCCACTTACCATCTCATTCAAAGGGATTAAACTCTAGTGGTGGAATTGGAGGCATCAACAAAGAACCAGATGTGCAGGTAGCCTCAGTAGGGGCAGTTAAGTTCATCTCAGTAAAATATGTTTAATATTAGTCTTTTTTTTTTCTTTTTTAAGATAGAGTCTCACTCTGTTGCCCAGGCTGGAGTGAAGTGGCACCATCTCCACTCACTGCAGCCTCTGTCTTTTGGGTTCAAGCATTGTCCTGCCTCAGCCTCCCGAGTAGCTAGGATTACAGGTGCTCACCACCACGCCCAGCGAATTTTTGTATTTTTAGTAGAGACAGGGTTTCACCATGTTGGCGAGGCTGGTCTTGAACTCCTGACCTCAGGTGATCCACCTGCCTTGGCCTCCCAAAATGCTGGGATTACAGGCGTGAGCCACCGCGCCTGGCCAATATTAGTCTTAAAAAACAAGGTGGGCCAAGCATGGTCTCGCCATGTTAGCCAGGCTGGTCTCGAACTCGAGGCGGGCACAGGAGTTTGAGACAAGCCTGGGCAACATGGCGAAACCCCATCTCTACATAAAGTACAAAAATTAGCCAGGTGTGGTGGTACATGCCTGTAGTATCAGCTACTCTGGAGGCTGAGGTGGGAGGGAGGATGACCTGAGCCCAGGGAGGTTGAGGCTGCAGTGAGCTAGCTGAGATCACATTACTGGGCAACAGAGACCCTGTTTAAAAAAAAAAAAAATCAAGATCAAAAGTTGATCCAGTAAAAAGGGTTATTTGCATGTATAGAGTCCAAAAGTGCTTTTTTTTTTAGACAGGGTCTTACTCTGTTACCCAGGGTGGAGTGCAGTGGCATGATCAAGGCTCGCTGCAACCTCTGCCTCCCAGGTTCAAGTGATTCTCCTGCCTCAGCCTCCCAAGTAGCTGGGATTACAGGCTCGCACCACCACGGCTGGCTCATTGTTTTGTATTTTTAGTAAAGACAGAGTTTTACCATGTTGGTCAGGCTGGTCTTGAACTCCTGACCTCAAGTGATCTGCCTGCCTCGGCCTCCCAAAGTGCTGGCATTACAGGTGTGAGCCACTGTGCCTGGCCTCAGAAGTGCTTTTTAATATAAAAGTGTACAATACAATTAAGAGGCTAGAAATTCAGATATTTGAGTAGAGATTCTCACCTATATCTAGACCATCTTGAAGTTGCACCCACTTCAAACCCTCCCTTCTCATTCGGTTCTGTCTTAAAACCTCAGGGCTATCACTTCCTTTGTTGCTGCATGATCATGGGCAATGCCAATCAATGTGCTCACGTCTTTATGTCTTTCTCTGCAAAATAATGATGGCAATAAATATCAGTTGAGAGATTTTTGCAGTCTGTTTCATTCTTTTCTCTTTTCATCTGCTCCTGAGAGTTTTTTTTTTTAATATCCTTCTCCTGTGCTACCCCTACAAAGAATAAAAAGCTTCAAATCATAAAAATAGGATGAGTTTTTAGAAGTATCACTCCTTCCTCATTTTGCCTGCCAAGTTTCAATTTGGTGCAGGTGCCGAAAGATGTTTATAGGCAAATAAAATAAGTCACTTCCACGTCTCAGAGCAAGGATGCTCAGTGACCCGAATAGGGGTTAGAACTTTGATGAGAGGCTCCAGTTTGAGGTCAGAGGCCAATGCTTTTCCAAACCCCCAGACTTTAGTCTTGTTTTGGCTTGCATTTGTCACTGCCCAAATCTTGCAAGAATTTCTGGCAATTAAATTAGTCAAAATGTGTGACTACAATTTCAGAGCTGGCAAAGCCTCTATGGGCAGCCACAGGTCCACACCCAGTGATTGTTTATATTTCTCTCGCATCCTCCAGGATCTTGCTTACGCACCAGTTTCTCTTGAGTAACGGTATGTGGAGCCAAGTCAGTAACGGTAATATTCCTTGTCTGCCTCCTTGGGCTGGTCCTGACGCTGGCCTCGACAATGCCAGGCTCTGGAACTATTTGTTTCTGAATTCCAGCCAAGAAGTCTAACAATTCTCTCCTTTCCTTTCCATCGCCCTCTTCTTCCTTACTAATGCCAAGTCTGGGATTTTCCTTGTCTAAAGACCACAGGGGCAAGGAAATGAACTTTCTTGGGATACCACAGACCACTTAACAGAAAATGTGCCCTTTGTTCTCATTCAAATGCCTTTTCCTTAAATGATATTTCTTTTCTTTTTTTTGAGACAGAGTCTTGCTCTGTCACCTAGGCTGGAGTGCAGTGGCATGATCTCAGCTCACTGCAACCTCTGCCTCCCAGGTTCAAGCGATTCTCCTGCCTCAGCCTCCCGAGTAGCTGGGATTACAGGCGTCCACCACCATGCCTGGCTAATTTTTGTGTTTTTAGTAGAGGCAGGGTTTCACCATGTTGGCCAGGCTAGTCTCCAACTCCTGACCTCAGGTGATCCCCCCGACCTTGGGCTCCCCAAATGCTGGGATTACAGGCATGAGCCACCGTGCCCGGCCTCCTTAAATGATATTTCTAAGGTTTCCTCAGATCTATCTGCACTAACTACTTGATTTTTCCTAGGTGCCTGTCAGAAGACTAAAAGGAGGCATTGGAATTCTGAATTTTCTGATTAGAAAGCAGTAGCTCACCGTAATCCCAGCACTTTGGGAGGCTGAGGTGGGTGGATCATTTGAGGTCAGGAGTTTGAGACCAGCCTGGCCAAAATGGTGAAACCCCGTCTCTACTAAAAATACAAAAAATAGCCGGGTGTGATGGCAGGCACCTGTAATCCCAGCTACTTGGGAGGCTGAGGCAGGAGAATCTCTTGAATCTGGGAGATGGAGGTTACAGTGAGCCAAGATCATGCCACTGCACTCCAGCCTGGGTGACAAAGCAAGACTCTGACTCAAAAAAAAAAAAAAAAAAAAAAGGCCAGGTGCGGGGGCTCACCCTTGTAATCCCAGCACTTTGGGAGGCCAAGGCGGGTGGATCATGAGGTCAGGAGTTCAAGACCAGCCTGACCAACATGGTGAAACCCAGTCTCTACTAAAAATACAAAAATTAGCCAGGTGTAGTGGTGTGTGCCTGTAATCCCAGCTACTTAGTAAGCTGAGTCAGGAGAATTGCTTGAACCCGGGAGGCGGAGGTTGCAATGAGCTGAGATCATGCCACTGCACTCCAGCCTGGGCGACAGAGTGAGACTCTGTCTCAAAAAAAAAAAAAAAAAAGAAAGGAGTACCTCAAAAAGAAAAAGTGATTTGCCCAGGCATTTAGTCAGGCAATTCTATTAGTTGTGTCTGAATCCATTCTTTAAACATTTTAAAATGCTTTTAGCTCCTAGCAACCATATCCAAAACAAAGGAAGCAAACCCTTGTATTTACCTACAGGAAATAGAAAGATGCAGGTCTGGCTGTTGATCACTGATTCCACCATGAGCCAGAAAATTTTACTTCATTTGGCCAAACCCCGGGACAGTTCAGTAGGGATTGCTGTTGACACAAATAGGGGTTCCAGTTCCCACTGTTAACTAACCACTTGGCCTTGGCAAGTCACTTCATTTCTCTGGGCCTCAGTTTCCTCATCTGTAAAATGAGGCCTCTGGGCTTCATGATCTCTTAGGTTTCCTGGTTCACAACTAGGAAAATGCTAAGATAAAGGTATAGGTATAAACATCTTTAAAAAGTCAGAAAAACATCTATAACATTTCAAAAGAACAATCTCTAGTGGATAAAAATATGTGTACAGTACAGTTGACTCAGCAATTTCACTCAGAGTTTTATCCTAAGGAAACAATCACAGATATGCTTCAAGATACAAGGATTGACGGGCGTGGTGGCTCATGCCTATAATCCCAGCACTTTGGGAGGCCAAGGCGGGTGGATCACCTGAGGTCAGGAGTTCGAGACTAGGCTGGCCAACATGGTGAAACCCTGTCTCTACTAAAAATACAAAAAAATTAGCCGGGTGTGGTGGCACGTGCCTGTGATCCCAGCTGCTCAGGAGGCTGAGGCAGGAGAATCGCTTAAACCTGGGAGGCGGAGGTTGCAATGAGCTGAAATCGCGCCACTACACTCCAGCCTGGGCAACAGAGCGAGACTCAAAAACAAACAAAAAACAAGGATGACTGTCACAGTGTTTGCTTTTTTTCCCAAAATAAACATTTAATTTTAGAATAGGTTTAGATTTACAAAGAAATTGTAAAGGTAGTACAGAGATTTCCCGTATACTCCATCTATTCTCTCTCCCCAGCTCCCCTATTGTTAACAGTTTATGTTAGTATTGTCAGAGGCGTTCGAAACAGAGCGACTCCATTTTGAGTGAGGGCTGGAAAAATGAGGCCAGGACTTGCTGAGCTACATTCTCAGAAAGTTAGGCATTCCTAACCTCTAGATGTTTACGGCTAAGGGGACAAATTAATAATGCTTACTGAACAGACCCAGACTTGGGAGTGTCCAGATATCCCGATATCTGGAGAACAAAGGCATTCCTAATTTTGCTTTAAAGATAATAATATTGATTTTTGAAAAATATAGTAATTAAAAAAACTTAATCCTTTATCACAAACCCTTGTAGCAGAGCACATCTCCCCATATATACAAGCTTTGTACCTAGGGTGGATGCGTTCCTCCTCTTACTTTTGGGAACATCCTACTCTGTCTATGGAGTAGCTGTCCTTTCACCACTTTACTTTCCTAATACACTTGTTTTTGCTTTGCACTGCGGACTCACCCTGAAGTCTTTCTTGTGTGAGATCCAAGAACCCTCTCTTGGGGTCTGGATCGGGACCCCTTTCCTATCTGTAACAGTATGAAACATTGGTCACAACTAATGAACCAATACATATATATATATATTTTTGAGACAGAGTCTCGCTCTGTCACCCAGGCTGGAGTGCAGTGGCCTGATCTCGGCTCAGTGCAATCTCCACCTCCCTGATTCAAGCAATTCTCCTGCCTCAGTCTCCAGAATAGCTGGGATTACAGATGCCTGCCACCATGCCTGGCTAGTTTTTGTATTTTTAGTAGAGATGGGGTTTCACCATTTTGGCCAGGCTGGTCTTGAATTCTTGACCTCAAGTGATCTGCCCACCTCAGCTTCCCAAGGTGCTGGGATTACAGGCATGAGCCACCATGCCCAAACTAATAAACCAATATTGATACAGTATTATTAACTAAAATCCATACTTTTTTTCCCCCAATTTTAAGAGACAAGGTCTCATTCTGTCGCTCAGACTGGAGTGCAGTGGCATGATCATAGCTCACTGCAGCCTCAATCTCCCAGGCTCAAGTGATCCTCCCGCCTCAGCCTCCTGGGTAGCTGGGACTACAGGCACATGCCACCATGCCTGGCTAATTTTTAAATGTTTTGTAGAGATGGAATCTCTCTATGTTGCCCAAGCTAGTCAGGAATTCCCCTTGACAGTTTTGAGAAGTACTGAACAAGTATTTTGTAGAATGTCTTTTGTCTGATTTTTCTCTTAAAAAATCATGATTAGATTAGGGTTATGAGAGGAAGACCACAGAGGTAAAGTGCCATTCTTGTCCCAGCACAGCAGCAGGGGTACATGCTGTCTGCGTGACTTTTCGCTGATTATGTTAAGCTTAGTCACTTAGCTGAGGTAGTGTTTGCCAGATTTCACTGAGCTTTTTTTTTTTTGAGGCGGAGTCTCACTCAGTCTGTCACCCAGGCTGGAGTGCAGTGGTGCGATCTCAGCTCACTGCAACCTCTGCCTCCTGGGTTCCAGCGATTCTTCTGCCTCAACGTCCTGAGTAGCTGGGATTAAAGGTGTGTGCCACCACACCTGGCTAATTTTTGTATTTTTAGTAGAGACAGGGTTTCACCATGTTGGCCAGGCTGGTCTCGAACTCCTGACCTTGTGATCCGCCTGCCTCGGCCTCCCAAAGTGCTGGGATTACAGGTTTGAGCCACGGCGCCCAGCCTCACTGTGCTATTTTTTTAAAATAAAAAAAGTTCTCAAGCAAACTATAGGTCAATAGAGGACTTTAAACTCCATGGGGGCAAGATCTTTGCCTGCTTTGCTCACCACTGTGTATCCAGTGCTGAGCACATTTCTGACAAATAGTAGGTGTTAATTAGAATTTGTTGAAAGAGGGTCAGGCATGGTGGCTCACGCCTGTAATCCCAGCACTTTAAGAGGCCGAGGCGGGTGGATCACCTGAGGTTAAGAGTTTGAGACCAGTTGGCCAACATGGTGAAACCCCGTCTCTACTAAAAGTACAAAAATTAGCTGGGCGTGGTGGTGCATGCCTGTAATCCCAGCTACTTGGGAGGCTGAGGCAGGAGAATCGCTTGAACCTAGGAGGCAGAAGTTGCAGTGAGTCGAGATCATGCCACTACACTCCAGCATGGGCCACAGAGCGAGACTCGTCTCAAAAAAAAATAAAAGAATTTGTTGAATGAAAAAGTGGGAAGATAAATAAATTAACTTCTCCAATATGATGGAATACTGGCAATTATCATAAACATTTGATGATGTGAAAAAATGTAAAGTATTTATTGCTCAGTGAACAAAACAATTAGAAAACAATTTCTATACATTCAGTTTTCTATGAAGTGTGTTTGTGTGTGCAGAAAAATAACTAGAAGAATGTTGTCAACATGTTAACAGTGGTCGTTGGTTATTGCTGGGTGGGAAGGGAATGGGGATTTTTATTTTTTTCTTTGTTCCATATTTTTAAAAATTGTCACAATAAAAAGGAATTACTTTTTGAATCAGAAAAAGGAATAAAAATGGAGAAAAGTTTTAAACTTCAAAAAGATTCCCGAGCAAGGAAAACAGATATTCCAATACAATACTCAGCAACCACGTTATTTAGCCATGTATTAGTATCTGTGAAGGAACTGAAATCAGTGGTGCAGTGCAGAGAGGGTGTTGTCCTCAAAGTTCTGCAGTTTCTAGGAAACAGGGTACACTAGGCACCATCTGTTTCTGATTTAGAGCATTAGAGTTACAAGATCATAAGCCGTATCTTTGTTACTCTCATAACAAATTGTTTAAAGTTAAAAAAAAAGAGTAAAGAGCAAAACCAAATGCACAGGATGCCAGAGTGAATGGCATTATTGTATCATTTGCTTTCTCTTCCCAGGGGCTTTGCATTTTAAAAACACATGTTGTGGTTTTTCTGTGATTATCTTTCCACTTCCTGTGTTGTATCTCCTTACTGTAAATATCCTTTTGTATAGTCATGCTTTTTTCCCCTTGCGTCTTACATGTGTGTCTTTCTTAATATTCACTTTCTCCAGTCTTCTACTGTTTATTTTCCCTAATACTAATTTGTATGAGTCCATTGGTATTTTTATTCTCCAACAAGATTTTTTTAGAACCCTGGTTTCAAATCCTAGTCCCATCTTTTATTAACTGTATGGTCTGGGGGAAATTGCATAATTTCTCTGAATGTTTCCCGCTGAAAATAAGGACAATATTAGGTAACCAATGGGAGTATTGCAAGGATTAAATGAGTTTAATATAAATACATAGAGGATCTAGCCTAGGGATGGGCACAAACATGGCACTTAACCCTTGGTATCTTTTCCTTCCTTCTCTCCTTCTGTGTATCCTCTAATACTATGTCTCGAGTTATCTTTCTAAAACACCAACACATACTAAAGGGTCAAGTCTAACCTTAGCAGGTTTTCAGGGTCCTCCTCAAATAAGCCCCAACCCATCTTTGTGGTCTTACTACCTTCTGGGCACATTCCTTATACACATTACTCTCCAACCACACAAATTACTAGCTGTTGCCTAAATATATGTTACTGTTTCTTCTCTCCCTGACTTTGCAAGTGCCATTTTCTGTGTCTGCAAGTCTTTCCTGCTCCTATCTGACAAACTCCTTTGCAAAGCCTTCTCTGACAGCTTGAGGCCCCCATGCTTCCCTCTGACCATAGTAATTTGTTCAAATCTTTACGAATACAATTCCTTATTCAAGTGTCTGTATCATTCACTCACGTATTCGACAAATACTTACCCAGCTGCTACTATGTGCCAGGCAAATTCTGGTGGGAGTGCAAATTCTGGTGGAATTGTGAGATTCCATAAAGGCAGGGGTCCTGTCCTGTCTTGGTGTTTAGCACTGGCGAAAAGCAAGCACTCAGTATTTGTTTGTTGAATGTTGAATAAAATGAGAGCTTTTTTCTTCAATAGTCAAACTGAAAATTATAATGCTACCAAACACTTCCTCAAAGATAAAGGGCACATTTTCTTTTACATGTAACATATTATTGTGTTTATTAACACTTCCAGGGGGCTCAGAAATATTCCTTTGCTTCAAATGTTCTCCATCTGGAAGAGTTTAGCTAATTAAACCAAAGACTACAGATGAGTTGGCCCAATTTATCTCCAGGATGAAATCCTTTTTTTCCTCCAGAGAATTCCTCAGATAAATATCAAGGGTCAATGTTACTTTTAGTAACATACAGTTTTTGAAAGTCTTAAAAATGTTTTAAATTTCTAAATTCGGTTTAAAAATACTTTTGAAAATCTTATTTTTAGTTTAAATTTACCAGTGAACTTTAGTCTACACAAAAGCATTTGTTTTGACTCGAAATGATGCCAAATCACCAACTGGTGAATAAATTGGTAATTAATCTACAAAAGGGAAGTTAGAAAAAAATTCTTTCTCTTCCCCTCCGCCTTTTTTTTTTTTTTTTGGTAAGTTTAGATCCCTGTTAGCGATGATATTCTGTGCAGATTGAAAGCTGACTCAGAGAAAGCTATTATTATCCTTCCTTTTTCAGGGTTTAAAGTTTTCATTATTAACATTTGCCGACATTTTTTAGCTTTCATTCTCGTCCTTACCCTGTTCCCTTCTCCATTCCCTTCTAATGTGTAGAAACATGTGAGCCCTGTTTTCTTGGATTCATTTGGATCTCCCTTTGTGCACTTAACAGGACAATTATGAAAATTCATGTGCTGATTACATGCTGATTTTTTTGAGCTTCAGAATGAAAACACTGTAGGCCAGTCGTGATGGATCATGCTTGTAACCCCAGCACTTTGGGATGCCAAGGCAGGCGGATCACCCGAGGTCAGGAGTTTGAGACCAACCTGGCCAACATGGTGAAACCCC
Organism: Homo sapiens; assembly: GCF_000001405.40. Classification (NCBI taxonomy): domain Eukaryota; kingdom Metazoa; phylum Chordata; class Mammalia; order Primates; family Hominidae; genus Homo; species Homo sapiens. The sequence continues at coordinate 47,865,481 of NC_000011.10, forward strand.
ATCTCTATTAAAAATACAAAAATTAGCTGGGTGTGGTGGTGGGCGCCTGTAATCTCAGCTACTCAGAAGGCTGAGGCAGGAGAATCACTTGAACCTGGGAGGCGGAGGTTGCAGTGAGCTGAGATCACGCCACTGCACTCCAGTCTGGGCAACAACAGTGAGACTCTGCCTCAAAAAAGAAGAAAAAAAGGAAAAGAAAAAGAAAACACTGTATAACTTCAAATTAACATCAATTAAATAATGTCCACAATAGCTGAGTTTTATTTATGTAAATTTAGTTATTCAGCTAAGCTGAATTTTTTTTCTCTAGTTGGAGACAATTTATCCATCTCCTGGGTTATATCATGAGATTTAAACTGATGGGCCCTGATAGGAAGAAGCTAAATTAGATTTTAATCAAAGAGATACTATGCAAAACTTGGTAGTGAAGAAAGGAAATCTAATGTCCAATACTGCCATCCTTGCCAGGCAATGTCCTTGTATGTAGAACTGACTCAACAGAATTTTCTTTTTTTTTTTGAGACAGAGTTTCATTCTTGTTGCCCAGGCTGGAGTGCAGTGGCGTGATCTCAGCTCACTGCAACCTCCGCCTCCCGGGTTCAAGCGATTCTCCCACCTCAGCCTCCCTAGTAGCTAGGATTACAGGCATGCACCACCACCCCTGGCTAATTTTGTATTTTTAGTAGAGACAGGGTTTCTCCATGTTTGTCAGACTGCTCTCGAACTCCTGACCTCAGGTGATCCACCTGTCTCAGCCTCCCAAAGTGCTGGGATTACAGGCATGAGACACCGTGCCTGGCCGGAATTTTCTTTTTCCTTTTTTTTTTTTTTGAGATGGAGTCTCGCTCTTGTTGCCCAGGCTGGAGTGCAGTGGTGCGATCTCGGCTCACTGCAACCTCTGCCTCCCGGGTTCAAGGGATTTCCCTGCCTCAGCCTCTCGAGTAGCTGGGACTATAGGCGTGTGCCACCAGGCTTGGCTAATTTTTTGTATTTTAGTAGAGACAGGGTTTCACCATGTTGGTCAGGATGGTCTTGATCTCCTGACCTCGTGATCAACCCACCTCGGCCTCCCAAAGTGCTTGGATTACAGGCGTGAGCCACTGCGCTCAGCCCAGAATTTTCTTAAAAGCTAAAAGCACGCAGGGGTAGGTTGGAGAGAGAATTTTCGAGAGTGAAACAGAACACAGAATTTTTTAGAGTGAAACTACTCTGTATGATGCTATGATGGTAGATACATGTCAAAACTCACAGAATATTCCACTTGAGGCCATGAGTTCAAGACCAGCCTGGCCAGCATGGTGAAACCCCGTCTCTACTACAAATACAGAAATTAGCTGAATGTGGTGGCGTGCAACTGTAATCCTAGCTACTTGGGAGCTTGAGGCAGGAGAATCGCCTGAACCTGGGAGGCAGAGGTTGCAGTGAGCCGAGATTGTGCCACTTCAACCTGGGCTATAGAGCAAGACTGCGTCAAAAAAAAAAAAAAAAAAAGCTAAAGTCAGTATGGGGTCAAAGAACCTACAGAAGTTCATCTGGCTCCATTTAAATGAGGCCTTCTTTGAGTGCTCGTTCACATCCTATTCAACCCTCTTTTACATGCCCTCCTGGGACTGTCTCTCAGCCTTTCCCAAGACTGTCTTCCTCCTTCCAAATTCTTCTTCTTTTTTTTGAGACGGAGTCTCGCTCTGTTGCCAGGCTGGAGTGCAGTGGTGCAATCTCGGCTCAATGCAACCTCCACCTCCCAGCTTCAAGTGATTCTCCTGCCTCAGCCTCCTGAATAGCTGGGACTACAGGCATATGCCACCATGCCCAGCTAATTTTTGTATTGTTAGTAGAGATGGGGTTTCGCCATGTTGGCCAGGATGGTCTTGATCTCTTGATCTTGTGATCCGCCCACCTTGACCTCTCAAAGTATTGGGGGGATTACAGCATGAGCCACCGTGCCCTGCCCTCTTTTTTTTTTTTTTGAGGCAGGGTCTTGCTCTGTTGCCCAGGCTGAAGTGTGGTGGTGCAATCTCAGCTCACTGCAACCTATGCCTCTCAGGCTCAAGCCATCCTTCTACCTCAGTCTCCTGAGTAGCTGGGGCTACAGGCATGCACCACCACACCTGGCTAATTTTCATATTTTTTGTAGAGATGGGGTTTCGCCATGTTGCCCAGGCTGGTCTCGAACCCCTGAGCTCAAGTGATTCACCTGCCTCGGCCTCCCAAAGTGCTGGGATTACAGGTGTGAGCCACTGCACCCAGCCCCCATTCTTCTTTGTGGGGACAAAAAGGTCAAACAAGGACAAGGGTTAGGGAATGGCTGGGGAATTCAGATAATTGAGTTAAACAGATAGGTTCTTTGGTCACCATAGCTTCAAATAATAGATTTGATCAAATCCTGAATGGTGTTTGGCATTTTATAGGACCTCAAAAGTTTGGATAGCTGTCACCACACACTTTTCTCATTCCTCTTCTCTAAGGCCCCCATAGCATTTCCTCGGAAATCATTCTATTCATCCTTTATTCCCTGGTAGTGTCAGAGGAGATTAGTCACTTTTTCCAGCCTCTGGCAGAAATGCTTCTGCTAACTTGTGCCTTGGTATTATAAGGAAGGTCCATGAAATTCATCACTGTGCTTTGAGAAAGATGTTATTGACCGGGCACCATGGCTCATGACTATAATCCCTTTGAGATCAGCCTGGACAACATGGCAAGACCCCGTTCTCTACAAAAGATAGAAAAATTAGCCAGGTGTGGTGGTCCTGTAGTCCCAGCTACTTGGGAGGCTGAGGTGGGAGGATGGAAGCCCAGGAGGCAGAGGTTGCAATGAGCCGAGATTGAGTCACTGCACTCCAGCCTGGATGATAGAGCCAGACCCTTTCTCAAAAAAAAAAAAAAAAAAAAAAAAAAAAAAAAAGCTGGGGTGCAGTGGCTAAAGCCTGTAATCACAGTATTTTGGGAGGCCGAGGCAGGTGGATCACCTGAGGTCGGGAGTTTGAGACCAGCCTGACCAACATGGAGAAACCCCATCTCTATAAAAATACAAAATTAGCTGGGTGTGGTGGCACATACCTATAATCCCAGCTACTCAGGAGGCTGAGGCAGGAGAATCGCTTGAACCTGGCAGGCAGAGGTTGCGGTGAGTTGAGATCACGCCTATGCACTCCAGCCTGGGCAACAAGAGGGAAACTCCGTCTCAAAAAAAAAAGAGAAAAAAAGGTATTAGGGAAATTCCTTTGGGAGGACTCATGGGAAAGATTATAGCTCTAGAAGAATTGTGCTACACCTATGCAACTGATATGTTTATCCTTTAGAGACTATGCATTTTGTACCTCATCTGATTTCTCCCTTTGTGTTGATTACCAGGAGTTTCTTTTCTTCTTCTTATACTTTTTTGAGATGGAGTCTCGCCCTGTCACCCAGGCTGGAGTGCAGTGGTGCAATCTCAGCTCACTGCAACTTCCGTCTCCCCAGTTTAAGCGGTTCTCCTGCCTCAGCCTCCCTAGTAGCTGAGATTACAGGCATGCATCACCATGCCCAGCTAATTTTTATATTTTCTGGTAGAGATGGGGTTTCACCGTGTTGGCCAGGTTGGTCTCAAACTCCTGACCTCAAGTGATCCACCTGCCTCGGCCTCCCGAAGTGCTGGGATTACAGGCATGAGCCATTGCACCTGGCCTTACCAGGAGTTTCCGAGTCAACTTTTATGCCATCTATAGCAAAAACTTCATGACTTGCATCTTACCTCTATACCTTTACTTTCCCTTTGCTATGTGGTTTCTGTTTCAAATTTATTTTATCTTGCTATAGTGTTTGTATAAGTGGCCTTTAGATTATTCTTGTAAGAAGATAGGGTATAGATAAATAAGTAAAATAGACATTTGTAGATAAGAAAATCCAGAGAAAAGTGAGTTCTTTAAGGCAGCAGATAGCTCCATTGATAAAACCTAGGCTTGCCACAGATTACCCACAGTACAGTGAAGATTATATTAGAAAATGCAATGCCCTTTTAAGCGCCATGTCAATCCTTATAATATAGATAAATAAAGCAGCGGGTGTGTGAATTGCATTCAAGTCATGGAGCCCAGGAACCATTGAATGAATGGTAAAGCAGTACTCTAGGAAGGTCTTTTTCAACTTGGTTGTTAGTGCAGATTAGATTCTTCTACAGGAGAAAAGTCTCAAGTGACCCAAAGGAAGTGATTCATAGGGGACAAAAGCAGAGGGTGGTGACAGAAGCCTAAGATGGTGTCCCAGAGGGAAAGTGGGCAGTGCCAAGCAGAAACTACAAAAAAAAAATAAGCATTTGTTGAAAGACAAGTTCATAAGCCATCCAAACCAGGGTCACAAGCTCCCAACAGAGTGGCTAGAATCTCTGCTGATGAATTGAAGGAAATTTGCAATAAGGAAAAATACACCCATTTGAAAAGAAATCCAGTTCATAAGGTCAGCCCAACCCAAAACATCAGTGAACAGGAATTTGGTTCACTGAACAATACCAGTCTTGGTCCTACAGTGGCCAACTCATTCCTTTACAAAGTGAATACAGTTCACACCTATTTTTGTACTGAAAATTCTACAGAATAGCTTTAAGAAAAATCCTGGACAGTCAGGAACTCTAAAAAAATTTGACCTTGTTTTCTAGCACAGCTGGGTGGCAGTTTGTGTCCCTTTTACGATGTTAGCAATTGCCAGTTTCACTCAACTGCCACAAATGGGGGTAGTAAAATTCCAATTACCTCATACATGGAAACTCTATTAGGAGAGACAGACAATGTCACATTTATGATATTTTACATTTAAATACCAGCAAGTAACAAATGCCCACAGGCTATGCCAAGGACAAGTAAATAATATCAATCTCTTGTAGATATGATGACCATAATAATTATAATCGCTCATACTTACATAGTATTTGCTATGAGGCAGGCATGGTGCTAAACATTAACACACATTAACTCATTTAATTTTATCCTCACAACAATCTCCTTTAAGGTAGTCACATAAGGTAGCTACATATAGGCTTGGCCATTTCCTTCTGTTCTCCCCTCCCCTCCCCTCCCCTTCTCTGTCTGTCTCTCTCTTTCTTTCCTTCCTTCCTTCCTTCTCTCTCTCTCCTTCTCTCTTTCTCTCATTCTTTCTCTCTTTCTCCCTTCCTTTCTTCCTTCCTTCCTTCCTTTCTCTCTCTCTCTTTCTTTCTTTCTTTTCTTTCTTGACAGAGTCTCATTCTGTCACCCAGGCTGGAGTTCACTGACATCATCATGGCTCACTGCAGCCTCAACCTCCCGGGCTCAATACATTCTCCCACCTCAGCCTCCCGAGTACCTGGACTATAGGCATGTGCCACCATGCCTGGCTAACTTTTGTATTTTTTTTTGTAGATACAAGAGACAAGGTTTCACCTTATTGCATAGGATGGTTTTGTTAAACTCCTGGGCTCAAGCAATCTGCCTGCCTCAGCCTCCCAAAGTGCTGGGATTACAGGAGTAAGGCACCGAGCCCGGCCTGGCTTTGCCGTTTTCAGTGTGTCTATACTTATACGTCTCACTGTCATACACTAGGTCAAAATTACCCCAATCTTGAATATTTACTGCCCCCTTCAAATTCTTTGGGCAAGTGGGGTAAGGAGTACCAGATCTACCATTCATTGAATCCCTGCACTGTGCCCAGCTCTGTGCTAGGTGCACACATCCATCACAACCCCCCACTTTTTTTTTTTGAGACAGAGTTTCCCTATTTTTGCCCAGGCTGGAGGGCAGTGGTGTGATCTTGGTTCACTGCAACTTCTGCCTCCCAGGTTCAAGTGATTCTCGTGCCTCAGCCTCCCGAATAGCTGGGATTACAGGTGCCCACAACCACCCCGGGCTAATTTTGTATTTTTAGTAGAGACGGGGTTTCACCATGTTGGCCAGGCTGGTCTCAAACTCCTGACCACCTCAAGTGATCTGTTTGCCTCCACCTCCCAAAGTGCTAGGATTACAGGTGTGAGTCACTGCACCTGCCCAGAATTTGCATCCTTAACTATGATTCTATACTGTCACTGTGCCAGACTCCATTTGAGGGGCTGGGTGTCCCAACTGCTTTTGGGTTTAAGATTTTGAAATATGTTGGAACATCTAATTTTTGAGCTTCTATAACTGGTCTTAAGTCATGGAGTTGGGGACATTTGCAGTTCTTTTCACGGGGATAAAGTAAACTTGGGTACATCCCAACAAGTGAGATGCACTGATTCCACCATAAGAACCATGTGGTGAGGGCCATGCCTTAGGGGTGGGGGAGCTACAAGACAGAAGAGCTGGGCCTCTGATGGCATTGAGGAATGAGCTGCTTCACCGTGGAGGGGGACAGACTTGTTTTGTTTAAACCACTCTATTGGGTCTTTGATACCTGCACATGCACCTTACTAATAGACCTCTGAATTTTTTTTTTTTTTTTTTGAGACAGAGTCATTCTGTGCTCAGGCTGGAGTGCAGTGGGGTAATCTTGGCTCACTGCAACCTCTGCCTCGCAGGTTCAAGTGATTCTTATGCCTCAGCCTTCTGAGTAGCTGGGATTACAGGCATGTGCCACCACACCCAGCTAATTTTTGTATTTTTAGTAAAGATGGGATTTCACCATGTTGTCCAGGCTGGTCTCGAACTCCTGGCCTCAAGTTATCAGCCTGCCTCAATCTCCCAAAGCGCTGAGATTACAGGCGTGAACCACTGCACCTGGCCGATATACCCTCTAAAAATTAAACTACTTGTTTTGATCACCTCCTACTTATCTGTTGGGAAGAGAGGGATGCTTGCCCTAGAATTATGGAGATGGCCAAACCCGTGACACCCAATACTGGGCAGATGAGACCCACAGCAGTTTATTAGTCACATAGATTCAGGCAGGGGAGGACTCTGCCCCTCACAGAGCCACATGGCGGTTACACCCGGGAAAAGAGTGAACTGTCAGGGGCTGGAAGGGTCAAGCTTTGCAGTATCAAGAGGGTGAGGGGCTTCCTGATTTCTTAAGGAGGATGTGATTGGCTTGTTTGAATAATTCCATGGGAACTGAAACCTGCTACTCAGGAATAAGCAGGAATTGCACCTAGTCCATTTGATAGTGAGGGTTATCTGGCTAGAGGATCTTATCCACCGGAGCAGAGTGGGGAGGAAAACTTGCTGTCAGGCCACTCAAGGCCCCCCACACCCAGTTCCAGTCAAGACAGCACATAATATTGATTTTAGGGTGGGGTGTGGTGGCTCATGCCTGTAATCACAGCACTTTGGGAGGCCGAGGCGGTGGATCATGAGGTCAGGAGATCGAGACCATCCTGGTCAGCATGGTGAAACCCTGTCTGTACTAAAAATACAAAAAATTAGCTGGGCGTGGTGGCGGGCACATGTGGTCCCAGCTACTCGGGAGGCTGAGGCAGGAGAATGGTGTGAAACCGGGAGGTGGAGCTTGCAGTGAGCTGAGATTGCACCACTGCACTCCAGCCTGGGCGACAGAGCCAGACTCCATCTCAAAAAAAAAAAAAAATTGATTTTAGGCCTTACATCACACTACTGACACATGCAGGGAATCAGAGTCAGGTTATGTAGCCCCTCTGGAAACAATAATGTGACTCCAAAGACATAAATGTAAGTTGATTAGAAGTCTTTTTTTTTTTTTTTTTTTTTTCCGAGACAGAGTTTCCCTCTTGTTGCCCAGGCTGGAGTGCAATGGCGTGATCTCAGCTCACCACAACCTCTCCCTTCCAGGTTCAAGCAATTCTCCTGCTTCAGCCTTCTGAGCAGCTGGGACTATAGGCACCTGCCACCAAGCCCAGCTAATTTTTGTATTTTTAGTAGAGACAGGGTTTCACCATGTTGGTCAGGCTGGTCTCAAATTCCTGACCTCATGATCTGCCCGCCTTGGCCTCCCAAAGTGCTGGGATTACAGCCGTGAGCCACTGTGCCTGGCCAGAAGTCTTAAATAGAAAGAAAGAATGTATTCATTAAATAAGGATTTGATCAAACCAGAAGATGGAACATTTCCTGTTCTTTCAAGCACTGACCAGGAAGACTCAGCCAACATACTTGTAGGATTTCTGGTCCCATTGACTAGTCACCCTTGTTGTGGAGATGGAAGCATCTGATTAGGAGAGTCCGATGCCATTCGCCTTTAAGTCCTTGTTCTCCGCAGCAAGCACCTTCTCATTCATTCATTTGCATTCAACAGATTTATTCAAAGCTGACTTTTTTTTTTTTTTGAGATGGAGTCTTGCTCTGTCGCCCAGGCTGGAGTGCAGTAGCGCAATTTCAGCTCACTGCAGCCTCCACCTTCCAGTTTCAAGCGATTCTCCCTGCCTCAGCCTCCCGAGTAGCTGGGATTGCAGGCACCTGCCACCACAGCTGGCTAATTTTTGTATTTTTATTAGAGATGGGGTTTTGCCATGTTGGCCAGGCTGGTCTTAAACTCCTGACCTCAGGTGATCTGCCACCCTCAGCTTCTCAAAGTGCTGGGATTACAGGCATGAGCCATCGTGCCTGGGCACATTATGATTTATTTTAAAAGAGCACTTAAATGTCATATGGAAAATAACCATTTTTAGCTTTGAGGAAGGAGCCAGAGTAAGGTAGGGACACCAGCTAGGAGTTTCTACAGGAGTCCAGATGAGAAATGATAGTTGCTTAGAACAGGGTAGCTGACTGGAGAGAAGTGGACGAATCTGAAACATACTTTTGAAGTACAATCCTTCTGACTTGTTGGTGGGTTGGATGGGGTAGGAGAGAATGGGGGAAAGAGGAGGAAAGTATGGCTCCCAGGTTTCTGGTTGGAATGGTGGGCAAGAATGATGGAGTAAAGATTAGAGGAGTAGATTAAGAACTAAGTTTTGGGCCAGGCGCAGTGGCTCACACCTGTAACCCCAGCACTTTGGGAGCCCCAGGTGGGTGGATCACCTGAGGTGAGGAGTTCAAGACCAGCCTGACCAACATGGTGAAACCCTGTCTCTACTAAATACAAAAAATTAGCCGGGCATGGTGGCAGGTGCCTGTAATCCCAGTTACTTGGGAGGCTGAGGCAGGAAAATCACTTGAACCTGGGAGGCAAAGGTTGCAGTGAGCTAAGATTGTGCCACTGCACTCCAGCCTGGGCAACAAGAGCAAAACTCTGTCTCAAAAAAAATAAAATAAAATAAAAAAAGAAGAACTTACTTTTGGATATGTTGATATGTTAGTTTTTTGTTTTGTTTGTTTTTTGATATGTTAAAGATATCTTTTTTTAAAATTTATTTTTATTATTTATTTAGTTATTCATTTGAGACAAGATGGTGCAATCTTGGCTCACTGGTACCTCCACCTCCTGGACTCAAGCAATCCTCTTGGCTCAGCCTCCCAAGTAGCTGGGATTACAGGCACATGCCTCCATGCCCACCTAATTTAGTAGAGATGGGGTTTCACCATGTTGACCAGGCTGGTCTCAAACTCCTGACCTCAAGTGATAGGCCCACCTTGGCCACCCAAAATCCTGGGATTATAGGCATGAGCCACTGCGCCTGGTTGAGTTCAATGTGACCTTGAACTTCTGGGCTCAAACAATCCTCCTGAGTAGCTGGGACCACAGTCACGTGCCACTGCACCCAGCTGATTTAAAAAAACGTTTTGTATAGGTGGAGTCTTGCTTTGTCATCAAGGCTGGTCTCAAGCTTCAATCTATCCTCTCACCTTGGCCTCCCAAAGTGCTGGGATTACAGGCATGAGCCACTGTGCCCAGTCTGGTATTGGGGGAACCCGCCCCCAATATTTCAACGTAGGTTCTTTCTATTTTCTGTAAGAGTCAGCCAGCTGAGAAATAAAGAGAAAGAGAAAGAGTACAAAGAGAGGAATTTTTTTTTTTTTTGAGACGGAGTCTTGCACTCTTGCCCAGGCCGGAGTGCAGTGGTGTCATCTTGGCTCACTGCAAGCTCCGCCTCCCGGGTTCACGCCATTCTCCTGCCTCAGCCTCCCGAGTAGCTGGGACTAAAGGCACCCACCACTACGCCTGGCAACTTTTTTGTATTTTTAGTAGAGATGAGGTTTCACCGTGTTAGTAAGGATGGTCTCAATCTCCTGACCTTGTGATCCACCCACCTCAGCCTCCCAAAGTGCTAGGATTACAGGCGTGAGCCACCGCACCTGGCCCAAAGAGAGGAATTTTACAGCTGGGCTGCCGGGGGTGACATCACATATTGGTAGGACTGTGATGCCTACCTGAGCCACAAAACCAGGAGTTTTATTAAGGATTTCAAAAGTGGAGGGGGTGCAAGAACAGGCAGTAGGTCACAAGATCACATGCTTCAAAGGGCAAAAAGAACAAAGATCACATGCTTCTGAGGAAACAGGACAAGGGCAAAATCAGAAACTCCTGATAAGGGTCCAGCAAAGATCACAAGGCAAAGGGCAAAAGCGGAATTACTGATAAGGGTCTATGTTCAGCGGTGCACGTATTTTCTTGATAAACATCTTAAACAACAGAAAACAGGGTTCAAGAGCAGAGAACCGGTCTGACCTCAAATTTACCAGGGCGGGGTGTTTCCCCACCCTAGTAAGCCTGAGGGTACTGCGGGAGACCAGGGCGTATTTCAGTCCTTATCTCAACCGCATAAGACAGACACTCCCAGAGCGGCAGTTTATAGACCTCCCCCAGAAATGCATTCCTTTCCCACAGTATTAATCCTTGCTAGGAAAAGAATTTAGCAATATCTTCCCTACTTGCATGTCTGTTTATAGGCTCTCTGCAAGAGGAAAAATATGGCTCTATTTTGCCCGAACCCACAGGCAGTCAGACTTTATGGTTGTCTTCCCTTGTTCCCTGAAAATCGCTGTTATTCTGTTGTTTGTCAAGGTGCACTGATTTCATATTGTTCAAACACACATGTTTTACAATCAATTTGTACAGTTAACACAATTATCATAGTGGCCCTGAGGTGACGTACATCCTCAGCTTACAAAGATAACAGGATTAAGAGATTAAAGTAAGACAGGTGTAAGAAATTATGAAAGTATTATTTGGGAACGGGTAAATGTCCATGAAATCTTCACAATTTATGTTCCTCTGCCGCGGCTCCAGCTGGTCCCTCCATTCGGGGTCCCTGACTTCCCACAACAGCCTGGCATGTCTTTAAATCATTCAAGTGGAGATATCAAGTAGACATCTGGGTATATGAGACAAGAGCTCAGAAGAGTAGTCCAGGGTAAAGTTACACATTTGGGAGCAGGACTGGTTACATAATTTGTGGGACCCAGTGCAAAATGAAGATAAATAGCCTCATGTTAAAAAATTATTAATAACTTCCAGACGTCAAGAGGATAACATCAAACCAAGCACAGAGACCTACAGGTAACTGCACAGGTCACTTGCCCATGAAGCCTATATGCGATATTTAATTTGGAAATTGATCAGATTATTTATGGAGAGAGAGTTATCAGGAGAAGGAATGGGGACCCCAAATAGGACCTTGAAACCTGTGTATATGCTGGTAGTCACAATGAGACAATACTGTACGATCCCACTTATGTGAGATACCTAGAATAGTCAAATGCATAGAGAAGGAAAGCAAAATGGCAGTTGCCAAGAGCTGGAGGGAGGTGGGAATGGGGAGTTCATGCTTAATGGGTACAGAGTTTCACTGTGGGAAGAAAAAGTTCTGGAGATGGATGGTGGTGATGGTTGCACAACAATATGAATGTATTTAGTGCCACAGAGCCATACACTTAATTAAAATGGTTAAAAATGTTAAATTTTGTTATGTATATTTCACCACAAAAAAAAAATGCTGGCCAGGCATGGTGGCTCACACCTGTAATCCCAGCACTTTGGGGGGCCTAGGCAGGAGGATCAACTGAGGTTAGGAGTTTGACACCAGCCTGGCCAACATGGGGAAACCCCGTCTCTACTAAAAATACAAAAATTAGCTGGGTGTGGTGGTGTGCACCTGTAATGTGAGCTACTCGGGAGTCTGAGGCAGGAGAATTGCTTGAATCTGGGAGATGGAGGTTGCGGTGAGCTGAATCGCGCCACTGCACTCCAGCCTGGGCGACAAGAGCAAGACTCCCTCTCAAAAAAAAAAAATTGCTTTTCTCTCTACACTTCTATTATCCTTCATGTGCCTGGCTTTTCTTTTCCTACCTCTCTGGCCACTTCTCAGTCTCCTCAATTCCTTCTCTACCTGAATGAGAAATGCTGCAGTTCTTCCTTTCTTCCTCTATTCCTTCCTCCCTTCCTCCCCTTCTCTCCGTCCCTTTCTTCTTCTCTTCCCTCCCCTCCCCTCCCCCTCCCTCCCTCCCTTCCTTCCTTTCTTCCTTCCTTCCTTCCTTCCTTCCTCTTTCTCCACAAATATTTATCTATTGTGTGCTAGGAATAAACAGGGAACAAAAGATACAAACTCTCTCTCTCATGGAGCATATATTCTACTGATTGAGAGATGGTCTATAAACAAATAAACAAGTAAACATGTAGTATTTTAGATGGTCATAGAGCTACAGAAAAAAAAAAGCAGATTAAGGGGAATTGGAAGAACCAAGGATGGGAAAAGGGTTGCTATTTTTTTTTTTTTTGAGACAGAGTCTTGCTCTCTTGCCCAGGCTGGAGTTCAGTGGCGCAATCTCGGCTCACTGCAACCTCCGCCTCCCTGGTTCAAGCAATTCTCCTGTCTCAGCCTCCCAGGTAGCTGGGACTACAGGCATGTGCCACCACGCCTGGCTACTTTTTTTCTATTTTTAGTAGAGATGGGGTTTCACCATGTTGGCCAGGCTGGTCTCGAACTCCTGACCTCAAGTGATCTGCCTTCCTTGGCCTCCAAAAGTGCTGGGATTACAGACGTCAGCCACCACACCTGGCCAGGGTTGCTATTTTTTACAAGATGATCTGCTAAAGTTACATTCGAGTAAAGAACTGAAGACAGTGGGAGAGCAAGCAATGCTATTATCTGGAAGAGCCTTCTAAGAGGATCACAGCAAGTGCAAAGGCCCTGAGGAAGAATAGAGGTTCCCAAGATTGGAACAGGCAGAAAAAGGAATGGGTGGTAAGGAAGAAAGATGACTTGAGAAACTTGTCTGTGCTGAAGAGCAGAGAAATATTATTATTATTATTTTTAGAGAAAGGGTCCCACTCTGTTGCCCAGGCTGGAGTGCAGTGGCGTGATCATAGCTCACTGCAACCTTGAACTCCTGGACTCAAGACTCAAGTGATCCTCCTGCCCCAGCCTCCTGAGTAGCTAGGACTATAGGCATGCACAATCATGTCTGGCTAATTTTTTTTTTTAAGTGAAAGCAAATTTATTAGAGAAGTAAATAAACGAGCAGGGCATGGTGGCTCATGCCTGTAATCCCAGCACTTTGGGAGGCTGAGACAGGTGGATCACCTAAGGTCAGGAGTTCAAAACCAGCCTGGCCATCATGGTGAAACCCCATCTCTACTAAAAAATAGAAAAATAGAAAAATTAGCTGGGAGTGGTGGTGGGTGCCTATAATCCCAGCTACTTGGGAGGCTGAGGAAGGAGAATTGCTTGAACCCAGGAGGTGGAGGTTGCAGTGAGTTGAGATCGTACCACTGCACTCCAGCCTGGGTGACAGAGTGAGACTCCATCTCAAGAAAAAAACAAAGTAAATAAACAAAAGAATGGCTACTCCATAAGCAAAGGAGCCTAATTTTTTTTTTTAATCTATTTTTTTTTTTTTGTAGAGACAGGGTCTCTCTATGTTTCCCAGGCTGGTCTCAAATAATCCTCCTGCCTCAGCCTCCCGAAGAGCTGGGATTACAGGTGTGAGCCACAGTGCCCAGCCAAGAAATATTGTTTATTGAAGGTTTGCTATGCTCTCACTTTGTGTGAAGTGCCAAGGTTAGAGCAGAGAACCGACAGAAGTGGTTCCTGACCTCATGGAGCTGACAGTCCAGCAGAGGAGAGACAGGTTTGACAAACAATGATTCAGCTCCACTTTCGATGAGTTCTCTGAGAGAGTGGTGGAGGGTGAAGGGAGTGTGTTATAGTAAGACAACACCGAAAGAGGGGAAGGGAGGAGGGATCAGAGGGGGCGTCTTGGAGGAAGTGACACTTGACGGATTACGATTTGGTGTCCCCTGTGCCTCCACCTTCAGGGAGCAATGCCCTGGTTCTGGTGACATGGGCACTCAGGGTCCCCATGGCAGTTCCTTCTCATTGAGTGTCACCTCCGTCATTTGGCTTCAAGAACTGGAATATGCAAATGGCAGTCAGTTATGTGTGATCAAATGACACTGGCTACATGCTCAAGAACGAATTTAGCATCTACCACCAGCGTTCCCACAGTACTCCCAAATAACTTCTGTATCCTCCCCACCTCCAGACACACATGTATACACACACACAACCTCACACACATTCTCAAACCAGCCTGTCAGTCTACCTCACTCTCCTCTTCAGTTTCAGCTTCCACTGGTCTAGGTCCCTGGCCCATGAAGCCAGCTGATGGAGCCTCATGGTGGCCAAAGTTGAAGGGACTCAATGTGGGGACACCGAAGTGTGTGCCCAGGCCATCTCTCCAGCCTTCTAAAACCACCTGCCTTGGGGAGAGGAAGTGGGGAGAATGTCATCTGCTCTGTTTGTACTCCAGAGCAGCTCTGCTTGTGCCCCCACAAAGTCTCTCATCCAAGTTTTCTGTCAACTTTCTGTTCACAGAGTTTCACTTCCAGTTCAAGGGCTAGATGGGGAGTTGACATATGACCTTGGGCAAATTACTTACCTTCCTTGTGTTGCAATTTTCTCATCTGTAAATGAGGATAACAAAAGTACCTACTTCAGTTTAAGTGAAAAAAATTCATGTAAGTGTTTAACATAGTGACTAGCACATATTAGGTGCCCAGTAAATGTTAGCTCTTATTATTACTTTCATCATTATGATTATTTACTGGAGAATTTGGCTACATTAAATGTCTGAGCTCCAGCTCAGCTAGCCAAAGTCTACAGTTCAAAGTCTACTGTTATAACTGTAATCCCAGCACTTTGGGAGGCTGAGGCAGGTGGATCACTTGAGGTCAGGAGTTCAAGACCAGCCTGGCCAACATGGTGAAACCCTGTCTCTACTAAAAATACAAAAATTAGCCAAGTGTGATGGTGCACACCTGTAATCCCAGCTATAAGGGAGGCTGAGGCATGAGAATAGCTGGAACCCAGGAGGCAGAGGTTGCAGTGAGCCAAGATTGTGCCACCACTCTACTCCAGCCTGGGTGACACAGCAAGAGTCTGTCTCAAAAAACAAAACAAAACAAACAAACAAACAAACAAAAAAACAAAGTCTACTGTTAAATAAATTGGCATTCCAGTTTCATCCAATCGGGTTTATGAGCTTAGCTAATGTGTGTCTGCCCCTAAGAGCTAAAGCTGCCCTGGGGCCTCCCAGTCTCTTCCTTAGCCAGGCAGTGTGGTTCTGAGTACCAGAAAGCTCCTGAGGAAAACCCTCTGCCAAAATGGAACACCAAGGGAAAAGGATAAAAGCAACAATTTTGGACCAGGCTGGCATGAACTGTGATCCCAGTCTGCCATACTTATTTTTTTATTCTAAAATAACAGAGATAACATACACAATGGGCTTTCTAACTTGCCACTTTTCCCTTATCTTTTTTCCCTTTGTGAACCTAAAACATCATGTTCTTTCATGCAGTCTTTCAAAAAGAAGGAAAGAAAAAAAAAAGAAAACAACAACAACAAAAAAAATCCTTGGACATTCCAGTTCTCTGCTGGCCCAGAGAAGAACAGACTATCTGATATTTCAGCTGGAAGGCAGGGTGGCAGATTCTTTCCAATGGGGTGGCGACTTCCTCCTTACTTTCAGAACACACCCCTTCCCAAAAATACGCCCTCTTGGGCAAGTAGCACAAAGGGAGCAGACCCGGCTCTGGGCGTCAGCAAATGCCCACATCCCTTCCTTTTCCTTTTATACCCAGTGGCCTGGGAATGGCACAAGAGCTTGGGGAATTTGCCCCACCAGTCTGTGTGTGGCGTGGTCAGGCCCGGGAGTGGCCTCTCTCTCATCTCTTACCCTCTTGATCCATCTTCCAAAACAACTGCTAGAAGTAATTTTCCTGAAACCCAAATCGGATCATTATTTCATTCCACCTGCTTATGCTTGTTAACTTGTCATGGCCTTTTGTGCCCCCCAAAAGGGTTCTCAATCTCTAGCCTGGGGTCTATGCATGGTTAGCTACAAAAGAATGATCTTATTCAGATGCAGATTCTAGGCGGTGGCTCACGCCTGTAATCCCAGCACTTTGGGAGGCTGAGGAGGGCAGATCACTTGAGGTCAGGAGTTTGAGACCCGCCTGGCCAGCATGGTGAAACCCCATCCCTCCTAAAAATACAAAAAAAAAAAAAAAAAAAAAAAAAAATTAGCCGGGAATGGTGGTGCATGCCTGTAATCCCAGCACTCGGAAGGCTGAGGCAGGAGGATCCCTTGAACCCAGGAGGTGGAGGTTACAGTGAGCCGAGATCATGCCACTGCACTCCAGCCTGGGGGACAGAGCGAGACGCCATCTTAAAAGAAAAAAAAGTGTAGATTTTAGAGTTTGAGATAGAACCTGTGGATATGTAGGTATTAGTCTGGATTCTTTAAGTTGCAAGTGACTGAAACTTCAAATTAGCTTTGGTCAAAAAAGAAATTCAGACTGGTGTGGTGGCTGATCCTTGTAATCTTAGGACTTTGGGAGGCCCCTGCAGGAGGATCCCTTGAGCCCAGGAATTCGAGACCAGCCTGGGCAACATAACAAGACCCCATCTCTACAAACAAACAAACAAACCCACTATTTCCTTTGAATAGGAAATTCAAGTCTCAATTATATCTGCAGGATTTTTTTTTTTTTTGAGATGGAGTCTCGCTGTGTCGCCCAAGCTGGAGTGTAGTGGTGCGATCTCGGCTCACCGCAAGCTCCGCCTCCCGGGTTCATGCCATTCTCCTGCCTCAGCCTCCCAAGTAGCTGGGACTACAGGCGCCTGCCATCACGCCCAGCTAATTTTTTTTTTTTTTTGTATTTTTAGTAGAGACAGGGTTTCACCGTGTTAGCCAGGATGGTCTCTCTCGATTTGCTGACCTCGTGATCCGCCCGCCTTGGCCTCTCAAAATGCTGGGATTACAAGCATGAGCCACCGCGCCCGGCCTACCTGCAGGATTTTTTAACTTATGGAGGTGACTGCATGATGACATGGAGAAGTCCATGCCATTGAAATAATAATTAATTTATTATTATTTATTAATTTATTTATTTATTTTGAGATGGAGTCTCACTCTGTCACCAAGGCTGGAGTGCAGTGGCCAGATCTTGGCTCGCTGCAACCTCCGCCTCCCGGGTTCAAGCGATTCTTCTGCCTCAGCCTCCTGAGTAGCTGGGACTACAAGCACGCATCACCACACCCAGCTAATTTTTGAAACCCCATCTCTACGGGGTTTCACCATATTGGCCAGGCTGGTCTTGAACTCCTGGCCTCGTGATCCACCCACTTATGCCTCCCAAAGTGCTGGGATTACAGGCGTGAGCCACCACGCCCAGCCGAAAGAATTGTTTATTACTTACATTTCCCCAGAGAAGTGGGCATGGCACGCCTCACATGCAGACCCAAATGGAGAAACACCAGGTTTGGTCAGGAGGCAGAAAGGAGTGAGGGGAAGGCATAGGCCACAGCCTTTATTGGGGTTTCAGCAGAAAAATCAAAGCATGGTTGGGTAAACTGTTTAGATCAGTTGGATACATTAAATATGAATAGGAAAAAAAAAAAAAAAAAGCAGACCAGGCACGGTGGCTCACGCCTGTAACCCCAGCACTTTGGGAGGCCTAGGCGGGTGGATCACCTGAAGTCAGGAGTTCCAGACCAGCCTGGCCAACATGGTGAAACCCCATGTCCACTAAAAATACAAAAATTAGCTGGGTGTGGTGGCGGGTACCTGTAATCCCAGGTACTCAGGAAGCTGAGGCAGGAGAATCTCTTGAACCCAGGAGGTGGAGGTTGCAATAAGCCGAGATTGTGCCACTGCACTCCAGCCTGGGTGACAGAAAAAAAAAAGAAAGAAAGAAAAAAGGAAAAAAAAAAGCAGTTTAGGATTGGCTAGTTTGAATAATTCCAGCAGGTAGCTGGGTGTGGTGGTGTATATCTGTTGTCCTACAGGAGGATCTGAGACAGGAGGATTGCTGCGCCTAGGAGTTTGAGTTTATAGTGAGCAATGATTATACCACTGCACTCCAGCTTGGGCAAAAGAGCAAGACCCTGTCTCTAAATAAATATATAAATACATACATATGTTTTAAAAAGTATATCATTCAGCCATAAAAAGGAATTAAGATACATGATACATGCTATTATACAACTTGGATGAATCTTAGAAACATGCTAAGTGAAGGAAGCCAGACACAAAAGGCTACATATTTTATGATTCCATATATCATACAATACACGTATGTCTGAAATGTCCAGAATAGGCAAATCCATAGAGAGAGAAGCAGATTAGCCAGGGGCTGGGGGAAGTGGAGAATGGGGAGTCACTGCCTAATGTCTATGGAGTTTCCTTTTGGGGCAATGAAAATGTTCTAGAGCTAGACAGTGGTAATGGCTGCACAACAGTGTAGGAATGTGCTAAATGCCACTGAATTGCACACTTTAAAATAATTTAAAGGGCGATTTTTTTTTGAGGCAGAGTTTTGCTCTTCTTGCCCAGGCTAGAGTGCAATGGTGAGGTCTCAGCTCAATGCAACCTCTGCCTCCCAGGTTCAAGCGATTCTCCTGTCTCAGCCTCCTGAATAGCTGGGACTATAGGCGTGCGCCACCACACCTGGCTAATTTTTTGTATTTTTAGTTGAGATTGGGTTTCACCATATTTGCCAGGCTGGTCTCGAACTCCTGACCTCAGGTGATCCACCTGTCTTGGCCTCCCAAAGTGCTGGGATTACAGGCGTGAGCCACTATGCCTGGCCTTTTTTTTTTTTTAGAGAGAGATAAGATCTCACTATGTTGCCTCGGCTGGTCTTGAATTCCTGAGCCCAAGTGTTCCTCTCACCTCAGCCTCCCAAAGTGCTGGGTTTACAGGTGTGAGCCACCGCACCTGGCTGAAAGGGTGAATTTTATGTTATGCTAATTTTACCACAACAAAAGCATCTTAATCATAACACTTATTGCCCTTTATTGTAATTTTTCGGTTTTCATCTCTGCCTCCTCTACTCAACATGAGTAGGTTCTGTCTCCAGTTCTTGAATTCTGCCCCAACACAATAGTGTGCTCATTAAAACACTGGCAGAAGGAAGATGAACCTGTTGATGGCAAGCAATGGCTACAGGCTGAGTGTTGATTATCTGCTTTATATTACGTATTGGTTTTCTACACTTGATCTTAGCCAAAAGGCTGAGAAGACATATGTATTGGTTTTCTATTGCTGTGTAACTAATGACCACAAATCTAGAGGCTGAACACAACACATAGATTGTCTCACAGCCCTGTGTGTCAGGAGCCTGGGCATGGCCTTGCTGGGTCTTCCACTCAGGGTCTCACAAAGCTTCAATCAAGGCGGCTGCATTCTAACCTCGAGGCTCCACTATGAATTAATTAACTTCCAGGCTCATTCAGGCTGTTGGGAGGATTCATTTTCTTTTTCCCTTTTTCTTTTTTTTTGAGATGGAGTTTCACTCTTGTCGCCCAGGTTAGAGTGCAATGGCACGATCTCGGCTCACTGCAACCTCCGCCTCCCGGGTTCAAGTGATTCTCCTACCTTAGCCTCCTGAGTAGCTGAGATTACAGGCACGTGCCACCACGCCTGGCTAATTTTTTGTATTTTTAGTACAGACAGGGTTTCTCCATGTTGGTCAGGCTGGTCTCGAACTCCCGACCTCAGGTGATTCGCCCGCCTCGGCCTCCCAAAGTGCTGGGATTACAGGCGTGAGCCACGGTGCCTGGCCTCATTTTTTTATGGTTGTGTGACTGAGGTCTCTGTTTTCTTGCTGGCTGCAGGTGGGCTGTTCTTAGCTACCAGAGACTGCCCACAGTTCCTTGCCATGGGACCCTCTCCATGGGCCCCCTCTCATAGCATGGCAGCTTACTTCTTTCAAGCCAGCAATGGAGTGACAGTCTCTCTAGCATGTATGCTAGCAGGATGGACCCTTACGTATATGATCATAACTTTAAACATCTTTATCACATTCTATTGGTTACAAGCAAGTCAAAGGTCCTACTCACACCCATGCAGGGTGTGAATGTAGCTAATTGTAGAGGAGGCCACCCTAGAACTCCTCCTCTACAATTAGCTATGATTTATTGAGAATCTGCTGTGTACCAGACACTATACTCAGCACTTTTCATTAATTATTTCATTTCATCCTCAAACAACCTTAAGAGATAAATACTAGATAATACTAAACAACCTTAAGAGTTAAACAACTAGAGTTGTTTTACAGATTTGGAAATTGAAGCTCAGAGAAACTGGTGTTTGACTTGTTCAAAGTTCCACAACCAATAAGTTTAACTTATTCAAACTTCAAAGTTCCACTTATTCAAACTTCAAAGTTCCACAACCAATAAGTGACAAATTGGGAACTCAAACCCAAGACTATTTGATCTTAAAACCACTCCTGTGCTTTGATTCTCTCCTTTTAAATAGTTTGTCCAGAAAACTTGTTTAAAAATCGTCCCCTTCTTCCTCTTTCTAAAGGGTAACGACAGAAGTAGGAAACACACATTCTTTGCTTTGCTTTTCTTGAAAGCCCTTAGTTGAGAGATTCTTAGTTGAGATTCTTGAATTCATATTTTCAAGCATAGTCAGAATGGATACTTCCTGCTAAGAAGAAGCCAGCGCTTCTAGGAAATGTTATGTTGCAGAATTAGGGCAGCCTGCCACAGCACGAGACAAAACCTGACCTGGATTTTATCAACACCATTAGAAAATAATTGTAGTGATGCCTCATAGTTATGTAGTAAGTTATAAATTAATTTCTCAGCCGGGCACGGTGGCTCAGGCCTGTAATCCCAGCATTTTAGGAGGCTGAGGTGGGTGGATCACCTGAAGTCAGGAGTTCGAGACCAGCCTGGCCAACATGCTGAAATCCAGTCTCTACTAAAAATACAAAAAAAAATTAACCAGGTGTGGTGGTGCATGCCTGTAGTCCCAGCTACTTGAGAGGCTGAGGCAGGAGAATTGCTTGAACCTGGGAGGCGGAGGTTGCAGTGAGCTGAGATCTGGTCATTGCACTCCAGGATGGGCAACAGAGTGAGACTTTGTCTCAAAAAAAAAAATAAATAAAATAATGTCTCATTTTATTCTCAGTGTTCCTGTGAGTGAGCCAGGCCAGGGATTTTATATATTTAGTGTGGTGGTTGTGGTTATTCTATGGATACAGCCAATTTTGTATTTTGGCTTAAAAAATTTATGTTGGCCAGGCACAGTGGCTCACGCCTGTAATCCCGGCACGTTGGGAGGCTGAGGCGGGTGGATCACCTGAGGTCAGGAGTGCGAGACCAGCCTGGCCAACACGGTGACACCCCATCTCTACTAACAAAATACAAAAAAAAAAAAAATTAGCCAGGTGTGGTGGTGCACACCTTTAATCCCAGCTACTCGGGAGGCTGAGTCAGGAGAATCACTTGAACCTGGGAGGTGGAGGTTACAGTAAGCCGAGATGGCACCACTGTACTCCAGCCTGGGTGACAGAGACTCTGTCTCAAAAAACAAAACAAAACAAAACAAACACAAAAACTAGCCAGGCATGGTGGTGGGTGCCTATAATCCCAGCTACTTGGGAGGCTGAGGAAGGAGAATTGCTTGAACCCGGGAGGCAGAGGTTGCAGTGAGCCAAGATCGCGCCATTGCACTCCAGCCTGGGTGACAGAGCAAGACTCCGTCTCCAAAAAAGAAAAAATTTGTTATCTCATGAGCATTTTTCGATATACTTCTCCTTAGACATGATTTTAAATAGCTGCTTAATATTCCATGTATATTCATAGTATTCTGTGTATATCTTCTCCCTAGACAAGATTGGAAATGACTGCCTAATATTCAATTTAATGGATATATTTTAGCTTACTAAAATATTTTACCTTCTGATTCCATGGTGAGTAGAAAAAAAAAAAAAAGAAAGAAAATGTTTTCCTGATCTTCGTTATTTAGGTTGCTTCTTTTTTATCACTATTACAAAAGTATTGAGGGCTAGGCATGGTGGCCCATGCCTGTAATCCCAGCAATTTGGGAGGCTGAGGCGGGTGGATCACTTGAGGCCAGGAATTCGAGACCAGCCTGGCCAATATGATGAAACCCTGTTTCTACTAAAAATACAACAATTAGCCAGGCATGGTGGCACGTGCCTGTAGTTTCAGTTACTCAGGAGGCTGAGGCATGAGAATCGCTTGAACCCAAGAGGTGGAGGTTGCAATGAGCTAAGATCACACCACTGCACTCCAGCCTGGGTGACAGAGTGAGACTCTGTCTCAAAAAAAAAAAAAAAGAAAAGAAAAATGAAAAAAAAAAAAGTATTGTGATGAACATGTTTGCTAAAAAATGCTCCCACACATACATCTGTACACATGTTTAGGATGGAGTACTAGGAAAGGAATGGTGGACAACAGTCTCAAGGCTCTTGGTGCATATAGAGATATGATTATAAACCTATTTTACAGGTAAGGAAACAGACTCAGAGTGAAATCTGACCAAGTTCACAGGACTCATCAATGCACAACTGAAACTTGGGTCTAAGTCTTACGCTTCCAACTCTGATGTTCTTTCGTTACAACTTGCTGCCTGTGGTGTGGTCCATGGACCAGCAGCCTTGGCAAATCTTGGAAGCTTGTTAGGAATGCATAATCTCGGGCCCTACCCAAGACCTTGAGAATCAGAATCTGCATTTACCATGATCCTGAGATGCCTCTATACATATCAGTGTTTGAGAAGCAAGCACTGCTTACAACATATCCTGCCCTGTGAAGGATGCCTCTGAAGTGCTTTGAAATAAGGCAAAACATCACTGGCTTTGGTGTTACTGGTTAATTCTCAGCTTCAAAACATCTCTAACATTTCCTTGTTAAGGGCTGTATGGATTGTGCCCACTTCAAGAAACGCTTTGCTAATTTCATTGTAAACATCGGAATCTTTAACTTACTTCTATATTATCCCTGGATATGGCCATCACTTCTGCTCAAAATTGTACAAGTAGTATTTCAGAATAATTTTCAATAAGAAAGTATCAGGGTGAGGGATAAAGTGCATTCCACCAGGAGTTCTGGCCTAAGTTCCACCATTAACAAGCTGGTGACCTGGACGAATTATCCTTGATGAATGACCTTTAAGCCACTGAGTTATCCCTTATTGAGTTAGAAACTGTAAGGAGGACAATTTTATAAACCATAAAGCACTGGACGCATCTGTGGGGAGCATGTATTTAGATATCATTTTCCTCAAATGAAGGTGTTTACACCACATGATCCTTGGGGAAGGTATTCACAGGACCAAACCCTTCTAAGGAAAGCTATTTTGGATTGTATTCCACCTGTGCTCTCCAGGAATATAATGACAGAGAGATATGAATCAAATCAGGATATGGGTAGAGTGAAAGCTTGGATTTTCAAAGGGTCTTCAAAGTCCCTTTTAAATCTCAAAACTTATGATCTTATGCCATTCTAACATGAAAAAAAGAATCAGAGAATTCTAACATCGCTAGTCATTCTGCACAGCTCCCTGCTTCCAGGAAAGAGAGCAGCTCTTCTATTCTTTAAAAGTGTTGATTTATAGAAGAATAGATTTTAAATGTTTTCACCACAAAAAAAAAGATTACTATATGAGGTGATGAATTTGTTAAGTAGCAGGATTGAATCATTCCACATTGTGAACATATAGCAAAACATCATATTGTACCCCATAAATATATACAATTGTTATTTGTCAATTAAAAATAAAATAATGAGGCCAGACATGGTGGCTCACACCTATAATCCCAGCACTTTGGGAAGCTGAGGTGGACAGATCACCTGAGGTCAGGAGTTCGAGACCAGCCTGGCCAACATGGTAAAACTGTGTATCTACTAAAAATACAAAAATTAGCTGGGCGTGGTGGTGCACACCTGTAATCCCAGCTACTCTGGAGGCTGAGGTAGGAGAATCGCTTGAACTCAGAGGCAGAGGTTGCAGTGAGCCAAGATCATGCCACTGCACTCCAGCCTGCGTGACAGAGTGAGACTGCACCTTTAAACAAACAAACAAACAAACAAAAAACATATATATATATATATATGTATAAAAGATACTAATTTTCCCTAAGGGGTTACAGAAAGCTTCTTAGAAGAGATGTCCCTTGGGCTGAAGAGGAGATAGCCAGGGGGAAAAGGGAGTGAAGGGTATTTCAAGCAGAGGAAACAGCAAATGCTCAGGGAACAGCAAATGCAAAGATGCCATGGGAACTGAGAACATGACAAAGAGTTAAGCATGGCTCGTGGCAGGTATGTGGAAGACTGGGTAAGATGCAGGAGTGGGTGGCAAGATTCAATGTAGCTCTTGCAGACAGACTGAGCCAAAGCCTCCGTTGCATAACTGTTTCAGAGAGGAGTTAGCATGCAGGTATTGTAGAAAAATACCTGTTTGGAATGATCTTTAGTCTAGAGAAGGTACCATATCAAGAAATCCATTGGCATCATCCTGAACCAGAACTTATATTTCTCCTCTTGCCTGGGTTTACTCTTTTCCCCTCTCTCTTTAGCATAGCTGCTTCATCTTTCTCTGAAAGAAAATGAAGTCTCGGCATTGGCAGCTTTTGATCCAGTGTTCATTTGATCTGGTTGATTCAGGAAACAGATGCATCCTCTTGGTCTCAGCACAAATCACTGGGGTTTCTTTCTTTATTATTATTTTTGTTTGGCGAAAGCCAGATCTATGTCTCAATCAGCATAGAGGAAAAAAGTAATTACTGAAGTATTAGTGTTATTATTATTTCCTGATATGAGCTGCTGCATTCCTTACTTGTATCTGGTTTTCTCCCTAGGCTGAGGTCAAAAAGTTTAAAACAAATCCTTCTTGGATAAAGCCTGTATTAATTATTTTTAACCTTGTTTGCATTGGAGACCTCTTTGAGACGTTAATGAAAAAGATAAACCCTCTCCTCAAAACAAATTCACCTTTTCCTATACCCACAAGATGTAACATGGTTTCAAGAGATTCGCAAACCTCTTAAAGCCCCTGAGGACCCTTAAGGAATCCATAGACCTTGGTTAAGAAGCTCTAAACAGTTAAAAATAACATAGAAGAGGGCCTGGCGCGGTAGCTCATGCCTGCGTGGTGGCTCATGCCTGCTATCCCAGCACTTTGGGAGGCTGGGGCGGGGTGGCGGGGGGCGGTGGATCACCTGAGGTCAGGAGTTCGAGACCAGCCTGGCCAACATGGCAAAACCCTGTCTCTACTAAAAATACAAAAAATTAGCCAGGCCTGGTGGCAGGTGCCTGTAATCCCAGCTACTTGGGAGGCTGAGGCAGGAAAATCACTTGAACCAGGGAGGTGGAGGTTGCAGTGAGCCAAGATTGTGCCATTGCACTCCAGCCTGGGCAACAAGAGCAAAAATTCATCTAAAAAAAGTATATATATATATAAAATATATAGAACTGCTTGTTGAAATTGAACTGTGCCAGGTGCCTGCTAATTCTGGTGGTATGTTTTGGAAAGTCAAAATAAATCTGAATTGTATTGGCCATATAGTTGTTGAAGCCTCTGCTATAGATTAGATTCAGTGGGCAGAGTTCAGTACTGCCAATGCCCCCACCGCCATGAAAACCCAAACATGAGTAAAGGTCCCAGAGAGAGAAGGAAGAGGAGCAGAAAATAACTTGAGACTTTTCATATTCTAAAGTTAAGTCCTTAGCCTTGGCGTCAGAAGACTTTGTTTTATTTTTTAATTAATTAGTTTATTTATTTTGAGATGGAGTCTCACTCAGTTGCCCAGGATGGAGTGCAGTGGCGCAATCTTGGCTCACTGCAACCTACACCTCCCAGGTTCAAGCGATTCTCCTGCCTCAGCCTCCAGAGTAGCTGGGACTACAGGCCAGCGCCACCACGCCCAGCTAATTTTTATATTTTTAGTAGAGATGGGGTTTCACCATATTGGCCACGCTGGTCATGAACTCCCGACCACAGGTGATCCACCCGCCTCAGCCGCCCAAAAAAAACCTTGTTTTAATATTAGCTTTACCAGTTTCTACCTTTGTAAATTTTTTTTTTTTTGAGATGGAGTTTTGCTTTTGTTGCCCAGGCTGGAGTGCAATGGCGCGATCTCAGCTCACTGCAACCTTTGCTTCCCGGGTTCAAGCGATTCTCCTGCCTCAGCCTCCCCAGCAGCTGGGATTACAGGCATGCACCACCACGCCTGGCTAATGTTGTATTTTTAGGAGAGACAGGGTTTCTCTATGTTGGTCATGGACCTCATGTGATCTGCCCACCTCGGCCTCCCAAAGTGCTGAGATTACAGGCATGAGCCACTGAGCCCGGCCTTCTACCTTTATAATTTTGTCAAGTCATTTTAGTTTTCTGAATATCAGCTTTCTCACCTGTAAAATGGGGATGATAATAATAATACCCACCTCTCAGGGCTGTTGTGAGGACTTAATGAAGCAATGCGTGTGAAAGTATTTACTAGACATCTGGCTCACAGATGGTGCTTGACAGATGTTAACTAAAATCCAATTCTTCCCGGGTGGAGGAAGCCCTTTTAGAGATCTTATGTACCAGAATAATTTTGGTGAGGGACTTCTGGTTTCCAGTCTGGCATGTAAGGAGCTTAGAAGTCACCTCTCTGTCCTTAAAATAAGTAAAAACTGAACAAACTTAAAAATCAACAACTCCCTCTCCCTCTCCCTCCCCCTCCCCCTCCCCCTCTCCCCTTTGCACGGTCTCCCTCTGATGCCGAGTGGAGGCTGGACTGTACTGCCGCCATCTCGGCTCACTGCAGCCTCCCTGCCTGATTCTCCTGCCTCAGCCTGCCGAGTGCCTGGGATTGCAGGCGCGCGCCGCCACACCTGACTGGTTTTCGTATTTTTTGGTGGAGACGGGGTTTTGCCGTGTTGGCCGGGCTGGTCTCCAGCTCCTGACCGTGAGTGGTCTGCCAGCCTCGGCCTCCCGAGGTGCCGGGATTGCAGACGGAGTCTCGCTCACTCAGTGCTCAACGTTGCCCAGGCTGGAGTGCAGTGGCGTGATCTCGGATCGCTACAACCTCCGCCTCCCAGCCGCCTGCCTTGGCCTCCCAAAGTGTCGAGATTGCAGCCTCTGCCCGGCCGCCACCCCGTCTGGGAAGTGAGTAGCGTCTCTGCCTGGCCGCCCATCCTCTGGCATGTGAGGAGCCCCTCTACCTGGCCGCCCAGTCCGGGAAGTGAGGAGCGCCTCTTCCCGGCCGCCACGCCGTCTAGGAAGTGAGGAGCGTCTCTGCCTGGCCGCCCATCATCTGGGATGTGGGGAGCGCCTCTGCCCTGCCACCCCGTCTGAGATGTGAAGAGTGCCTCTGCCCGGCCATGACTCCGTCTGGGAACTGAGGAGTGTCTCTGCCCCGCCGCCACCCCGTCTGGGAGGTGAGGAGCGTCTCTGACCGGCCCCCCCCCGTCTGAGAAGTGAGGAGCCCCTCCTCCCGGCAGCCGCCCCGTCTGGGAAGTGGGGAGCCCCTCCACCCGGCAGCCGCCCCGTCTGGGAAGTGAGGAGCGTCTCCACCCGGCAGCCGCCCCGTCCGGGAGGTTGGGGGCAGCCCCCGCCCGGCCAGCCGCCCCGTCTGGGAGGTGGGGGGCGCCTCTGCCCCGCCGAGACCCCGTCTGGGAGGTGAGGAGCGTCTCTGCTCGGCCGCCCTGTCTGAGAAGTGAGGAGCCCCTCCGCCCGGCAGCCACCCCGTCTGGGAAGTGAGGAGCGTCTCCAGCCGGCAGCCACCCGGTCCGGGAGGGAGGTGGGGGGCAGCCCCCACCCAGCCAGCCGCCTCGTCCGGGAGGGAGGTGGGGGGTCAGCCCCCACCCGGCCAGCCGCCCCGTCCGGGAGGGAGGTGGGGGGCGCCTCCACCCGGCCAGCCGCCCCATCCGGGAGGTGGGGGGCGCCTCTGCCCGGCCACCCCTTCTGGGAAGTGAGGAGCCCCTCTGCCAGGCCACCACCCCGTCTGGGAGGTGTACCCAACAGCTCATTGAGAACGGGCCATGATGACGATGGCGGTTTTGTGGAATAGAAAAGGGGGAAAGGTGGGGAAAAGATAGAGAAATCAGATTGTTGCTGTGTCTGTGTAGAAAGAAGTAGACATGGGAGACTTCATTTTGTTCTGTACTAAGAAAAATTCTTCTGCCTTGGGAAAAAAAAAAAAGAAATGAAGGAGAAATAAGCAGTTTCTCAGATAAACAAAAACTACAGGAATTTGTCATCAGTAGGTCTGCCTTTCAAGCAAGGTTAAAAGAAGTTCGAAAAACCAGATCTACATGAAGAAAGGAAGACAGGCTAGGCACAGTGGTACATGCCTGTAGTCCCAGCTACTTGGGAAGCTGAGGCAGGAGGATCGCTTGAGCCCAGGGGTTCAAGTCCAGAGTCCAGCCTGGGCAACATAGCAAGACTCCATCTCTAAAAAATAAGAAAAAAAATTTTTCTAAATGAGAAAGGAAGAGCATTGGATCAGAGAATGAATAAATGAAGAATAAAATATTTTTCTTATTTTGTTTTAAATAGAGACGGGGTTCTCCCTTGTTGTCTAGGCTGGTTTCAAACTCCTAGGTTCAAGTGATCCTCCCACCTCAGCCCCGCAAAGTCCTGGGATTACAGGTATGATCCACTATGCCCGCCGCTTTTCTTATTCTTAACTGATCTAACAGATAACAGTTTCTTCAAAATAATAGCAACAATGTCATTGATTATGTACGGTTACATGTATATATATGTGTGTGTGTGTGTTGGTATGTTTGTGTATGGTTGAAATAAATGACAGTAATGATACAAGGGATGGGAGAGAGGAATTTAAAAAATATTTTGTTATTATAAGATGCTTGCACTACCCATGAAGTGGTATAGTGTTATTTGAAAGTAGACTTCGATTAATTGTCAATGTATATTGCAAACTCTAAGGCAGCCACTAAAAAACAGTAATAAAAGAAGTATAATTGATATGCTAAGAAAGGAGAGAATATAAAATACTCAATTAAAACCACAAAAGGCAGAAAAAGTATGGAAAACAAAAATAAGAACAGAGAACCAGGGCAAAAAGTGGAAAACAGTAACAAATACAGTGGATATTATCCAACTAGACCAATAACATCTTAAACATCAATGATCTAAATACACCAAGAAAAAGAGATTGTCACAGTGAATTTTAAAAAAGACTCTCTGATTGCTGTGGTTGATATGTTAAAAAAGAAAAAAGAAAAAAAATCTCAACTACATGTTGCCTATGAGAAACCCACTTTAAATATAAAGATACATATAGAGTAAATGTAAAGTGATGGAGAAAGATATTGCATGGTAACACTAATCAAAGCAGACAGTAGCTATAATTAATTTCGGACAGAGCAGTCTTCAGAGCAAGAAAGTCGTCAGAGATAAAGAGAGGCATAACATAATGACAAAGGGGCTAATTCCCCAAGAAGACATAACAATCCTTAATGTGTATGCACTAACAATAGAGCATCGAAATATGTGAGGCAAAACTGATAAAACTATAAAGAGAAATAGATGAGTCCACTATCATGGTTGGAGATTTTAACACCCCTCTACCAGAAATAAATAGCAGGCAGAGAATCAGTAAGGATGTAGTTGAACTCAATAGCGCCATCAATCAACTGAATATAATTGACATCTATAGATTACTTCATCCAATAAAAGCAGATTACATGTTCTTCTCAAGCTCACATGGAACATTCATCAAGATAGACCACAATCTGAGCCATAAAAAACACTTTAGCAAATTTAAATAGAAACCATACAATGTCTACTGTCAGACCACAGTGGAATTAAACTGGAATCCCATAACAGAAAAACAGCTGAAAAATCCCCAAACAACACATTCCTAAACAACATATAGCTCAGGGAAGAAATTTCAAGAGACAGCTGAAACTATTTTGGGCTGGGCACGATGGCTCACACCTGTAATACCAGCACTTTGGGAAGACAAGGCAGGCGGATCACTTGAGATCAGGAGTTCAAGACCAGCCTGACCAACATGGGACAACCCCGTCTCTACTAAAAAATATCAAAAATTAGCCAGGTGTGGTGGTGTGTGCCTGTAATCCAAGCTACTTGGGAGGCTGAGGCAGGAGAATCGCCTGAACCCGGGAGGCAAAGGTTATAGTGAGCCACGATCATGCCACTGTACTCCAGCGTGGGCAATGGAGCAAGACTCCATCTCAAAAAAAAAAAAAGCGATTTCGAACTAAATGAAAATACAACTTAACAAAATTTATGGATGCATTAAAAACAGCACTTAGAGGAAGATTTATAGCATTGAAAGCATATAGTAGAAAAGAAAAAAGGTCTAAAATCAATAATGTAAACTTCCGCCTTAGAAAACTAAAAAAAAAGCAAATTAAATCCAAAGTCAGTATAAGAAGAAAAATAATTAAAATCAGAGCAGAAGTCAATGAAGTTGGCAGCTGGGCATGGTAGCTCATGCCTGTAATCCCAGCACTTTAGGAGGCCAAGGCGGGCGGATCACCTGCGGTTAGGAGTTCGAGACCAGCCTGGCCAACTTGGTGAAACCCTCTCTTTACTAAAAAATACAAAAACTAGCTGGGTGTGGTGGCACATGCCTGTAGTCCCAGCTATTCAGAAGGCTGAGGCAGGAAAATCGCTTGAACCCGGGAGGCGAAGGTTGCAGTGAGCTGAGATCGCGCCACTGCATCACTCCAGCCTGGGTAATGGAGCAAGACTCTGTCTTGAAAATAAATAAATAAATCAATGAAGTTGAAAACAGGAAATTAAGAGAGAAAATCAACAAAACCAAAAGCTGGCTCTTTGAAAAGATCGATAAAATCAATAAGCCTCTAGCCAGTCTAGGAAAAAAAAAAAAAGATACAAATTACTAACATAAGAAATGAAAGTGGAGATATTATTACAGACCCCATTGTCATTAAAAGTATAACAAAGAAATATTATGAGCCACTCTATGCCAACTCTCTTAGTCCACTTTCTACTGCTATAACAGAAAACCACCGGCTAGGTAATTTATAAAGAACAGAAGTTTATTTGGCTCGTGGTTCTGGAGGCTGGGAAGTCCAAGAGCATGGTGCCAGGATCTGGTGAGGGTTATCCCATGGTTATTCCATGGCAGAAGGTATCACATGGTGAGAGAGTATGCGAGAGAGAGACAGAGACAGAGACAGAGAAAGACAGAGAGAGAGAGAGAGAGAAAGGGGGCTGAACTTTCTTTTTTTTTAAAAAAAAATAAGTAATCTGCTCCTGCAATAGCAGCCTTAATTCATTCATGAGGGTGGTTTCCCCTTGACCTAACACCTCTTAAAAGTCCCACCTCTCAACATCATCACAATGGCAAATAAATTTCAACATGAGTTTTGGAGGGGACTTCAAACCATATCATCCATGAATTTGATAACCTAGATGAAATGGACCAATTTCTTGAAAGAAACAATCTGCCAAAACTCACATAAGAAGAAATAGACAATCTGAATAGGCCTATATCTATTAACCCTTTTCTCACTTAGAAGGAAAAAAAAAAAACCAGCTCGCTGCCTGTGCTCATTTAATTTTACATAAACATGCTCTTTCAGACTGAAGCAAATCTGACTGATTTTCAATGTGAAAATAAAATATAAAAACTGTTCTTGCAGTTATTTCCAAACGGAATTAACATAAGAATCTGAATAATCAGAATTGTCTGTTTTGGAAAAATTGGATTCATCAAATGAATCTTCAGCCAACAACTGTTCGAGAATAATGTTAACATCATACGTATGAATGTTACATTTTCTAGGATTTGGCATTTTCAGCAATCGAGAATTACTATATTTTCTAAATGGAAATACGAGTACTAAAAACAGAATGCTATAAGTAGAATGATATCTTTTGTTGCCAAAGTCAATATACTAGAGTGAGGCAAAAATAATAATAAAAGCAAGATATTTTGTGGCAAAGTTATCTTGGGGGTAAATACTGCAGTCACAAGTGCCACTGGTGAGTATTCTCGGGGCATATGGGAAAAAGGTTAAGGAAATTGAATCAATAATAACTTTCCAAAACAGCACCAGGCCCAGATGGGTTCACTGATTAATTGTACCAAAAATTCAAGGGAGAAATTTTACCAATTCTCTACAATCTCTTCTAGAGATAGAAGCAGAGAGACCAATCCTAATTCATTCTATGAGGCCAGTATTACCCTAATACCAAAACCAGACAAAGACATTAGAGGAAAAGAAAACTACAGACCAATATCTCTCATGAACATAGATGCAAAAATCTTCAGTAAAATATTAGCAAATCAAATCCAATAATGTCAGAAAAGAATTATACACCATAACCAAGTGGGATTTATCCCAGGTATGCAAGACTAGTTCAACATTTGAATATTAATTAATATAATCTATCACATCAGTAATTGTGCCACTGCACTCCAGCCTGGGCAACAGAGCAAGACTCCGTCTCAAAAAAAAAAAAAAAAAAAAAAGAAAAAACTCTCAGCAAGCTAGGAATAAAGGGAAACTTCCTTAACTTAAATAAGAACATCTATAGGCCGGGCACAGTGGCTCATGCCTGTAATCCTAGCACTTTGGGAGGTTGAGGCGTAGGATTACTTGAGGTCAGGAGTTTGAGATCAGCCTGGCTAACATGGTGAAACCCTGTCTCTACTAAAAATACAAAAATTAGCCAGGCATGGTGGGGGGCAATTCCAGCTACTCGGGAGGCTGAGGTAGGAGACTTGCTTGAACCCTGGAGGCGGAGTTTGTAGTGAACCAAATGTGCCACTGCACTCCAGCCTGGGCAACAGAGTGAGACTCAATCTCAAAAATTAAATAAATAAATAAATAAATAAATAAATAAATAAATAAATAAGTAAATAAAAGAACATCTCTAAAAACCCCCCAACCAGCATCATACTGAGTGGTGAAAAACTTGAAACTTTCCTGCTAAGATCAGGAATGAGGCAAGGCTGTCCGCTCTCACCACTGTTTTTCAACATTGTACCAGAAGTCCTAGCTAATGCAACAAGACAAGAAGAGGAGATAAAAGCTATGCAGATTGGGAAGGAAGAAATATAAATGCCTTTGTTTGCAGATGACATGATTGTCTATGTAGAAAATCCAAAAGAAGCAACAACAGCAAAAACCTCCTGGAACTAATAAGTGATTACAGCAATGTTTCAGGATGCAAGGTTAAAAACAAAAGCCAATCACTTTCCTAAGTAGCAGCAATGAACAAGTAAATTTTTTTTTTTTTTTGAGACAGGGACTTGATCTGTCACTCAGCTGGAGTGCAGTGGCATGAATGTGGACCACTGCAACCTTTACCTCCTGGCTCAAGTCATCCTCCTGCCTCAGCCTCCTGAGTAGCTGGGTCTGTAGGCACATGCCACCATGCATGGCTAATGTTTTAATTTTTTGTAGAGATGGGGTCTCACCGTGTTGCTCAGACTGGTCTCAGACTCCTGGGCTCATGAACCACTGCCTGTAATCCCAGCCCTTTGGAAAGCTAAGGCAGGAGAATCACATTGTCACCTAGCCCACAAATGGAATTTGAAATTAAAAACACATTACCATTTACATTAGCATCTCAAAAATGAAATCCTTAGGTGTAAATCTAGCAAAGCATGTACAAGATCTACATGAGATCTGGGTGCAGTGCTTCATGCCTGTAATCCCAGCACTTTGGGAGGCTAAGGTGGGCGGATCACCTGAGGTCAGGAGTTCGAGACCAGCCTGGCCAACATGGAGGAACCCCATCTCTACTAAAAAATACAAAAACTAGCTGGGTGTGGTGGTAGGCACCTGTAATCCCAGCTACTTGGAGGCCGAGGCAGGAGAATCACTTGAACCTGGGAGGCAGAGGTTACAGTGAGCCGAGATCAAGCCACTGCACTCCAGTGTGGTGTGGGCCACAGAGCGAGATTCCATCTCAAAAAAAAAAAAAAAAAAGAAAGATCTACATGAGAAAAGCTACAGAACTCTGATGAAAGAAATCAAAGAAGTATGATAGGTAGATAGATATTCCATGTTCATAGATAGGAAAACTCTGCTGCAAGCCACACTGGTGCCCTAGGAACATACTTCATCCTTCAACTGAATAAGGCAGCACTGAATTCCCCAAATACACATCCCAAAGTCATAATCAAGGAAGTCAGGAAGAGTCTTTTGGTGGGCATGAGCATCATAGTCAGGTTCTCAGACACCAGACTGGTTTCCTCTGAGGGTTTGTTATCAGAATTCCTGCTCACAGGCCACTGTCCTGGCCAGGCTGCACCTTCCTCTCTTTGCATCCTGGCAGCAGCCACATCAGTGGGTGCAAGAGGCTCATGTGACCCCATGTAACCTGCCCCTTGGATGTGTCGGCCATCACAGGTCTCAGGTGCCTTTTGTCTTTCTAAAGCAGAACTGAAATTTCACCTGGGCAGTCCGCTTTAGAGACCACAGAACTTTCATTTCCTTTTTATTCTAGGGAGAAAGTACTGAACACTATTATCTCACCAAGAGAAAGTGGGTACTGGGTGAGTAGAGGCTGGGTGGGGCTTGGTTCACACCTGTGGTTCCTAACCCAGCAAATCACTGAAATCACCTAGAGGAACTTATTATGATGCAGACTCCTAGTCTCTGCCTC
This sequence comes from Homo sapiens, assembly GCF_000001405.40. Classification (NCBI taxonomy): domain Eukaryota; kingdom Metazoa; phylum Chordata; class Mammalia; order Primates; family Hominidae; genus Homo; species Homo sapiens. The sequence continues at coordinate 47,900,199 of NC_000011.10, forward strand.
AGACCTGCTCTGGGATAGGCGTAGAGGGCAGGGGTCTGTAATTTTTTAAGTGCCCACCGAATGATTCTGATGACCCTGTAGACTTGGGAACCACTGGGGTAGAGAAATAAGGCCACTTGCTCCTTTCTGCTCAAGGGTATTCATGTTTTCGTGCTTCCTTATTTTTGATGACATTTCCGTCTCAATGCTAACTCCTATAATGTTCAAACATACCTTTATTATGTCATATGATATCATATACATTTCCATATTTATTTCCTTGACCAGTTGAGCTCCTCAAGTGTGAAAGGTGTTATTCACCTTTGTTTCCTGCACTCAGGGTTACCACATACAGTCGAGCAGGTTATTCACTGTACAAAGGAGCTTATCATGGAAGGTAGGTTGGGCTGTAAATGGCGCTAAAATCTAGCCTGATTCACCAAGCATGAGCCCTGATTTTGGCCTCTGAAAGTCTAGAGGGAGGCCAGGCGGGGTGGCTTACGCCTGTAATCCCAGCACTTTGGGAGGCAGAGGTGGGCGGATCACCTGAGGTCAGGAGTTTGAGACCAGCCTGGCCAACATGGCGAAACCCCATCTCTATGAAAAAGATAAAAAATTAGCCGGGTGTGGTGGCAGTTACCTGTAATCCCAGCTACTTGGGAAACTGAGGCAGGAGAATTGCTTGAACCTGGGAGGCGGAGGTTGCAGTCAGCTGAGGTCATGCCACTGCACTCCAGCCTGGGCGACAGAGCAAGACTCTGTCTAAAAAAAAAAAAAGAAAGTCTAGAGGGAAGGATAGATAGATAGATAGATAGATAGATAGATGTATATATCTATATACACACACACACACACACATACATAGATATAGATATAGATAAAGATATAGATATAGATTTTTTTTTTTAAGAGACAAGGTCTCGCTGTGCCACCCAGCCAGGACGGATTGCAGGGGCAATCATAGCTCACTGCAGCCTTGACCTCCCGGGCTCAAGTGATCCTCCGACCTCAGCCTCCCGAGTATCTAAGACAACACATGTGCACCACCATATCCAGCTAATTATTCTTGTTATTTTTTATTTTAAAATTTTTTTGTAGAGACAGAGTCTTGCTGTGTTGCCCAGGATTTTGAACTCTTGGCCTTAAGTGATTCTCCTGCCTCAGCCTCCCAAAGTGCTAGAATTACAGGCATGAGCCACCATGCCTGGCAGATACCTTTTCTAATTGAACAAAGGTGCTATATGTCTAGGGCTGGCTCTGTCTGCACCCGGATCACCTGAGGTCAGGAGTTCGAGACCAGCCTGACTAACATGGAGAAACACCGTCTCTATTAAAAACACAAAATTAGCCGGGTGTGGTGGCGCATGCCTGTAATCCCAGCTACTTGGGAGGCCGAGGCAGGAGAATTGCTTGAACCCAGGAGGCGGAGGTTGTGGTGAGCCGAGATCATGCTGTTGCACTCCAGCCTGGGCAACAAGAGCAAAACTCCATCTCAAAATAAATAAATAAATAAATAAAATAAAATTTAAAAAACAGACGACTGGCATACAATCCTGCTGGTTGCTGACTGATGATAATATTTGAGTCTGTGCAATATTTGAGTCTGTCACAAAAACTGAGCATCTATTCAAGGAAGGCACAGAGTTTAGTGCCTTTAGTAGAAGGTAGGTGATTAAAGACTGTTTGTTAAATTGAACAGAAAGCCTTTTCCCCCTTCTCTGTCTCTCAGAATCTTCTCATTCTTCAAGGCCTAGCCCCAATATTAATTTTTCTAGGAGAAGTCTTCTTCCAGCTTCAATCCATTGCCTCTTTCTTGGAGGTACAGCAATGCCTGGTTTATATCTCTAGAACAGCACTTTTGTGGTCTGACTTACATTGGAGTTGGTCTCTGCCATTGATCTGTGAATCCTTCATAGGCAGAGCCACCATATTCAGCTCTTTCAGTCTTGAGTGTTTAGGCAGCCCAGTGAAAATTTATTAAATGAATGTATACCCAACTCTAAATGACCCTTCAGACTCTGGCTTTCACCAGATCCTGTAAAAAGATGCAATAGCTTTCATCTCTGTTACCTGAAACTGGAAGTGCAATTTCAGAAATCAGTGCTAATTCAATTAATTACATACATATATGTGTGTGTCTTTATGTATATATGTATATGTGAATACATGCATGTGCATGTATGTATACATATAAACATATATGTTAACATCGCATATATTAATAACAGCTTTGTAGGCAGCACTGGGCCTAGTTAGATAGGTGATTCAGGCCGGGTGCAATGGCTCATGCCTATAATCACAGCACTTTGGGAGGCTGAGGCGGGTGGATCACCTGAGGTCAGGAGTTCGAGACCAGCCTGACCAACATGGAGAAACCCCGTCTCTACTAAAAACACAAAATTAGCCAGGTGTGGTGGCGCATGCCTGTAATCCCAGCTACTTGGGAGGCCGAGGCAGGAGAATTGCTTGAACCCAGGAGGCAGAGGTTGTGATGAGCCGAGATCATGCCATTGCACTCCAGCCTGGGCAACAAGAGCAAAACTCCATCTCAAAATAAATAAATAAATAAAATAAAAAAAATTTAAAAAACAGGCGATTGGCATACAATCCTGCTGGTTGCTGACTGATGATAATATTTGAGTCTGTGCAATACTGGGTTACAGCTGTGTGTGATGGAGTCTGCATATTGGTTCCATTGATGCAGTAGATAGTTCTCGGGTGGCCTCGTATCTGAAAATTTTAAATAAGTCCTGCTCCAGGGCTAATTTTTCTCCTTTCTTTCCAGGAGGGAGATGTAGGAGAGGGGATGACCCCCATAATGGCAGGAGAGCCTCCTCATTGGCCTATGTGGATCCTGAGATGAACAAATAATGTGAGACATGGTAGTGGGAAGTAAAACGTACCCAACTATGGCCAAACTTTGGTACGTTGTTAGGAAAGATCAATGCTTTTTTTTTTCTTTTCTTTTTTTGAGACAGAGTCTCGCTCTATTGCCTAGGCTGGAGTGCAGTGGCTCCATCACCTCTCACTGCAACCTCCGCCTCCCAGGTTCAAGTGATTCTCCTGTCTCAGCCTCCCGAGTAGCTGGGATTACAGGTGCCTGCCACCATGCCTGGCTAATTTTTGTAGTTTTAGTAGAGACGAGGTTTCACCATGATGGCCAGGCTGGTCTTGAACTGCTGGCCTCAAGTGATCCTCCCACCTCAGCCTCCTGAGTAGCTGCAACTACAGGTGCGCACCACCATGTTTGGCTAATTTTTTATTTTTTGGTAGAGATAGGGGTCTCATTATGTGGCCCAGGCTTGTCTTAAACTCCTGAACTCCCATCTTGGCTTCCCAAAGTGGTGGGATTACAGGCATGAGCCACTGCACCTGGCCCAAGTTAATATTTTTTGCCACAAAAGTAAAAATGTAATTTTATAATGTTGCTATGGTTTGAATGTTGGTGTTTCTCCAAAATTCATATGTTAGAACCTAATACCCAATGCTACAGTCTTAAGAGATGGGGTCTTTGGGGAAGTGATTAAGTCATGTGGGCTCTGCCCTCATGAATGTGATTAGTGCTCTTATAAAAGCAGCTGAGTCCAGGCACGGTGGCTCATGCCTATAATCCCAGCACTTTGGGAGGCCAAGGCAGGCGAATCACTGGAGGTCAGGAGTTCGAGACCAGCCTGGCCAACATTGTGAAACCCTGTCTCTACTAAAAATACAAAAAATTAGCCAAGTGTGGTGGCACACGCCTGTAGTCCCAGCTACTCAGGAGGCTGAGGCAGGAGAATCGCTTGAACCTGGGAAGTGGAGATTGCAATGAGCCAAGATGGCACCACTGCACTCCAGCCTGGACAACAGAGCAAGACTCTGTCTCAAAAAAAAAAAAAAAAGAAAGAAAGAAAAAGAAAAAGAAAGTGATTGGAGGAAGCTGCCCTCCACCTCCACCATGTGAAGATGCCACAAGAAGATGTCATCTTTGAAGTGGAGAGCCCTCATCAGACATCACATCTGCCGGCATCTTGATCTTGGCCTTCCCTGCCCTCCAAATGTGAGTAATAAATTCTGTTGTTAATTACCCAGTCTAAGGTATTTTGTTATAGCAACCCAGATGGACTAAGTCAAATGCTATTCACAAACAATTGCAAAAGTTCAACAGCAATATCAATTGAGTCTAAAGTGGACTCTAAGTGACGTGGTCCATTATTGAATTTAATCCTACCAGTGTAGCAGGGTGAATCTACGTGTAAGTTCTTTCATAGATGATGCCAAAAGCCTGAATTTGAGGTCTTTTTCCATGTGAAGGCTAGATTAAATGACTCTCATCTCCTCCCCTAAACCATATTAGACTTGCCTAGCAACAAAGAGAGAACTTCATTAGGATGTGTTCATTAATGGGAGCTGAGGGCGTCAGGTGAAGAGGCTCTCACTGATGGAATCAAATTGCTGGGAGTGGCTGGGTGCAGTGGCTCAGGCCTGTAATCCCAACACTTTGGGAGGCCAAGGCGGGTGGAGCACCTGAGGTCAGGAGTTCGAGACCAGCCTGACCAATATGGTGAAACCCTGTCTCTACTAAAAATACAAAAATTAGTCGGGCATGGTGGCGGGCGGCTGTAATCCCAGCTACTTGGGAGGCTGAGAAACGAGAATTCTTGAACGCAAGAGGTGGAGGTTGCGGTGAGCCGAGATCGCACCACTGCACTCCAGCCTGGATGACACAGTGAGACTCCATCTCAAAAACAAAAAACTGAAAAATGCAAATTGCCGGGAGGGTATCTCAAATGGCACATTGGGCAAAAAAGCATGGACAGTGTGACAGGAAACCTTGACCATTCAAATATGCAAATTGTGGGGATTGCGTGGGCTCCGACTGGTAGTACAAAGTAAAGAGAAAGTGTTTCAAATTCGGGCACAATTAGAAAAGCACAATTGGAAAAACAAGATTGTTCTTTTTTGTTGTTGTAAGTGAATTAAAAAGTTTATTAGCCATAGAAAAAAACTGACTCCTCTAAATCAATTATTGATAAATCCCCTGTAAAACAGCAAGCTTACAGAAAATTTCTCTCATGAACGGATAGTCACTATACTTTTGGTCCAAGAAATGATGGGTTTTTTCCTCCTTCTTCAGATGACAGATGGATGTAACTGAATCTACAAACGAGTGTACTTGCCCCAAATGTGCAACATAAATACAGAAGAGATGAACAGAAGGCTCATAACCAATACTGGAACAGGACCAACTTTGAGCCCAGGTGAATCTTCTGTGTAGAATCGCCACATCCGCCATGTGCCTGCCGAGGTCGTGCGGCCTGCGCTCCTTGTCCCACAGCTGGCATTTTTCCTCTGCCGGACAGTGGATCTTGCTGCCCGGGCGGCCACGGCTTTGCTGGGAGAGTGTCCTGAGGATCCCACATTAGTGCCACTGGGGGTCGGACCAGGCATGCTGGAGATGAGGGTGGCAAGGAGCTGACGCTGACGGAAGGAAAGTTGCGGAGCCCCCGAAGGACCCGCAGCTGGCGAGACTGCCAGGAATGTTCTTAGAGAGTCATTTTGGCTTTCAGACCAAGTGAGTTCTTGGGCAGCCTCCTCTTGAGTTGGATGTTACGTACGGCAAATGGAATGTGCCATGGCTATAGGATAGGGTCAATGAGGGCAGTTTTCCAGCAAATCAAGTTCTTGTTTATGAACATTCTTCCTCCTTTGGATATGAAGTCATATGCTCTTCTGGGGGCCCTCTCTAAGTCATACCGGAAGAGGTGGAGACACATGGCAATCTTTGAGGTCAGGCAGACGGAGAAAAGCCCTAGGCAAGGTAGAATTTGTGCAACTGTAATCTTTGATAGCCTCACAACGAACTCTGATCCTGGTCTCAGACTGACCCATAATCCTAAACAAAGGGAGTAATCAAGGGGAGGGCAAGTTACGTTTATGTTGTGGACCAGGGGTCAGCAAACTCTTTTATAAAAGGCCAGAAATAATATTTTAGGCTTTGTGGGGCATATAGTCTTGATCACAGCTGCTCAACTTTGCTGTTGTAGTACAAAACCACCACAGGCAGTAAATAAATGAGTGAGTGTGGCTGTGTCCTAATAAAATCTTATTTGCAAAAACAGGTGGCAGCAGGCTGGGCATGGTGGCTTGCGCCTGTAATCTCAGCACTTTAGGAGGCTGAGGGGGGCGGGTCGCTTGAGCCCAGGAGTTTGAGATGAGCCTGGACAACATGGCGAAATTCCGTCTCTACAAAAGAAAAAAAAAGCAAAAATTAGCTGGGCATGGTGGTGCACTCCTGTAGTCCCAGCTACTCAGAAGGCTTAGATGGGAGGATCACTTCATCCCAGGATGTTGAAGCTGCAGTGAGCCAGTGATCATGCCACTGCACTCCAGCCTGGGCAACAGAGTGAGACCCTGTCTCGAAAACACAAACAAACAAACAAACAAACAAACAAATGCAGATGGCAGCAGGTTTGGCCCACAGGTCATAGGTTGCTAAACCTTACTCTGTAATACCACAAGCAGAAAACTATGCATCTCCAAGAAATACCAAATCTGAAATAAGATGACAGAGCATGCAACTCCATAAAAGGGACCCCCCAGATTAAGCAGTCTTAAATCTCAGATCTGACTGTGTGTGTATGGTGGCTCACACCTGTAATCCCAGCACTTTGAGAGGCTGAGGTGGGTGGATCACTTGAGCTCAGGAGTTCGAGACCAGCCTGGGTAACATGGAAAAACCCCGTCTCTACAAAAAATACAAAAATTAGCCACTGTGGTGGTGGGCACCTGTAGTCCCAGCTACTTGGGAGGCTGAAGTGGGAGGATTGCTTGAGCCCAGGAGGCAGAGGTTGTAGTCAGCTGAGATCGCACCACTGCACTCCAGCCTGGGCCACAGAGCAAGATCCTGTCTCAGAAAAAAAAAAAATCTCAGATCTATTAATTACAAGTTGTGAAACTTTGGAAAAAAGCCATAACTTCTCTCATGCTCAGGCTTTTCATTTGTGATATGGAGATTATAAGACCTACCCTGCCTACCCCAGAATGATGGTGAAGTGCAAATGGATGATCGTGCATCAACAGCAAGCAGCTCTCATTACTATTGTGGAACTGCAGAAACGCCCTTATGAATTAAAGACTAAAGCTCTTCATGGACAAGATGGTGCTTATTCACTATTGAATCAATAGTGCCTCCCACATATTAGCACTCAGAATAAATTTATTGACTTTATAAATGAAATACATATTTCCTTCTTTCAAATCAAGGTGCCATTATTTGAACAGACCAGAGCAGTAGCAGCTGATAGTGAAACAATTTGAAAAAAGGACATGGACCATTGAATTTTTGCAGTTTTAGCTATATTCAGGGAATGTTTCTGGACCAAGGTGCTTACACAACTTTGGGCATGCAAAGATGAGCTCCCATCAGGACATTACATACACGTTTCCAACTCCCTTCAGATGTACTGGAAACATTCCGTCATTGAGGGGGATTTTCCCTTGGGCCTTTATTTCTCATCAGTAATATCCTCATTGCAAAAGAATCCTCAGCCATTTGACTGACTACTCCTGGGGCTTGCTCCAACACTATATCTTCCCATAGATGGACACGGCCATGTGTACAAACTCCCCAGACGCATCATGCTAGCTTGTTAAGGGTTTGTCTGGTGTTTTACGGGGCATTATTGCCAAAATGAAGGTTAAAGATACCAGTGTAATGAATATTACTAATGCCAGCTGGGCGCAGTGGCTCATGCCTGTAATTCCAACACTTTGGGAGGCCGAGGTGGGCGGATCACTTGAGGTCAGGAGTTTGAGACTAGCCTGGCCAACATGGTGAAACCCCGTCTCTACTTAAAAAAATATAAAAGTTAGCCGGGCATGGTGGCACATGCCTGTAATCCCAGCTACTCGGGAGGCTGAGGCACAAGAATCGCTTGAACCTGGGAGGTGGAGGTTGCAATGAGCTGAGATCGTGCCAATGCACTCCAGCCTAGGCAACAGGGGTGAGACTCTGTCTCAAAAAAAAAAAAAAAAGCATGAATATTACTGATGCCAATAAAAGGAAAATGAAACAAAAACCTTGGCGATTGTTGTATATTAAGTCAAACCGAATAGCCCATTTGTCTGTCTATTTGGAGGCAGCAGGAAATAGTGGAAAGATCATGTGTGTTAGAGCCAGGCAGACCTGAGTTAAAGTCATTACTAGAGCTATGAAAGAGTTATGTGGTCTTGCACAATTTACTTAACCTTAATGTTATCATCTCAAGGTTGTTGTGAAACGAGCTAGAACAGTGCTTCTGAAAACCACTCTTGGGCGAGAAAGGACAAATATTCTGATAGGTGGAGGCTGTTGTTGGCTGGGCAGTGTCCCCCAGAGGGGTCTACTACAGTGGCCTTTTCCCAGGGCTTTGCCTTCAACTTAGCACGTTTAGCAGCTATTATTACTATTATGGAACTGCAGAAACACCTTAGGAATTAAAGACTAAAGCTCTTCATGGAAGAGATATGGCTTATTCACTACTGAATCAGTGGCACTTGCCACATATTGGCTGAGACCACTCTTGGCTGAGAATAGATAAAAGGCACTCTTTTTCTTTTTCTTTTTTCTTTTTTGAGACAGAGTCTCTCTCTGTCACCCAGACTGGAGTGCAGTGGCGCCATCTTGGCTCACTGCAAGCTCCGCGGTTCACGCCATTCTCCTGCCTCAGCCTCCCAAGTAGCTGGGACTACAGGCGCCTGCCACCATGCCCTGCTAATTTTTTTGTGTTTTTGTAGAGACGGGTTTCACCGTGTTAGCCAGGATGGTCTCGGTCTCCTGACCTCGTGATCCACCCGCTTCGGCCTCCCAAAGTGCTGGGATTACGGGCGTGAACCACTGCGCCAGGCCCCTCTTTTTTTTTTTTTTTTTTTTTTTAAGACAGAGTCTCACTCTGTCACCCAGGCTGGCAGGCTGGAGTGCAGTGGCGTGATCTCAGCTCGCTGTAACTTCCACCTCCTGGGTTCAAGCAATTCTCCCAAGTAGCTGGGATTACAAGCATGCGTCTCCACAGCCAACTAATTTTTGTATTTTTGGTAGAGATGGAGTTTCACCATGATGGCCGGGCTGGTCTCGAACTCCTGGCCTCAAGTGATCCACCTGCCTCAGCCTCCGAAAGTGCTGGGATTACAGGTGTGAACCAACATGCCTGGCGATAAAAAGCACTCTTGATCGGGATATGGTATGGTGGGAAGGTTCCTGGTCAGTCTTGAAAGGAATGACCAAAAGACTAATGGGCCTGGGCCCATTGGCTCATGCCTGTAATCCCAGCACTTTGGGTGGCTGAGATGGCAGGATTGCTTGAGCCCAGGAGTTCAAAACCAGCCTGGGCAACATAGTGAAACCCCATTTCTACTAAAAAAGTGAAAATAAAAAAGATGAATGGGCCAGAAGAGAGGCTCTGTGTGACCATCCCAGGAAAAGGAGATAACTCTAATGACCCTATTTTTTTTTATTCCCTATTAACATGACCCCATACTAGCTTGTAAATAAGGAATTGTCTGCATCAAATGTAATGCAGTTGTTTTCGTTAGCAATTTGACAGTATGGTGCACTGGTCCAGAGGGTAAGCTTTAGAATTAGACAACCTAATTAGGCAGGTTAGGCAAGTGTTGGGCAAGTTAGTTAACTTCCCAGAGTCTCAGCTTCCTTCTTCCCAGGGATAATAATAGAATTCCTTCTCTGCTCACTTTGTCTTTTGCTTGCCTTGTGGCTTCTGCTTACTCAGAGGTTCTGCCTGCTCCTCATGGCAGCTCACTCATGGCCTTCAGGGTCAATCACTGAGATCTCTGTTTGGTTAGAACCATTTCGGCCGGGCGTGATGGCTCATGCCTATAATCCCAGCACTTTGGGAGGCCGAGGCAGGCGGATCATGAGGTCATGAGATCGAGACCATCCTGGTCAACATGGTGAAACCCAGTCTCTACTAAAAATACAAGAAATTAGCCGGGCGTGGTGGTGGGTGCCTGTAGTCCCAGCTACTCAGGAGGCTGAGGCAGGAGAATGGCATGAACCCAAGAGGCGGAGCTTGCAGTGAGCTGAGATTGTGCCACTGCACTCCAGCCTGGGCGACAGTGTGAGACTCTGTGTCAAAAAAAAAAAAAAGAAAAGTTTCTTTTTTTTTTGAGGTGGAATCTTGCTCTGTCACCCAGGCTGGAGAGCAGTGGCGCAATCTCGATCTCAGCTCACTGCAACCTCCACTCCCGGGTTCAAGCGATTCTCCTGCCCCAGCCTCTTGAGCAGCTGAGATTACAGGCATGTGCCACCAAGCCTAGCTAATGTTTGTATTTTTGGAGAGACGGGGTTCATCATGTTGGCCAGGCTCGTCTCAAACTCCTGACCTCAAGTAATCCACCCGCCTCAGCCTCCCAAAGTGCTGGGATTACAGGCATGAGTCGACATGCCCGGCCAGAACTGTTTCTTTCAGACCCCTCAGAAGCTGCTGGCCAGCCTCTGGTTGGTGGCCTTTGGTTCAGGTGTCCACCCCAGGTCTAATCAGCGTGGCCAGCAGGGAGACAGGAGAGACAGGAGAACACAAAGGGCTGGCTGCTGAGTCAGGGACTGTGGACAGGGCCATTTCTCATAGGAGATTGTAGGTGTGGTGTGCACTACGATGGATGCCCAGGACACAGAGATGAGACAGAGGCCTTTAACGCAAGGTAGACAGTGGTTCCTCCAATAAAAGAAATGCTCATTGCCGGGCGCGGTGGCTCATTCCTGTTAATCCCAGCACTTTGGGAGGCTGAGGTGGGCGGATCATGGGGTCAGGAGATCGAGACCATCCTGGCTAACACGGTGAAACCCCGTCTCTACTGAAAATACAAAAAAAATTAGCCGGGCATGGTGGCGGGCACCTGTAGTCCCAGCTGCTAGGGAGGCTGAGGCAGGAGAATGGCGTGAACCCGGGAGGTGGAGCTTGCAGTGAGCCGAGATCGCGCCACTGCACTCCAGCCTGGGCGACAGAGAGAGATTCCGTCTCAAAAAAAAAAAAAAAAAAAAAGAAAGGCTCGTAAAGAGCCTCACAAATTCAGAGAAAACATTGCTTTCTAGCTAAGGGGGTAAGGGAGAGGCTCCATGGAAGGTGGGGCCTCCAGAGTGTCTTCCCCCAACTACTCCAAGCCAATCAGGGCCTGTCCCCAGACTTGAAGCTGGGAGTCAGTCCTACCCAAATCTCATGACTGGGAAATTCAGGGAGTTCCTACAATCAGCCTCTCCCCTCCCTCTGCCACAGGCTTTGATTCAAAGATGGGGCCATATGACAAAAGTCAGGCCAGTCAGGACAAAGAGATTTCCCAGGAAGCAGAGGTTCTTTTCTCTGCTGCATTTGAACATGGAAGCGCATATCCTTAGAAGCCACGGGCAGTTACTTTGCAGGCACAAGGGGAGACTTGTGAGCATGGAGTCCTCACCAAGAAGGCAGAGCCTGGAGGGAAACAGAGAAAGAAGCAGAGACAGAGGCAGGAGAAACGGGGCCTGGACACATCATTCTGGGAAAGTACAGGGAGAAGAGGGCAACAGTGAAAGGTACAGTTTGATGGGGATGATGGAGCATGGATGTTAATATTGGGAAGGCAGGCCAGGCGTGGTGGCTTATGCCTGTGATCCCAGCACTTTGGGAGGCTGAGGTGGGTGGATCACTTAAGGCCAGGAGTTTAAGACCAGCCTGGCCACCGTGGTGAAACCCCATCGCTACTAAAAATAACAAAAATTAGCCATGTATGGTGGTGCATGCCTGTAATCCCAGCTACTTGGGAGGCTGAGTCAGGAGAATTGCTTGAACCTGGGAGGCGGAGGTTGCAGTGAGCAAGAGATCACGCCACTGCACTCCAGCCTGGGTGACAGAGCGAGACTCCATCTAAAAAATATCTCTCTCTCTCTCTCTCTGTGTGTGTGTGTGTGTGTGTGTGTGTGTGTATGTGGAAGGAAGATTAGAAAGAAGACAAAATTTAAAAAAAGAAGGAAAAGAGGCTTTTTTTGTGTAGGGAACAGGAAGCTAATGAAAGTATTTAAGTACTGTGATATGAGCAGTGTAGTAGATAAATTAATCACCAATGTGTGTAAAATGATTAGAATGGAGAGGCCAGAGGTGAGAAGAACATCGAGAGCGTATCACAATAATCTGAAGACCTGACCCAGAGAAACTGCAGTGGGGCTGGAAAGAGAAGAAGGATGTGGAAAAATAAGACCACAGACTAAAGATTTTAGAGTAAGACTTTGTCATTTACTAAAGGTGGCAAGAAGGAAGGAGGGTGCAAGCCAGCCTGAAAGAGCACATTTTATTTATTTTTATTTTTGAGACGGGGGGGAGTCTCACGATATTGCCCAGGCTGGTCTCAAACTCCTGAGCTCAAGCAATCCTCCTGCCTCAGCCTCCCAAAATGTTGGGACTATAGGCATGAGCCACCGTGCCTGGCCAGAGCACACTTTAAATTCTTGGATGATTCCTCTAGGCCAGTAGTCTATCACCATGAAAGACAGATGTAAAATATTAGGCAATTGGGCAGGGTGCCGTGGCTCATGGGAGGCCGAGGCGAGCAGATCAGCTGAGGTCAGGAGTTCGAAACCAGCCTGGCCAACATGGTGAAACCCCGTCTCTACTAAAAATACAAAAATTAGCCGGGTGTGGTGGTGCATGCCTGTAATCCCAGCTACTCAGGAGTCTGAGGCAGGAGAATCTCTTGAAGCTGGGAGGCGGAGGTTGCAGTGAGCCAAGATAGCGACAGTGCACTCCAGCCTGGTCGACAGAGTGAGACTCTGTCTCAAAACAAAACAAGACAAAACAAATGAACAAAAAAGATGAGGCAATTGATCAGAGAAAAATTTTCTTTAGGTACATTGTTGTAGTGCAAACAGATCATGGTGAAATTTTATAATATTGCATAATAGTCTGTGGTGTTGACATACAAGCAAAACGTCAGCAAACTACAGGGGCTGTTTATAAAGAATGCTAACAACCTACTTTTGAAAGGGGTGGCGCAAAACATATGTATCACTCTGTTGAGATTTTAACTTTTCCTCTAACTTGCTGTGTGACTCTGGGTAGGTCGCTTATGGTCTCTGAGCTCATTTTCTCAGCTGTAAAAAAGGGGGAGATAAAGCTTTCCCAGAGTTGTGGTCCTCACCTCATGATCTCACAGGAAAACTCCTTGCTAATTCCTAATAAATAAAAGGTAAATAATAAGTAGAAAAATGAATACATATATTTAAAAATTAGAAATAAAAGGTAAATATGTTTCAAACTTCCTTTCCTCTCTCCTTTCTTTTCTTCTTTCCTAAGTATGCTTTGCGTTTGCAGGCTGGCTTTCCACAGGTGGTTAGTGTTGTCACAGCTTGTTGATAGGTTTCACGTAGAAACCTATGGTTAAGTCACTCATCTGGGTTGGGCGCAGTGCTTCACACTTGTAATCCCAGCACTTTGGGAGGCGGAAGAGGTAAGCTGAGGAGTTCAAGACCAGTCTGGGCAACATGGCAAAACCTCATCTCTACAAAAAATACAAAAATCAGCCAGGCGTGGTGGCATGTGCCTGTGGTCCCAGCTACTTGAGAAGCTGAGGTGGGAGGATCACCTGAGCCTGTGAGGCAGAGGTTGCAGTGAGCCGAGATCGCACCACTGGGATTCAACCTGGGTGACAGAGTGAGACCGCATCTCAAAAAAAAAAAAAAAAAAGTCAGTCTTCCAGGTTCTATCTAGTACAATACCTAGGTTCTCTGATTCTAGGTTCGTCTGCATTACAGAACCAGGATGGCCTTTCTTGGTCCTGTATCTATGATGGGGGAATAAATAAAACACAGTATTTTATTATGGTGATTTGCTTAAGGAGCTAAAAAATACCCATGATTTATAGCAGTGGGGGGTAGGGCAGTGCTCCTAAGTGAGGGAACTGTGGGTGTGGCCAGTGATGACTGACAGGTCTAGAGCAGGGGGATGGTAGGGATGGCTAAAATGCAAGGGAAAGCAATGAGGGCCACAGAAGAAGCATATATGATGTACCATGGCAGGCAAGGGGGCACTATTGTGGATCTAGTGTGTCCTCAGCTCCTAACTTCCCCTCCACTACCACTTATGGAATGCTAAAGACATGTACCATTTCATGCAATTCTTGAAATAACCCTATGAGTAGGTAGAGTATTATGATGTTCATTTGACAGATGAGGAGACTGGAGCTTAGGTCACTTGTCCAAGGTCACAAAGACAATTTTGTGAGTGACAGAGCAAGGACTTGAACCCAGGTTTCATTGTCTCCAGAGCCCATGGTTTTTGTTTTGTTTTGTTTTGTTTTCGTTTGTTTGTTTGTTTGAGACGGAGTCTCACTCTGTTGCCCAGGCTGGAGTTCAGTGGCACAATCTTGGCTCAGTGCAACCTCTGCCTCTCAGGTTCAAGTGATTTTTTGGCCTCAGTCTCTGGAGTAGCTGGGATTACAGGTGCCCACCACCACGCCCGCCTAATTTTTGTCTTTTTAGTAGAGACGGGGTTTCATCATGTTGGCCAGGCTGGTCTCGAACTCCTGACCTCAAGTGATCCACCTGCCTTGGCCTCCCAAAGTGCTAGGATTACAGGCGTGAGCCACCATGCCAGGCCTGGAGCCCATGGTTTTAACTATTGTTCTGTACTGCCCACGCTGGAATTTCTGGGGAAGCCCTCTCTTATCTCTTCTTTTACAGGCACATGATTTATAGCAACCATCCGGAATAGGATGGAGTGAAAAAGGGGACTTGGGAACTATTGTCTCTCCAAGATTACTCAGTTCTTTGATTTCTCCCCTGGGAGCCACGCTGCCTGTCAGCTAGAAGGTACTGGAAGAAATTAGATTGCTCTAGGGTGTTCACTTGTACGCAATTTATTATTTCTAAAGATAAGGCCTAAAGAGACATCTACATTGCATTAGTTTTTTTTTTTCCCAATGAATGAAAGCGGAACGGCATCTGTTTAGTATTTGAGACATGCACCTGGCGCACTTTGATTAAAAGAGAAAAATAAATACTAAAACATAGTAATCCAAAGAATTACCCCCTTTGTGGCTGGCTTACCCACTGCTTTGAGTATGGGACTCAAAGGGGGTAATTTAAATTTGGGGCTGCCAGAAAAGGATGTCCTTGTTCTTTATTAATCAGGAAGACTAAAGATCTCCCTGGGAGAGGGCTTGGATTCTGGCTTATGGTCTAACCCTAGGTCCAGATCTGAAGCTTGGAAAAAGCGCTGAGAATCTGTTAGGGGGTGGGAAAGAAGGAGACATCATCTCATTCAACACCTTCCTCTAATTGTGAAATACACTAAAGCCCAGGGCACTGGATACCTGCCAATTCCCCCCCACTCCCCGTCACCCAACCTGCTCTCCACCCTTTCCATCCTGTCCTGTGTCCTGGGAGGGTGACCCGTATGGCCTGCATCAAGGAGTTCCCTTACCCTCTGGCTTCCGGTTTGGTGAGGCCAAAGGAAAGCACGCACCGGAGATCAAAGGGCAGGAGGAGAGCGAGATGTGAGTATTATTTCCTCAACCGCCTCCCTGCAAGGGCACCCTGGATGAGCTGCATCCCTCCTCTGAAGGCCACGGCCCTTGTCAGGTGGCCTTCTCCATGCAGCTGCCATCTCTGGTCCAAGGAATTGCTTCTCCCTCACTCTTTCAAGGCTGAGGGGGAGCAAGGGCTCCTTGTGGTTACTAGGTACTGCCCTGTCCATTTTGTGCATACATCTTTGTAAATAGCCCCATTATTACACACTAATCAAATTGCCCAATTTGAATGTGCCATCTGTTTCCTGCTGGGACCCTGATGAATATACCCAGAGGGGTTTAATGACTTGCCCAAGGTCTCAGAAGGATTTGATTATACACCAGTGTGTACTAATAAGAAGAAATAAAACTGACATAGTATTTTACAGTTAACAAGGCACTTTAATAACTATAATATCAGGATGCAGGAAAGGTATTAAGCTTTCCACTTAGAGATGAGGAAATTGAATCTTAGAGAAGAGTGGGATTAGCCACAGCTGGTGAGCATCAGCACCATCCTCAGACCCAGTTCCTGGGCTCTGCCTATCATGCTACAGCCCAACCTTCAGGGCAGATAGAATACTAATTCTAATCCCGTGGATAAGAATACTGATTCTTCATTAGTATGACTCCACACCTTGAGCACCAGGAAAACAAATATAGCCAGAGTTCCATCCTCCAGGCCCAGAGCTAATGACGCTACACACGCAATCCAACAACGCTGCGAGGCAAGTGGTATCATCCTCTTTTACAGATGAGGAAAGTAAGGTTCAGAAGGCGAAATATCTCACTGAAAGTCACACAGCTGGGAAGTAGCTGGACTGTGAACCCAGGCCAGCCGGCCTGCTCTTTCTCCTCCCCCACACTGCCTTGAGTGCAGAGATATGGATCTCTGAAGGCACTGCAGGCTGCAGGCCCGACACATCCGCTGTTCTTTCTCCCATCAAACCAGTCCCAACTTGGCTTTCAAACTAACTCTGGGACCTCGGCCCAGCTTTCCTGTTGGGCAGCCAAGGAGGCTTTTACAGATAAAACATGATAGAAAATGGAGCAGAGCTGATTAAGAGTAACAGATAACAAGGCAAGGCATGCAGGCCCTTTGTCTGAGAAAGCCTGAGAAAAATGCAGCTGGGTCAGGGCTGCCTCTGTTGCTACTACTAAGGAGATAGGGGTGCCAGAGGGTATTCTTCAGCTTTGACAAGCATCCCAATCTGCAAGGCTGAAGGGGCCATCTGTCTACCAACTTAGAGGTTAAAAAAAAAAAAAAGGAGTTATGGCTCACACTGTAATCCCAGCACTTTGGGAGGCCGAGGCGGGCGGATCACCTGAGGTCAGGAGTTCGAGATCAGCCTGGCCAACATGGTGAAACCACATCTCTACTAAAAATACAAAAATTAGCCGGGTGTGGTGGTGTGCGCCTGTAATCCCAGCTACCCAGGAGGCTGAGGTAGGAGAATCGCTTGAACCCGGGAGGCAGAGGTTGCAGTGAGCCGAGATCATGCCACTGCACTCCAGCCTGGGCAACAAAGCGAGACTCTGTCTCAAAAAAAAAGACCCTGGGCCATTTGCTATCATAACATAAAAGCAGTCAGGGGCCATTGTTGGCTGAGTACTGACCTGGGTCACCTACTCTCTGCATGGCTTTAAGGACTCACCTCCCCAGTTTGGGCCTTGGTTTCCTTGTCTGAGATATGGAGGAGATGGGTGAATCTTTGCTACTTCTCTTTGCAATCTGTACTTTATGAGTTTAGGAATCTTGAGAAGTTTGTGAGCCTTCCAAGACTTCCCCCTCCTCCCCTGTTAGCAGGATATTGGAGTTATATTGTCGAGGGGTTTACGTCACTCGATTCACATTTTCCTTTTTTTTGGGACAGAGTCTTTCTCTGTCACCCAGGATGCAGTGCAATGGCACGATCTTGGCTCACTGCAACCTTCGCCTCCTGGACTCAAGTGATTCCCATGCTTCAGCCTCCTAAGCAGCTAGGACTACAGGTGCAGGCCATCATGGCCAGCTAATTTTTTCTATTTTTAGTACAGGTGGAGTTTCACCATGTTGGGACAGGCTGGTCTTGAACTCCCGGCCTCAAGTGATCCGCTAGCCTTGGCCTCCCAAAGTGCTGGGATTACAGGCATGAGTCACTGCGCCTGGCTCAGATTCACATTTTCTTCCTTGTTTATTCACATTTGTGAACAGCTGGCCAAAATCAGGCGGTGGCTTGGAGTTGCAGAGGGGGCAGGATTGGACCCAGGACCTTGTCTGTAAAGCACTTCAGCCAGCCTCCAGTCCTTGAGTGGTGCTTTGCAATCTTGTGAAGCATTACATGTGAAAAGCCTATCCAGCCTGCTACCCGCCCCAGACCCTTTACTGGCCAGAGGAATGTGATGCTCCGATTGGCCAACCCTGAGTCACATGCCCACTCTTGGAGCGGAAAGTGAAGTGAACTCCAGGAAATGAATTTCTTTGAGGAGCAGAGCCTGAAAAGGGTGTGTAGCTGGTGCCCTGATAATAAGCCGGGGATGAAGACACCAGAACGAAGGGTAAATGGATGCCAGGTGGCAAAACCACACATGCCCACCCTTCTGGTTGCTAAGCAACATTTTGTTTTTCTGCTCTGGTTCCTCTTCTGTTCTGCAAAGCTCGCCTAGCACAAGGGCTGACCATTCTGGAGTTGGAAGAGGGCCAAACCCAGGGGCCTTGAGTGAAGTGTAAAGAGATCTGGGCTGGAGATTTGGGTTTTAGTCCTGATATTGCCACGTACTTTCTTCCCTCCCTGAGTCTCAGTTTTTTCTTCAGCTGTAAGACGAGGAGACTGAATAGAATCTCTGTGGGGTCCTTGCAATTTACTAGGCTGGGTTCTGGGCAATGTCACAGGCAGTGGGGGCCTCCTGTGCCTCTCATATTATATCTTAGAAGTGAAGGCAGCTTTCTCTGAACATGGGCAATCCCTGCCATGGAACGTGGCTTGCTAGAAAGTGCCTCAATCTTGGCATTAGATGATTTGTTTTGGTTTCTGATCTTAATTTTGTGTTTTTTTTTTTTTGTTTGTTTGTTTTTGAGACTGAGTCTCGCTCATCACCCAGGCTGGAGTGTGGTGGCACGATCTCGGCTCACTGCAACCTCCGCCTCCCGGGCTCAAGCAATTCTCCTGCCTCAGCCTCCTGAGTAGCTGAGACTACAGGCGCATACCACCATGCCCAGCTAAGTTTTGTTTTTAGTAGAGACGGGGTTTCACCATGTCGGCTACGCTGGTCTTGAACTCCTGACCTCAGATGATCCACCCACCTTGGCCTCCCAAAGTTATGGGATTACAGGTGTAAGCCACTGCACCCAGCCCCTGTCCTTAATTTCTGACTCCTCCTAATACCTGTGCAACCCAGGCAAATTACTTAACCTCTCTGAACCTTCTCATATAAAGTAGAGTTAAGGATAATCCCTCAAAAATTGTTGAGAGAATCAAATGAAACAATGGATGTGAAAGTGCTTTGTAAGCCCCAAAGTGCTGTGCAAATGGAGGGCCCATCCACCCAGGGTCCCTGTCTCCCAGGCCATTGTGGTTCTGGGACTTGGTGCTCCTGAGAAAAGGCTAGTGCCCACATTCAATGAGCATGAGTCATTCCACAGTGCATGTCTTTTAGTTGTATTTATTCTAAACCTTGTGTTTCTGCGTGTAAGTGCCACATCAGGGGGTGACCTGAAGCAACTGTGAGGATGGGTGAAAAACAAAGGTCACTGATTATTCCAAATTTTGCACAATCTATCCTGGAGTCTTGGTCTGGGGGCCCAGGACCCAGCAGCTGGCAGTGAGGGAGCAGGAAGCCAGGCCCTGCCCTTCTTTTCTGAGCATTCTGTCCCTCCGAGCAAGCCTTTGGACAGAAGCCTCCCTCTGACCTGTCTAGTGGGGCTGGGATAGCTGCATCCACTCTGATACCTCACAGTCATCTCAAATTAACATGTATGTTTTAGGAAGCTGGGGAGGGAGGATCACTTGAAGCTAGACGTTCAAGACCAGCCTGGGCAACAAAGTGAGACCCTGACTCCACTAAAAATTTAAAAATTAGCTAGGTGTGGTTGTGTGCACCTGTAGTCCAAGCTACTCAAGCAGCTGAGGTGGGAGGATTGCTTGAGCCCAGGAGTTTGAGACTGCAGTGAGCTATGATCACACCACTGTACTCCAGCCTAGGTGATAGAGTAAGATCCTATCTCTAAGAAAAAAAAATTAACACCTTCAAAATAGATCTCTTGATCTTGGTCCTCACCTCCAAGATCAGTTTTCACCCAGTTTTGTAAATGTCACCTACAGCCGTTCAGTCTCTCATGCCAGATACCTGTGACCCTGAACATCTCTCTCTTTTATCCTGCCACAATCCATCATTAAATCCTAACTATTGGCCAGGCGCGGTGGCTCACACCTGTAATCCCAGCACTTTGGGAGGCTGAGGCGGGCAGATCACAAGGTCAGGAGATCGAGACCATCCTGGCTAACACGGTGAAACCCTGTCTCTATAAAAATACAAAAAATTAGCTGGGCCTGGTGGCGGGTGCCTGTAGTCCCAGCTACTCCGGAGGCTGAGGCAGGAGAATGGCATGAACCAGGGAGGCGGAGGTTGCAGTGAGCCGAGATCGCGCCACTGCACTCCAGCTGGGGGATAGAGCGAGACTCCATCTCAAAAACAAAAAACAAACAAACAAAAAACCTAACTCTTCCCCCTCTAAAGCATACTTCAATTCCACTCATTTTTTCCCATTCCCATTACTACTACCCCTGTCTGAGACACTGCCATTTCTTACCTAACTAGTAACTTGTAGCTAGTTTTTCCATTTGGGGTCCTGTTCCATTCCTCCAAGAGGAAATCTGCGGTTGAAGACACTAGTAAGAAGGGTAAATGGATGCCAGGTGGCAAAACCACACTTCCCCACCCTTCTGGTTGCTAAGCAACATTTTGCCTTTCAGTTCTAGCTAGTCTTCTGTTCCTCAAAGCTCTTCTAGTACAAGGGCTGACCTTTCTGTAGTTGGAAGAGGGCCGAACCTAGGAGACATTGAGTGAAGTAGAAAGAGAGCTAGGATGGAGATTTGGGTTTTATTCTTGGTTTCCCAAATGTAAATCTGATGGCATTACAGTCCCTCTTACAAGTCTTCGAAGACTGATACATTTGGAATGACACCCAAGGTCCCCAGTGTGGCCTGCAGAACCCTGTATGGTCTGGCCCTGCCCACCTCTTCAGACCCCGCCTCCTCTTACTGCATACTCCCCATTTTTCATTTTTCCTGACACTCCAGCCACTGGCCTTTTTTTTTTTGAGATGGAGTCTCGCTCTGTCGCCCAGTCTGGAGTGCAGTGACGCGATCTCAGCTCACTGCAACCTCTGCCTCCTGGGTTCAAGCAATTCTTCTGCCTCAGCCTCCTGAGTAGCTGGGATTATAGGTGCATGCCACCATGCCAGGCTAATTTTTGTATTTTTAGCAGAGACAGGGTTTCATCATGTTGGCCAGGATGGTCTCGATGTCCTGACCTCGTGATCCATCTGCCTCGGCCTCCCAAAGTGCTGAGATTACAGGCATGAGCCACCACGCCCGGCCTGCCACTGGCCTTTGTCCATTTCATGAAGAGGCCACATTCCTGCACATGCCAACATCCCACAGTGCTTTCCGCTACTGGGTCTGCTCTTCCTCCTTTTTGCACATAGCTGCTTCTACTTATCTTTTAGATCTCAGCTGAAAAAGCTCAGGTTATCAGAGTCCTTCCCCAATCATACTAGCCAAGTAGTTCTCCTGCCCTTCCCCACCTCTGTCCAGGTACTCTCTTTTGGCAGTCTTTGTTTTCTTCATAACCCTTACCACAATTCATATTTATCATTGTGTTCATTTAGTTGCTTATTGCCTAGCTCCACTAAGTGCTCAATAAATATCTCTCTTTTTTTTTTTCTTTTTGGCTGGGTGTGGTGGCTCACACCTGTAATCCCAGCACTTTGGGAGGCTGAGGCAGGGGGATCACTTGAGGCCAGGAGAAGTCAGGAGTTTGAGACCAGCCTGGGTGACATAGCAAGACCTCATCTCTACTAAAGATATAGATATAGATATATATAGATATATATCTATATCTGTATATATATACACATACACACACACACACACACACACATATATATATATTTTTTTAGAGACAGGGTCTCACTCTATCACCCAGGCTGGAGTGCAGTGTTATAATCACAGCTTGCTGTAGCCTCGACCTCCTAGGCTCAAGTGATCCTCCTACCTCTGCCTCCTGAGTAGCTGGGACCCCAGGTGTGCACTACCATGCCTGGCTAATTTTTTTTTTTTTTTACACAGAGCCTTGCTCTGTCACCCAGGCTGGAGTGCAGTGGCACGGCCTTGGCTTACTGCAACCTCCACCTCCCAGGCTCAAGCAATTCTTCTGCCTCAGCCTCCCAAGTAGCTGGCACCTGCCACTGCCACTGCACCTGGCTAATTTTTGTATTTTTATTAGAGACAGGGTTTCACCATGTTGGCCAGGCTGGTCTCAAACTCCTGACCTCAGGTGATCTGCCTGCCTCGGCCTCCCAAAGTGCTGGGATTACAGATGTGAGCCACTGCGCCCGGCCTTTTTTTTTTGTAGAGATGGAGTCTGTAAATATTTATTGAATGACAGAGCAAACAACAAAAATTAAAGACTCTGCTTCTGTGTCTTCTTTGGAAGATTTTCCTCAAAGATGCTACACTGTGAACCACTAATTCTGAGCACCCCATGGGACCAGGAATAAAGAGAGATGCTGGCACAAGAAATGGTAACTGGCCTACCTCCCTTCTCTAGCCCTAAGAGTACCCACCCAGTGCTGAAGGGGCTTGTGATGCCTTCTCTCCCTTCTCTCTGCAGTGGGATAAAGTGCCTGGCTGTATATCAAGTTAGTAGGCTGGCCTATCTCCCTCTGTTGCCCAGGCTGCAGTGTAGTAGCATGATCTCTGCTCGCTGCAGTCTTGACCTCTCAGGTTCAAGTGATCCTCCTGCCTCAGCATCCCCAAGTAGCTGGGACTACAGGCATGCACCACCATGCCAGGTTAGGTTTTTTTTTTAAATTTTTTGTAGACATGAGGTTTCACCATGTTGCCCAGGCTGGTCTCAAACTCCTGGGCTCAAGCGATTCGCCTGCCATGGCCTCCCAAACTGCTAGGATTATAGGCGTGAGCTACTGAGCCCAGACTCCCTGTCTGCTCTGTTGACCCTGACCGTGGCCTTCCCTCCCACACATCCACAGGTGCAAGTGCCTGGATCCTCAAGCCCTTCTGAAATGGCTTTCAGGCTGGGTGCAGTGGCTTGTGCCTGTAATCATAGCTACTTCAGGAGGCTGAGGTGGGAGGATCACTTGAGCCCAGGAGTTTGAGGCTGTAGTGAGCCGTGATCATGCCACTGCACTCCAGCCTGGGCAAGAGAGAGAGAGAGAGAGAGAGAGAGAGAAAGAGACCTTGTCTCTAATAATAAATAAATGAATAAATAAATAAATAAATACATAAAATGGCTTTTAGGAAAGGATCCCATACATTTTGGCACACTGGTGAATAAGAACAGGCTGTATATGCCGGGTGCGGTGGCTCACGCCTGTACTCCCAGCACTTTGCGAGGCTGAGGCAGGTGGATCACTTGAGGTCAGGGGTTTGAGAGCAGCCTGGCCAACATGGTGAAACCCCATCTCTACTAAAAACACAAAAATTAGCCAGGTGTGGTGGACACCTGTGGTCCTAGCTACTCAGTAGGCTGAGGTGGGAGAATCCCTTGAACCCAGGAGGCAGAGTTTGCAATGAGTCGAGATCGCACCACTGTACTCCAGCCTGGGTGATAGGTCAAGACTCTGTCTCAAAAAAAAAAAAAAAAAAAGAAAAGAAAAGAAAAACAATGGACTCAATATGTTTCATAACAAACTAAAATAATAAGCTAGGATACTTGAGGTGACAAAGGAGTTTTGTGACACTTCCTACAGGACTGACTATGTAACTTACAGGGCCTGGAACAAAATGAAAATATAGATCCCGTGTTGGAAAATTATTAAAAATTTCAAGACAGTGTCAGCAGAGCATTCAGCCACGTGCAAGGGCACCTCTAAACTGAGATTGCACACCCATGACACTGGCCCTGCTTGCTGCCTTTGGAGGCAGGCCAGGAGACTCATTTAGATTTTCTGGGCTGGCCCTGCTCTCTCTGTGGACACTGCAACTTCCCAGAGATCCTTTTCCTGCCAGTTCAAGAATGATACTTGTTCCACACACAACTCTCTGCAGCCAGGATAGACCAGGCATACAAGAGGCTGCTGCCACTTCTTTTTTTTTTTTTTTTATTTGAGATGGAGTCTCGGTCACCCGGACTGGAGTACAGTGGCATGATCTGGGCTCACTGCAGCCTCCATCTCCTGGGTTCAAGCTATTCTCCTGCCTCAGCCTCCTGAGTAGCTGGGATTACAAGTACCTGCCACTATGCCCGGCTAATTTTTGTACTTTTAGTAGACATGGGGATTCACCATGTTGGCCAGGCTGGTCTTGAACTCCTGACCTCAGGTGATTCACCCGCCTCGGCCTCCCAACGTGCTGGGATTACAGGCATGAGCCACCGTGCCTGGCCTGCTACCACTTCTTGACCAAAAATTTCCCTCAGACTCAATGGTTTATAGCTGTCAGCTGACTCAGAGCAGAGCCGTTTATTTTCTTTTATCTAGAAGCTTAGGGAAGCAGGAAAGTTGTTTTTGTAAGACTCCCTAGAAGGTAAACATGATGACATTTTTTTCATTCTGTTTACAGGACATATTGGCATGAAGGGAATTTCTGTTGCCACCACATGCTGCTGTTTACCTGTCCTTCACACACCTCCAGCCAGCCAGTGGGACAGCTGCTGCAGTAGCCCAGTCTTCCAGAACTTGACCTTTTTTTAGGGGAGGGGAGCGGCGTGGAGAGGGAGAGTGTGGGCAGGCCCAGGCGGGTGACTCTGAATAAGAGTGGGAGGGGACAGTAGCTTGTTTCCTGAAAGCCACCAAAGGAAACTCTGAACTTCATTCACCAAATTTTTCAATCAATATATATTTATTTAAAAAAATTGTGACTAGAGGCTGGGTGCAGTGACTCACACCTGTAATCCCAGCACTTTGGGAGGCCGAGGCAGGTGGATCACGAGGTCAGGAGATCAAGACCATCCTGGCCAACATGGGGAAACCGCATTTCTACTAAAAAGACAAAAATTAGCTGGGTGTGGTGGCGTGCACCTGTAGTCCCAGCTACTCAAGAGGCTGAGGCAGGAGAAACGCTTGAACCCAGGAGACGGAGGTTGCAGTGAGCTGAAATCATGCCACTGCACTCCAGCCTGGGGCACAGAGTGAGACTCCGTCTCAAAAAAAAAATTGTGTATTTTTTAATCGATTTTATTTTTGAATAGGTACTGTATTGTTGTGGTTTAAAACTCAAAAGTTACAAAAAGGCTTATTGTGGAAAATCTATTTATTTATTTGAATTGACACATAATAATTGTACATATTTGTGGGGTACATAGTGATGTTTCGATATATACAGTGTAGGCCAGGAGCAGTGGCTCACGCCTGTAATCCCAGCATTTTGGGAAGCTGAGGCGGGAGGATCACTTGAGTCCAGGAGTTCGAGACCAGCCTGGGCAACATGGCGAAACCCTGTCTCTACAAAAAAATACAAAAAAATTAGCCAAGCATGGTGGTGTACACCTGTAGTCCCAGATACTTGGGAGGCTGAGGTGAGAAGATCACTTGAGCCCAGGAGGTCAAGGCTGCAGTGAGCTGTGACTGTGCCTATAGAAGAAAAAAAAAATAGCGTGTAATCTCAGCACTCTGGGAGGCCAAAGCAGGGGGATCACTTGAGGCCAAGAGTTCAAGACCAGCCTGGCCAACAAAGCGAAACCTTCTCTCTACTAAAAATACAAAAATTAGCCGGGCATGGTGGCACTCACCTGTAGTCCCAGTTACTCGGGAGGCTAAGGCACAAAAATGGCTTGAACCTGGGAAGCGGAGGCTGCAGTGAGCTGAGATGGCGCCACGGCACTCCAGCCTGGGTGACAGAGTGAGACTCTGTCTCAAGAAATAATAATAATAATAAAATAATAAAAAAATTCATTGTATAGTGATCAGGTAATTAGTATATCTAACATCTTAAACACTTATCATTTCTTCATCTTGGGAACATTCAATATCCTCTCTTCTAGCTATTTGAAACTATATACGATTGTTAACTCTAGTCATCCTACAGTGGTATAAAACACTAGAACTTGTTCCTTCTGTCTATCTAACTGTACTTTTGTATCATTTAACAAATCCCTCCCTATACCCCCATTCCTCCTACTCTTATGATGAAAAATCTTTCCTACTTCCAAGTTATCCAGTTACCCTACCCTGTAGGCAGTCATCATAACTCATTTTTTTTTCCCATTTTTGTGGAGATTGGTCCTCACTATGTTGCCCAGGCTGGTCTTGAACTCCTGGGCTCAAGCAATCCTCTTGCTTCAGCTTCCCAAGGTGCTGGGATTATAGGCATGAGATGCTGCATGGTCATAACTAGGTTTTTTTGTTTGTTTGTTTGTTTCTTGTTTTTTGAGACGGAGTCTCGCTTTGTCGCCCAGGTTGGAGTGCAGCAGCTCGATCTCGGCTCACTGCAACCTCCGCCTCCTGGGTTCAAGGGATTCTCCTGCCTCAGCCTCCCGAGTAGCTGGGACTACAGGCACCCGCCACCATGCCCAGCTAGTTTTTGTATTTTTAGTAGAGACGGGGTTTCACCATATTGGCCAGGCTGGTCTCAAACTCCTGACTTTGTGATCCGCCTGCCTCGGCCTCCCAAAGTGCTGGTATTACAGGTGTGAGCCACCATGCCCGGCCGTCATAACTAATTTTTTGTATCCCTTTTTTTGTTTGCACAAACAAGCAAATATGTATACATCTTCCCCCTTCTTTCACCAGCGATAGCCTACCTTAACACTTGTTGTTTTCACTTAACAATATATCCAGGAAATCTTTCTCTATATTAGTTCACAAAGAGCTTCCGTGTTATTTTATATAGGTGTGCTTACTATCCTCATTGCATAACTGTATTGTAATTTATTTAACCAAGTGGACATTTAGGTTCTTCCAGTCTTTCATTATTATAAACAATGGTGTAATATATAACTTTGATGATTGAGGTTCAGAGCTTCTCTCGGTTCCTTTAAGAAAAGTGTAAGTCAGATTCACCCTCACATTCTCATTCACAGTCACTCTGAATCAAAGGGCGTGTGCATGTGTGCGTTTGAGAGATTCTACCATTCAGCCCTCTATGGATTTCAAAAAGTATCCATGGAGTGCCCGTTGGTGTTGACACTGTTGGAAAACACTGGAGAGAACAGCAGTGATACAAGGGACCCTGCTCTTATGGGGATGCAGTCTGGTTGGCGGCCTGGGAAGGAGACCAACAATCAAGAACCCAAATGAATGAACGAGAGAATTTCAGATAGTGATAAATGTGAAAAAAAAATCGTGAGACCAGGTGCCTGTAATTCCAACACTTTGGGAGGCTGAGGCGGGAGGATTGCTTGAGCCCAGGAGTTCAAGACCAGCCTGGACAACATAGGGAAACCCCCATATCTACCAAAAAGGAAATTAATTGGGTGTGGTGGTGTATGCCTGTGGTCCCAGCTACTTGGGAGGCTAAGGTGGGAGGATCACTGGAGCCCAGGAGTTCAAGATGACAGTGAGCTATGATCGTGCCACTATACTCTAGCTTGGGTAACAGAATGAGACTCTGTCTCCAAAAATAAAGATAAAAAATAAAAAATAAATCACCTCCCAAGTCACCTAGGTGATTGATGTATGCAGCTTGTGGAGAGCCCTGCTTAGATGGGATCCAGGACAGCTTCTGGATAACTGAGCTATGCTTGGGGAAATGGTTCCAGAGAGGTGAAAATAAACCCAGCCCTTTGGATTTATGTAACTTGTAAAGCTCTTTTAGACATTCTCCATTTGGCCAGGTGTGGAGGCTCACGCCTGTCATCCAAGCTACTCGGGAGGCTGAGGCAGGAGAATCACTTGAAGCCGGGAGGCGGAGGTTGCAGTGAGCCGAGACCGCACCACTGCACTCCAGCCTGGCAACAGAGCAAGACGGTCTCAAAAAAAAAAAAAAAAAAAAAAAAAAAAAAAAAAAAAAAAAAGGCTGGGCACAGTGGCTCACGCCTGTAATCCCAGCACTTTGGGAGACTGAGACGGGCAGATCACCTGAGGTCAGGAGTTGAAGACCAGCCTGACCAATATGGTGAAACCCTGTCTCTAATAAAAATACAAAAATTAGCCAGGCATGGTGGTGTGCGCCTGTAGTCCCAGCTACTTGGGAGGCTAAGGCAGGAGAATTGCTTGAACCCAGGAGGCAGAGATTGCAGTGAGCCAAGTTTGCGCCACTGCACTCCAGCCTGGGTGACAGAGTTAGACTCTGTCTCAAAAAATTTAAAAATAAATAAATAAAAACAAAAACCTTGAATGATCAGTCCAGAATCAGAACTGATGAGACAGATGCTGGCTGCTGTGCCCAGTGAATGCATCTCTTCCACTCCTGCCTCTATACATGTTTTTCTGTCGTCCTTTCCATTTGCATGACAGGCAGTTCCTTATTGTTTCTGCCTTTTAAAATCCTTCCTATTCTTCAAGTCCCAGTTCAAATCCTCCTTGTCCATGAAATTTCCCCTCCTTACGCCTGGCCTAAATACGTAGGATCCCGGAAGTCATCGTCTTTTTTCCTTACAAGGTAGGCTTGTTTGGGGGCAGAAGCCTTGACACACATACCCACTTCTGTTTCTCCCCCAGAGCCTGCACAATTGAGCCTTTTCCATAACAGGCGCACAACACACATGTGCTGGCTGCAGAGTAAAAGTGTTGGCCCTGACTTGTAAGGTGACACTGTCGGTAAATGTGAGCTGGTGATGCTTAGGGGAGGGCGATTAGCACATTGTTGTTGCTTGGAGTTGTTCAAGCAGCTCTATTTCCCATCCAAGTCAGCACTCTCTTGTTTTCTATTTTGGGTCCTATTTCGCCAGAATGCTTAAACAAAGGGGAAATCATCAAAAACCACAGTAGAGACTGATGGGGTGGAGGAAAAGGCAGAAATAAGCAGGTGTTTTACCATTTGTAAAGTGGGGATAATATGTGTGCCCACCTCATGAGGAGGTTATAAGGAATGAGGGATCATGCATATAAATTGCTTAACCCCGTACTTGGAACTATTATAATAATTATAAATATCAACAACTGCCTATTTATATCACTCTCATTCTCCTATTGCCTAATGTTCTCTCAAGTATTCTGAACCCTATTTTCCCCTAATCAAACAGCCAAGACCAATTGGATAGAACTTTTTTTGATGATTGAAATACTCTGCTGGACGGCTGGGTGAGGTGGCTCATGCCTGTAATCCCAGCACTTTGGGAGGCCGAGGCGGGCGGATCATGAGATCAGGAGATCGAGACCATCCTGGCTAACACGGTGAAACCCGTCTCTACTAAAAAAAAATACAAAAAATTAGCCGGGTGTGGTGGCAGGTGCCTGTAGTCCCAGCTGCTTGGGAGGCTGAGGCAGGAGAATGGCGTGACCCAGGGAGGCGGAGGTTGCAGTGAGCCGAGATCACGCCACTGCACTCCAGCCCGGGTGACAAAGCAAGACTCTGTCTCAAAAAGAAAAGAAAAGAAAAGAAATATTCTGCTGGACGTGGTGGCTCACACCTGCAGTCCCAGCTACTCAGGGAGCTGAGGCAGGGGAGAATGCTGGAGCCCAGGATTTCGAGACCAGCCTGGGCAACATGGCAAGACTCCCATCTCTACAAAATATATATATATATATATAATTTATATATATAATAATATATAAAATATATATTATATATAAATAATATATAATATATAGCACATATATAAATTATATATAATATACAATATTATATTTTTATTTATATAATAATATATAATATTTATATAATAATATATAATATTATATAATAATATAATAATATAGTAATTTTATAATTATTATATATATATTAGCCAGGTGTGGTGATTCACACCTGTAGCCCCACTACTCAGAGGCTGAGAGAGGAGGATCATTTGAGCCCAGGAGTTCAAGGCTGCAGTGAACCATGATCGCACCACTGCACTCCAGCCCGGGTGACACAGTGAGACCCTGTCTCTAAAAATATACAAGTAAGAATAAATATTCCACGTCTGCATTGTCCATGTGGCTATTGAGCACTTGATATGTGGTTTGTTTGAATGAAGAGCTGATTTTTCAATTAAATTAAATTAAAAAAAATTTTGAGGCAGAGTCTCGCTCTGTCATCAGGCTACAGTGCAGTGGAGCAATCTTGGCTCACTGCAACCTCTGCCTCCCGGGTTCAAATGATTCTCCTGCTTCAGACTCCTGAGTAGCTGGGACCATAGGTGTGTGCTACCACCCCTGGCTAATTTTTGTATTTTTAATAGAACGGGTTTTCTGCATGTTGGCCAGGCTGGTCTCGAACTCCTGGCCTCAACTGATCTGCTTGCCTCGGCCTCCCAAAGTGCTGGGATTATAGGAGTGAGCCACCACACCCGGGTAAATTTAATTTAATTTTTTTTTTTTTTTGAAACGGAGTCTTACTCTGTCGCCCAGGCTAGAGTGCAGTGGTGCGATCACAGCTCACTCCAATCTCCGCCTCCCAGATTCAAGTGATTCTCCGGCCTCAGCCTCCCGAATAGCTGATGTTACAGGCACCCAACACCATGCCTGGCTAATTTCTGTATTTTCAGTAGAGACAGGGTTTCACCATGTTGGCCAGGCTGGTCTCAAACTCCTGACCTTCAGTGATCCACCCATGTTGGCCTCCCAAAGTGCTGGGATTACAAGCATGAACCACCATGCCTGGCCTAATTTTAATTAATCTAAATTTACATTTTAATAGTCATATGGGGCTAGTGGCTACCATTTTGGACAACACAGCTCCAGAAATTATGAGTGATGGGAAGAAAAAACTTTTAACAGAAAAATGTTTAAGAGAATCTTTTTTAAAGACAGTACTTTTAAAGAGTTCTTTAGAGAACTAAATTCATTTTATCTGATTTATAATACAAGAATATATTATATAGACTTTAAGTAACTTACAAAATGTTGGGATGCTTAAAGACATACAAACCCTTAACAAAAGAGACATCTTTCCCCTTTTTGTCCTTCCTGTTCTTCCACTTTTTCCTTCTTCCTCCTTCTTCAACTCTAGTAGCTCTGTTTCACTGTTTCTCCTTCTGCATCCTCCTTTTTCTGGCAAGAGGTGAGAACAGCCTCAGTGGATGGAGGGTTGATAGGGAGAAACCGCCTTAGTTCACTTCTCTTCTGTTCCTGCGAGTGGCACCATCCCAGGTCTGTTCTGTCCCGGGAGAGGGACTGCCACTGGGTTGTTCATTAGATGCAGGTGACACAGACAGTGCAGGACAACCCAGTGGTAAAATCATGAGGTTTTTTTTTTTAATCCATTCCTTGGGGCGGGCGCGGTGGCTCACGCCCGTAATCTCAGCACTTTAGGGGGCCGAGACGGGCGGATCACGAGGTCAGGAGATCGAGACCAACCTGGCTAACACGGTGAAACCCCCGTCTCTACTAAAAATACAAAAAATTAGCCGGGCGTGGTGGCGGGCGCCTATAGTCCCAGCTACTGGGGAGGCTGAGGTGGGAGAATGGCGTGAACCCGGGAGGCGGAGCTTGCAGTGAGCCGAGATCGCGCCACTGCACTCCAACCTGGGAAACAGAGCGAGACTCCGTCTCAAAAAAAAAAAAAAAAATTCCTTATGTATGAGGAAAAATCATGAACTTTTGAGCTGAGAGGTTCCTTAGAGACTGTCTGGTCCAATCCCTTCATTTTTTAAATTAGGAAGTAAAAACCCGGGACTCCTAACCCCAGTCCTGTGCTTGTTCTATAACTCACAGTGGATGGTCCACATATTTTTCCAATATTTTTTCTTAAAAACAAAAGCATAGCCGGTCTTGGTGGCAAGCACCTATAATCCCAGCTACTCTGGAAGCTGAGGCAGGAGAATCACTTGAACCCGGGAAGCGAAGATTGCAGTGAGCTGAGATCACACTACTGTACTCGGAGCAAAACTCCGTCTCCAAAAAAAAAAAAAAAAAAAAGCAATGAAAACTGAACGACACTAAATCAAACCAGACTTAGATGTTGTTTTCCTAATCTCAAGCCTTTTCGATAGATCTCGTTTTAGCAAAAATTTTTGGTCTTGATACATGGGGAAAAAATGAAAGGCATTCTTTGAGCTTTTCTTTTTTTTTTGAAAAATGACTGTTCTATAAATGTTCAAAAATATTGCATCATGTTTTAAAATCCTTATTATAAATGAAATGACTGGGCTGGACACAGTGGCTCATGCCTGTAATCCCAGCACTTTGGGAGGCCGAGGCGGGCGGATCACGAGGTCAGAAGTTCGAGACCAGCCTCACTAACATGGTGAAACCCTGTCTCTACTAAAAATACAAAAATTAGCTGGGCATGGTGGTGAGCGCCTGTAATCTGAGCTACTTGGGAGGCTGAGGCAGGAGAATGGTTTGCACCTGGGAGGTGGAGGTTGCAGTGAGCCGAGATCGGGCCATTGCGCTCCAGGTTGGGCAACAGGGTTAGACTCTGTGTCAAAAAAAAAAAAAAAGAAAAGAAAAGAAAAGAAAAGAAATGACTGAATATTGCCTAGCTACTGTTATTTATTTTGTGTGTTTGCTTTTTAGAAAAGAGCACGTGCCTGAGTGTTGGTGGAAAGTTACTAACCAAAGCAAGACATTTTTCATATTAAACACATTCATCTGATATGGAAAATAACCTTTAACAGACAACATGCAAGTAAGATGAATGTAGCTGAGTTTGCATAAGAGTACCTATTTTTCCTAGCAATTACATAGCAGTGTACTATGAAGTAGTATTAAGTTAAGTCTCTAGAGTCAGATTCTTGCTCTAGAGTCAGACACCTAGAAGCTGTTTGATCTTGGGCAGGTGACTTACCCTTTCTGAATTTCAGTTTCTTCTTGTAAAATGGAGTTAACAATAGTACCTACCTCAAAGAGTAGCTGACTAAAAGGGAATCCATGTAAAGCTTACAGCATAGCACCTGACTCATAGTAAGCTTTCAATAAATTGTCATTATTATCATTTACTTAGTATTATAGATATGAGATGTGTGAGCTTTGCAAATTAAGTGCTATGCAAATGAAAATTATTTAAATTATATATATATTTTTAAGTAATTATAAAAATACCCCAGATTCCAGTCAGGCGCGGTGGCTCACATCTGTAATCCCAGCACTTTGGGAGGCCGAGGCAGATGGATCACTAGGTCAGGAGATCAAGACCATCCTGGCCAACATGGTGAAACCTCATCTCTACAAAAAATACAAAAATTAGCTGGGTGTGGCAGCGCATGCTTGTAATCCCAGCTCCTCAGGAGGCTGAGGCAGGAGAATCGCTTGAATCGCTTGAACCCAGAAGGTGGAGATTGCAGTGAGCAGAGATCCCACCATTGCACTCCAGCCTGGGTAACAAGAGTGAGACTCCGTCTCAAAAAAAAAAAAAAAAAAAAAAGGGCTGGGCACGGTGGCTCCCGCCTGTAATCCCAGCACTTTGGGAGACTGAGGGACTGAGGTGGGCAGATCACCTGAGGTCAGAAGTTCAAGACCAGCCTGACCAACATGGAGAAACCCCATCTCTACTAAAAATACAAAATTAGCAGGGCATGGTGGCGCATGCCTGTAATCCCAGCTACTCAGGAGGCTGAGGCAGGAGAATCGCTGGAACCCGGGAGCGGAGGTTGCAGTGAGCTGAGATCGTGCCATTGCACTCCAGCCTGGGCAACAAAAGGAAAACTCCATCTCAAAAAAAAAAAAGAAAGAAAACCCAGATTTGGCCAGGTGCAGTAGCTCACGCCTGTAATCCCAGCACTTTGGGAGGCCAAGGCGGGCAGATCACCTGAGGTAGGAAGTTCGAAACCAGCCTGACCAATATAGAGAAAGAAACCCCATCCCTACAGACATGGTGGCACATGCCATGCTAATTTTTGTATTTTTAATAGAGATGGGGTTTCACCAAGTTGGCCAGGCTGGTCTCCAACTCCTGATCTTGTGATCTGCCCGTCTCGGCCCCTCAAAGTGCTGAGATTACAGGCATGAGCCACCGAGCCCGGCCCAAGGAATGGATTAAAAAAAAAACCATGATTTTACCACTGGGTTGTCCTGAACTGTCTGTGTCACCTGAGTCTAATGAACAACGCAGTGGCAGTCCTCTTCTGGGACAGAACAGACCTGGGATGGTGCCACTCGCAGGAACAGAAGAGAAGTGAACTAAGGCGGTTTCTCCCGATCAACCCTCCTCCCAGCTACCCGGGAGGCTGAGGCAGGAGAATCACTTGAACCCGGGAGGCAGAGGTTGGTGAGCTGAGGTCGCGCCATTGCACTCCAGCCTGGGCAACAAGAGCTAGACTCCATCTCAAAAAAAAAAAAAAGAATATGAACATATTACATACATATGTATGCCTGTATGTGTGTGGAGAGAGAAATTGATCAAGCAAATGCAGTCAGTAAAATGTTAACATTTGGGTAATTTGGGTGAAGGATATACTGTTATTCTTGTAATATTCTTGTAGTATTTTTCTGTAAATCTAAAATTATGTCAAAATAAATGTTAATTTATAAAATCCTTGAACTTTGACAAGGTCCTCAGAAAAGGAATAAAATGAGGACAGAATTTTAAAATGCAAAAACAAAGTTTGTTTTTGTAAAAATAACCCATAGCTACGGGGGAAGAGATGTTACTTAAGGAGAGATTGTTTTCAGAATATAAATTAGGAGGCCTGGGCCTTCATTTAAGCATCTGCTGATTTAAGGCTCCGACAAATGCTGGCAGAGTATCTCCAATAGAGGGCGGTACAACATTACGAAGAATAAACCATATCACATGGGTTTTGGGTAACGTTATTTAAAGTGGATTAAAGTGTTAACAAGTATAACAAAAGTACCAAGAATCTTAGAGCTGAATGCTAACCACATCCCATTTTACAGATGTGCAAACTGAGACTCAAAGTGGGAAAACAACTTGGTCAAAGTCATAGCTACAAGTAGCACAAATGCCTTGCAAATACAGTTGGGGTGGGGCGTGGTGGCTCACGCCTATAATCTCAGCACTTCGGGAGGCCAAGGTGGGCGGATCACCTGAGGTCAGGAGTTTGAGACCAGTCTGGCCAACATGGCGAAACCCCGTCTCTACTAAAAAATACAAAAAGTAGCTGGGCATGGTGGCACGCGCCTGTAATCCCAGCTGCTACTCTTGAGGCTGAGGCTGGAGAATCGCTTGAACCTGGGAGGTGGAGGTTGCAGTGAGCAGAGATGGCACCACTGCACTCCAACCTGGGCAAAAGAGCAAGACTCTATCTCAAAAAAACAAATCAAAACAAATATAGTTGGCCTTCTGTATCTGTGAGTTCCATGTTCCTGGGTTCTGCCTTAGTGGATCCAACAATCAGTATGGAAAATATTGAAGGTGGAATTGAGTATGGAAAATATTGAAGGCAGGGATGGTTGAGTTTGTACTGAATATGCATGGACTTTTCCCCCTTGTCATTATTCCCCAAGTGATACAGTATAACAATTATTTACATAGCAATTTACATTGTATTAGGTATTATAAGTAATCTAGGCCGTGTGTCGGTGGCTCAGGCCTGTAATCCCAGCACTTTGGGAGGCCGAGGCAGGCGGATCACGAGTTCAAGAGATCGAGACTATCCTGGCCAACATTGTGAAACCCCGTCTCTACTAAAAATACAAAAATTAGCTGGCTATGGTGGCACACGCCTGTACTCCCAGCTACTAGGGAGGCTGAGGCAGGAGAATCGCTTGAACCTAGGAGGTGTAGGTTGCAGTGAGCCGAGATCGCGCTGCTGCACTCCAGTCTGGGTGACAGTGCGAGACTCCGTCTCAAAAAAAAAAAAAAGTAATCTAGAGATGATTTAAAGTATTTGAGAGGCTGTGTGTAGGTTATATGCAAATATGACACCATTTCAGGGACTTGAGCATCCATGGATTTTGATATGGGTTGGGGCGCATTCCTGGAACCAATCCCTCACAGATAGTGAGGGACAACTGTAATAGCCACAGCTATCATTCCTTGAAGTCTTACTAATGTGCCAGGCACAGTCCTAAGCACTTTATATACATTATCTACGTAATTATACAATCCCTCCCCGTTTTTTTTTTTTTAGCTCAAGTTGAGGCTCAGATAAGTCAGCCACTTGTCTGACAGCACTAAAAAATGAGATTCTGACAGTGCCCATAGCTAACATGCCATTCTGTCCCACCTACCCTTAAAGAATTGATCCCTAGTAGGGGAGCCACAACACAGCCATCAAAAGAGAAATCCATCCAATATGTACTGTTGGATATATACCCAGCAGGAGCCAGAGATTCAGTGAAGGAAGATTCTTAGGACTGAAAAGAACAGAAAAGGAAGGTGCCCCCAAATGGGGGAGGGGGGTGTGAGTCTTCTGTGAAAATGGAGGCCAGGAGTGGTGGTTCATACTTGTAATCCCAGCACTTTAGGAGGCCGAGGTGGGAAGATTGTTTGAGCCTTGGAGTTGAAGACCAGCCTGGGCAACATAGCGAGACCCG
The DNA here is from genome assembly GCF_000001405.40 of Homo sapiens. Taxonomy (NCBI): domain Eukaryota; kingdom Metazoa; phylum Chordata; class Mammalia; order Primates; family Hominidae; genus Homo; species Homo sapiens. The sequence continues at coordinate 47,936,368 of NC_000011.10, forward strand.
TTTTTCTATTTTTTTTTTTTAAAGAAAGAAAAGGCCAGGCATATGCTTGTAATTCAGCACTTTGGGAGGCTGAGGTGGGTGGATCACCTGAGTTCAGGAGTTCAAGGTCAGCCTGACCAATATGGTGAAACCATGTCTCTACTAAAAATACAAAAAAAAAAAAATTAGCCGGGTGTGGTAGTGAGTGCCTGTAGTCCCAGCTACTCGGGAGGCTGAGGCAGGAGAATTGCTTGAACCTGGGAGGTGGAGGTTGCAGTGAGCTGAGATCTCGCCACTGCACTCCAACCTAGGCAACAGAGTGAGACTCGGCCTCAAAAAAAAAAAAAAAAAAAAAGAAGAAGAAGAAGAAAAGAAAAATGGATAGGTTTAGAGATGAAAAGAAAGCAGAGTAGAGAGAGGATATGAAGAGAAAATAAAGAGGGGAGGAAAAGCATCCACTCTTGTTAAGGAGGGCCATGAGCCTAAAATGTTGACTCCTCCTATCCCCACTACCCTGTGTCTCCTCTAAAGAATCCACCAGCTGGTCTTGTTAGCTCTACTTCCAGAAACGTCCGTGATTCCTCCACTTCTCTCCATCTGCACTGCCACCTGCCTTCAGGCCACATCACCCCTCACCTGGTCTTCTTACTTCTTTTCTTTCTTTCTTTTTTTTTTTTTTTTGAGACAGGCTCTCACTCTATAGCCCAAGCTGGAGTGCAGTGGCGAGATCTTGGCTCTGCAACCTCTGCCTCCGGGATTCAAGCGATTCTCCTGCCTCAGCCTCCTGAGTAGCTGGGATTACAGGCACCCGCCACCATGCCCGGCTACTTTTTTTTTTTTTTTTTGGATTTTTAGTAGAGACGGGGTTTCACCATGTTGGCCAGGCTGGTCTCAAACTTCTGACCTCAAGTGATCCACCCGCCTCAGCCTCCCAAAGTGCTGGGATTACAGGCATGAGCTACTGCGCCCGGCCTGGTCTCCTTACTTCTTTTACACTTTTCATAGTTCATTCTCCACACAATAGCTAGAATCATCTTTTAAAACATAGATCATTTCACTCTTCTGTGAACATCTTTTTACTTAAAAAAAAAATTTTGGGGGGACAGGGTCTCACTCTGTCACCCAGGCTGGAGTATAGTGGTGTGATCACAGCTCACTGCAGCCTTGACCTTCCAGGATCAAGTGATCCTCCTGCCTCAGCCTCTCAAATAGCTGTACTACAGGCACATGTCACCATGCCTGGCTAATTTTTGTATTTGTGTAGAGGCGGGGTTTTGCTGTGTTGCCCAGGCTGATCTCAAACTCTTGGGCTCAAGTGATCTGCCTGCCTTGGCCTCCCAAAATGCTGGAATTACAGGAATGAGCCACTGTGCCATGACCTCTTTTTTTTTTTTTTTTTGAGACAGAGTCTCACTCTGTCACCCAGGCTGGAGTGCAGTGGCGCAATCTCGGCTCTCTGCAGGCTCGACCTCCTGGGCTCAAGTGATTCTTCCGCTCTAGCTTCCCGAGTAGCTGGGACTACAGAAGCATGCCACCACGCCCAGCTAATTTTTAAATTTTTTTGTAGAAATGGGATTTCCATATATTGCCCAGGCTGGTCTCAAACTCCTGGGCTCAAGCAATCTGCCCACCTCAGCCTCCCAAAGTGCTAGGATTACAGGCGTGAGCCACCATGCCCGGCCTGTGTGATCATCTTTTATCAGCTTCCTGCTGCACTTGGAATAGAATCAAAGCTCCTGGCCAGGCTGTTTGAGCTGGCCCCTGCCCACCTTCCTGACCTTATCTCCTACCAATCTCCCTTGCCCTCGTTACTTCCTTCAATTCACCCCGAGGACATGAGAAGCTTGTTTTCAGGGGCCTTTGCATTTGCTTTTTCTTTTGTCTGGAACACTCTGCTTCCAGGTCTCTGCATGGCTGTCCCCTTCCTACTCAGGTCTTCCTTAAATGTGTGCCCACAGAGAAGACTTCCTGACCACTAGGTCCAGCGCAGCCCCAGTGCCTTTCTGTCACTGCACCCTGATTCATGACGTTGTGTGTGCTCCTGCTATCACAGCCTGGCCCTCATCACTGTCTGCAATAATCGTACTCCTGTGTTTGCTTGTTTATTGTCCATTTTTCCCTCTAGAATGTAAACTGCATGAGGATAGAAATTTCTCTTGTTCATCACACCAGTGCCTACAGCTATGAGTGTTTGGCAATAGTAGGGATGTAGGCCGGGTGTGGTGGCTCACATCTGTAATCCCAGCACTTTGGGAGGCTTATAAGGTGGGTGGGTCACCTGAGGTCAGGAGTTCAAGACCAGCCTGGCCAACATGGTGAAACCCCGTCTCTACTAAAAATACAAAAATTAGCCAAGCGTTGTGGCACATGCCTGTAATCCCAGCTACTTGGGAGGCTGAGGCAGGAGAATCACTTGAACCTGGGATGCGGAGGCTGCAGTG